>NC_000007.14:47512969-47815999 GCF_000001405.40 Homo sapiens
AAACTTAGACAAGCAACTGACTGGAATGTTTGCAATGTACAAAGTGGAAAGATAAGAAACTGACCTTTTCTGAGGACAAATGTCATTAGAAATTGGCAAAAGTTCTGCCTAATATCACAGATAAGATTTAGTATTCATAATATAGTGAAGTCTCAGAAATTTAAAAAAATGATTTTTAAATTTATTAATTTTCAAAATGTTATTTATTTTTTTCTTTTTAGAGATGAGGTCTCACTGTCACCCAGGCTGGAGTGCAGTGGCATGATCATAGCTCACTGCAGCCTCAAATTTACAGGCTGAAGCAATCCTCCTGCCTCAGCCTCTAGGGTAGCTGGGACCATTGGCGCGTGCCACTGTGCAGGCCAATTTTTAAATTTTTTGTAGAAATGGGGTCTTGTTTTGTTGCCCAGGCTGGTCTTGAACTCCCGGTTTCGATCGATTCTCCCGCCTCGGCGTCCCAAAATGCTGGGATTACAAGCATAAGCCACCTCACCACGCCCTAAAATAATCTAATTTTTAAATAAGCAATGAACAAAGGATTTGAAAGGCTACTTTGCTAAGTAAACAGAAATGCTGCAGGCAGCTTTTTTGTATCTTTTTAGATGTTCAACCTCATGTAATCACCAGATGAATGAAAAACATAATAAAAAGGAGACATCACTTTTCATCCATCAACTTGCAAAAACTGAAAAGCTGAAAAATCTCAAGTGAGAGGGTCAGTGACATTCCATGCAAGTAGGCTCCACCAAAAGCGTTTTCCTGTGAGGAGCCTGAACCTTCTCCAGCCCAGCTTACCCTCCGGCGTCTGAGCTGGTGTGTGGCAGGCCCCTTCTCGTGGCTTTGCCTGAACACTCGGCTCCACAGCTGACAGTCTGCAAACCACACATCAGTTCCCTTGTCAGACGAGGTTTCCAGACTCATGTTTAAGAATCCTGGCTCCCGCTGCAGCAGTTACAGCCCAGAGCTGTCTGGCTTGCAAACGCCCAACATTTTTATATGTTGTCTTGGAACTGCTATTCTTCACAACGTCTCCACGAGCCTTGGGAATCCAGGCCACTGTCTTACAGGGTTGTCAGAATCTTTTATACAACACTCGAAACATATTGACCAAGTTATAAACAAGCCTGTGAGTCACCCTCTGCTTCTCCTAGCATCAACTGTCAAGTTTGCCAGCCTCTCTGTGTCCCAGTAACAGGCTCCACAAGGCAGGAGGGGACTGATTAACCCACAGCGGGGGACCGCCAGACAAGGCCTGCCCAATGCCCACATTCACTGCTCAACCCCATGACCCCATTGTTGCCTTGTTAGTTTTAAATAACTACCATGTTCTCCTGAAGTCCTAATACTGCACCTGGCCCAAAGCAAAAAACACACACCTACCGACCTGCCCGTCTATCTCCAAACCTTTATCTGTAATCACTTAGTGTATTGCTGACTCCGATGGACTCAAAGACAGGACACAAAACTCTCATCTTTCTCTCCTAGCAGGTGCTTAATAATGTTGGGTTAACTGCGTGGAACAACCCATTACCAAATCTTTCTTACAAAACTCCCTTCATCCCACTTTCCCTCTGGTCTCCTTTCTCAGCTTTCTCCTTGCTTCTTTTCTCCTTTCTCCTTGCTTCCTTTCTCAACTCTCATCTCCTTTAGGCCTTCCCTACAGCTGTCTCTCTTGTTGCAGCACTTCTTTATTCTGTGCCATCCTGTCTCATTCCATGATAGTCTCGCTGATTCCACTATTAGATCCCAGAAAACCATCTCTCAAATGGGGAGCATTTATGCGTGGTCTGACCCTGGATCCTCCCTGGATCTACCTTCTTCCAGGGACCAAGTCCCACAAAACTTGTAACTTTTGGGGCCGAATCTACTCAATTCCAGAATGCCGAGACTCACCCATAACAGCACCTTCCTCTGTCCTCTGTGAAATACAACCATTTTGGGATATCAATGGCAACTGGACCATGTTAGGCCACCCAAGGGAACTCAGTGACATGTAGTGAGAACGGGTTGCCTCAGAGTCCTAACTGATGGTATGAGCACACCAGCAAGGTTTTGAGGAGTGTAAGAAAAACCACAACTGGACACTTAACCCCATTGCTCAATGTCATTTCTATCTTTTCTTTCCCTTACTTAAAGTTCCAAGAGTAGAGATAACAGGGCCCTTACATGTTAACATAACAGTTTTTAAAAGATGAAATGTTTTCTTTCTACTTAACCACATATGAAATTTGCATTTAACTAGGAGGTTAAAATGTGAAAGTCAGGGACCTGAAAGTCCAAGAATGAGCCAGAAAAGGAACGGTAGAAATACTGGCCTGCATCACAGAATATGCCCCTAACCCTTCTCCATCTATCATCACCATCAGTATCATCACGATCAGCATCATCATCACAATCGTTACCATTGCCATTGTTACTATCACCATCAACTACACTATCACTATCACCATCACCAGTCACAGCACTATCATTGCTGTCATCAACATCATCATCACCATCATTGTCACCATTCATCAACATCGTCACCATCACCATCATCATGTCAACATAATCACCAGTGCCATGGTCACCATCAACCACACCATCACCATCATCATCTCCATCAATTACACCATCACCACTCACCATCACCATCATGATCATCTTGACCATCACCATCTTCACCAACATCATACCATCATCATCACCATCCCCATCAACACCATCATCACTAATATACCATCATCATCAATCACGCCACCACCCACCATCACCATCATCGTTACCATCATCACCATCAATTACAACATCATTATCGGCATACCATTGCCACCCTCATCACCATCACTAACAATATCATTATCACCATCGTCATTACTGACACCATTGAACACTTTCTGGAGCTCCTCAGTGTTCTTTGTGTTTCATGTGTATTTACCCTGCTATTCCTCACAATGACTCTAAGCAGAAAGAGGCAGAGCAGGAATGCTGGCAGGCTGTCTCCACCATCCACCTCACCTCCACCACGCTCTGCTGCTTCCCCAGAAATAAGCCAAAGAAAGAACACCTCTACCAAAACGTCACATCACTGTGATGCATGATGACTTACATAATCTATGTAAAGGGAATACCTTGTTGTTTCCAGGTAGCATGTACACAAAGGGATCAAAATGCAAATGTATATGACATATGTGAATTATTAGTAGAGAACACTATGAAATTGTCTATTTGGGGAGTGGTCTCTATATAGTCTATTGAGAAAGAGAAAATCCTAGAGATTAACTACTCTAATGTACAAATTGTAAAGATCACGGCACTGAGGAACAGAAATAGGGTGCAACTGTCCAGGGCCACAGCTTCCTGTGGAGCAGCCCATCCCTGACTCTGCCAGGCTCCCATCTACACTTGCAGTGACTGCCAGGACCCCATCTCAACTCAGTGAGCAGAGTCCTCACATCCTGCCTCTGTCCCATCTAAACTTGCAGTGACTGCCAGGACCCCATCTCAACTCAGTGAGCAGCATCCTCCCATCCTGCCTCTGCCTTGTCTACACCTGCAGTGACTATCAGGACCCCATCTCAACTCAATGAGCTGCAGCATCCCCACATCCTGCCTCTACCCCGTTCTACACCCACAGTGACTGTGCCCGGCTCCCAGCTCCAACTCAGTAAGCAGCACCCCCTACCCTGCTAATGCCCCATCTACACATGCGGCAGCACGTAAGGAGATGGGCCAGGTCCGTCCTCCTCCTACTACGCTGACAAGAGCAATGGCTAAAATGATTTCCTGTGAAGATACACAAACACACACAAATAAAAATCTAGCTCTTGTGGGTCAGGAGCAGTGGCTCACGGCTATAATCCCAGCACTTTGGGAGGCCGAGGTGGGTGGATCATCTGAGGTCAGGAGTTCGAGACCAGCCTGGCCAACATGGTGAAACCCCAACTCTACTAAAACTACAAAAATTAGCCAGGCGTGGTGGTGGGCGCCTGTAATCCCAGCTACTCGGGAAGCTGAGGCAGGAGAATCACTTGAACCCAGGAGGCGGAGGTTGCAGTGAGCCAAGACCACAGCACTGCACTCCAGCCTGGGCAACAAGAGCAAAACTCCGTCTCAAAAACAAACAAACAAAAATCTAGCTCATGTGTTGTATCCCAATTCAGCCTGGTGTACTTACACAGGCTCTTTTTCCTTCACAGTGTCATGGGGTGTGCCAATTCTATGGTCCTACTGGAGGCTGGCCAATGTTGACTGAAGACAAGAACGCCCAACCTTGCAATAGAAACCCTGCTGTGCTGTTTTCCTGGATGGTCTCCACAAGCCCCGCTTCAAATCACACTCATCTTACCAGGGCTACCAGCCACAGCGTCCTGCAGCCCCACGCTTGACAAAAGAAACCTAGAGGAAAGGTGTCATTACCAATCTTTACCCCCGAAAGCCACCCACAGGGCAAGCCTCAGATAAGTCTCGTCGGGAAAGGGAAGGGGAAGAGCTCACCCGCAGGGACCTTCACCACCTCCAACAAACCAGATGTTTGTAAAGATACAAAGCTAACCACAAGTTAATACTCACCAAACTAAATACTTCTACCTTTTATTCCCTCCTTAATTCCACCAGTATTCATTAATACCCACAGCTGAAACATTTTGTAAGCCTATAAATATGTCCTGGACACCTACAACAGGGCAGAAACTGATCTGGACCTGGATACTATTGGGAACACAAAAAACATTCATGAATGTACACTGCAGTGCAAGAGGAAAGGAAAATCAACAGGAACCGTGGATTCAATCAGGATGACCTGAGGTACAGGAAAGTAACTCCAGGAAGGTGCAGCGGGAGCCTAAAGGCGGAGGGAGGGTTCCACAGTCATTTCTGTATCGGGGGTCAAGAAAAGTCTGAAGAGACAAGAAGAAAAATAGCAGCAAATGGGTGAGAAGGTGACAGGGAGCTGGGTCACACAGCCTGAGGGAGGCCACCACCCAAAAGGCACTATAAAATTAATTGTTGAGGGCATCAACCAATCAATAATCAATCAATCAAGAATCAGTCAACAATAATCAATCAATCAAGAATCAGTCAACCAAGATAGTCACTCTCACAAACTCCAGTATTTGCACAGGCCTTTGTGGCAGGTTGACTGGGGTTGCAGAGAGCCCAAGGCTCTTGGCTGCACCCAGCCTGCCTCCCACAGCACCATTTCCTCAGCCAGGTGCCTCCCAAAAGGGAAGTTAAACCCTCCAGACCACCCTCTGTTGAACACAAACTCAGGAATGGGGATAAGGCTCAAGATGCTCCCATTCGAGACAGAGCAGCCCTCTCTGTGCGCCCGTGTGGCACAGGTAGGATTGGATGTCGCCGCAAGGTCCCTCCGCCGATGTCATAGGGCGGCCATCTCCATGCTCTTATCTATTTGCTGTTCTCACTCTCCTCACAGATCCTCACCTCCCCACGCCAGATCTGCCCAAGAACACTGCAACACACTTCAAGACAACAGCCCCTAAAACTCTTGAAGTTTTCATCCCCAGATATTCAGTTTTACTCTTTCTCTCTTTCTTTCCACGTAATGATTTTCTTTTCTCGAAAAATAATCACTGGGGCCAGGCACAGAGGCCGACGCCTGAATTCCCAGCACTTTGGGAGGCAAAGTTGGCAGGCTTATTTGAGGTTATGAGTTGGAAAACAGCCTGGGCAACAGTAAGACCCCCATCTCTACAAGAAAGAATATAAATAAATAAGTAAATAAATAAATAAATCATTATCCCCCTCAAGGGATTCTTATCGTATGGGCATGGTTCACGTGCTCAGACATGAATCTGATCCTCACACAACCCCTTGATGAGTATCAGTTATTGTCCTCATGTGGCAGACCGGGAAACTGAAGCACAGAGAGGCAGTGGAGCTAAGGTCTGAACTCACATCAGCCTGGCTCTGGAGATCACAGGTTTAACCTTTGAGCCTCTCAGAAATCAATCGAGGTGGACTTAATCTTCACAAATAGGACACTGAATCAGCTGCGGCACTGACTAATGTTGATGAAGCACTCAAGAGCTGACAGAGTCCTTTTACGTCCCTTGACTCACATGTTCCTCCAAACAGCCTGTGAGTAGGGCCAGCCAGGCCTCACTGCCCACTTCACAGTCCAGAGAATCAAGCCCAGAGTCAGTGAGACCCACTGAGGCCCCGCCTGCTGCTTCGTCTCAGGGCGCCAGCTCCCATCCCTAACATTACTTACATAATCTATGTATAGGACGAACCTTGTTGTCTCTTTACCTTGTTGTTAACCTGCCCCCCATTTAAGATATCCCCCCCCAACACAAGGCACGGGTGCAAAGGAGAATGTCTCTGCATCTCCATCAGATATTCAAAGGGATCATATTATACAATATTGCAGAATGAAAGGAAAGAAAGAAGATGGTACCAATCCCTCAAAAACATCTTAAGTCTAACTCAGGAAACCCTCTTAGTAATTGTCTCCTTCAAATACACATTTGGAAGGAAACAAGTCCCCCACCTCACTCAGTGTGTGAGCAGACCCCAGCGGTGGGGCCACTCATCACCATGTAAACCAGGAGCACCCTCCCAAGAACCCCAGTCCCCCACACACATGGGTGTGACTGTCCAGGACTTCTTTGTCCCTCACTAGCCCAGCAGCCCGGTGGCAGATGTCCACCTGTGTGTGGGTGGCCAGCACCTAACACAGTAGGCACCTCCTAGACCCATGCTAGCCACAGTGAGCTGGCTGGAGGGGCGAGGGTGATAGGGGATCCTGCCTGTCCATGCTCACCCTAGGTTAGGGGCCGTCTGGCTGAGTCATGCAGAGGCCAGGCTTCGACTCCATCCTCTGGAACAGAGCTCCTCACATTTCTTTTTTTTTTTTTTTTTTTTTTTTTGAGACGGAGTCTCGCTCTGTTGCCCAGGCTGGAGTGCAGTGGCACAATCTCGGCTCACTGCAAGCTCCGCCTCCCGGGTTCATGTCATTCTCCTGCCTCAGTCTCCCGAGTAGCTGGGACTACAGGCGCCCGCCACCACACCTGCTAATTTTTTGTGTTTTTTTTAGTAGAGACGGGGTTTCACCATGTTATCCAGGATGGTCTCGATCTCCTGACCTCGTGATCCGCCTGCCTCAGCCTCCCAAAGTGCTGGGATTACAGGCTTCAGCCACCATGCCCGGCCGCTCCTCACATTTCTTAACACTTCAGGCCTGCCAGTGTCCCAGGGTTGCTGATACCCACGTGGGCTCCGTGAAGCACAGCACTGCCTCTTCCCTGGCTTCGAGGATGTGGAATCAGAAGTTGCCACTTGGCCTTGCCCCCCTGCCACACCTAGGCAGACCTTGAACACCCAGAGAGTAGCATTACATCCATCTGAATAAACCAACAGAAAACAACCCCACAACTTAACATAAAATTCCAGATCACAGTTACTGCAAAACAAATACTTGGATTTATGAGCTTGGCTACACTACTCAGTGAGTTTTAAAAATCAAAATCCACCAGCACAATCAACTAACACAACCCAGACGTCCCTGGCATGCAGAAACCTCAAATCCTGACAACCCAGACCGTTGAGAAACATCTGGGAGGGGTCCAGGCCTTCTTCCCAGCCACAGAGTTAGAAAACAGGAAGGATTTCAGACAAAATCCACGAGTAAAGTCCGTGTGGAGGCGGCTGAGAAAGGCTTTGTATTGCAACAGAGGAGCAGAATTTAGAGGCAGGGAAGTGCTGCTTCCCATCGGATAACCACCACCGACCAGAAATTATTCAGATGAAATTTGGCCTGGGTGCCTCCTTCCCCTTTGGGAGCTTCTGGGAGATTCTGTCGTGTTGCCACCTCTCTGGATGGGGCAAGTCTGATGGGAGGGCTGAGCTCAGTTCCCCGGTAGAAGTCAACCCCAGGGTGGGGCTGGGCTTGCCCTCAGGGTTGGGGGACTCACCACCTCCAATTGTTCTGGAAAGAACTTTGGAAATAACATCTGGAGCCATTTCACATGGATTTGCCAGAGAAGAGCGGATCAATGAGCCAGGTGTTTATCTGCACAAATTCATCTGGATTGTCATGCAACTTACATTCCCTGTGCACCTACTGGGCTCTAGGCCCTTTGCTGAGACTCAGGATACCCAAGAAACAGCAGTGCATCGCATCATAGTAGGGGCAGTCGGCCCAGGGGAGCAGATAGATTCATAAACAAATGATCAGAACACAGCAGTTCCTCCATCGTCCTGACAATGCCCACACTCCCTGCCCCACCCACCTCCCAGAATTGCCTGTCCCTCCTCTGTGCTCCCAAGGAGGCTGCAAATACCTCTGATAAAGCACTCCTCACACGGGATCCTGTTCCTGCTCACTACTCCAGCCCACTAGACTCCGAGCCCTTCGAAGCCTTGGTCACCGTGGGCATCGCAATGCACCAGCTGCCGCACCTGCTCAGTAAAAGTGTGCTGGTGAGGGTTCACCCTGCAAGACAAGACAGCACTCCACTTTGGGACGGAGGTGTCTGCCCTGTGCACAGGCATCTGGTGAACAACACAGAGCCAGCCCCTCATGCCTCCTGGGCTCCAGCTGAGGGCAGAGAATCACTGCCCCAGTGAACATCCGGATGGCTGGCTAGTCACTGGCCATGGATAGTTCTGGAGGGAAAAGGGCAGATGCTAGGGGACACAGCGGCAGGGCAGGGAGGCACCTTCCTGAGGACCTGGTGCTTGAGCTGAAACCTAAAGGATGAGGGTCAGCAGGCAGAGCAGCACAGTCCAGCAAGAGGTCAAAAATGAGCCCTGTGCAGCCGGCCTCTCAAAGCACCTGGGGGAGTCAGGAGAGACCAAATAAGGCAGGCACAGCCTCAAAGGGCCACCATGAGGATGCAGGCACAGGTTCTTCCCGCTGGATGGTTTACAGTTTCCCAGAGCCGTTCTCTGAGTACAAACAGGAGAGGAGCGGAGAGGCAAACAGGAGACTGGATCTCAAGGGCATCCCAGCCTGGGCAGACAAAGGGCCAGACCCAGGGAAGCTGGGTTAGGAAGGAGGAATGGGAGGTCTGCACGGCGATGGAGACCGGGGCCCAGCCTCCAGGAAGAAGGCCAGCAAGGGTGGAGCAGCAGGCAGGGCTGGGGGCCAAAGCCTGGCCAGGGGCTCTCCCATTCAGTGGATCTGGGTCCCAGGTATCAGCAGGGATGGGATGCCCGCCCCCCAAAAGTGGGGACACCATATCCCCCGCCTTCTCACAGGCAAGCAGGATCATAGATTTGTTGCTTGCATTAAGTTAGAAAACTAAAGCCTCTGTGCATCAGCAGCCTTTGCAGGCCTAGGGCTCTCGACGGGTGACATTCCCTGGTGTGTCTCCCTAAGGCATTTCAGATCTGCCCACCTCTGAGCCGCAAGCCTCTGCACTGGTAGTCCATCCCACCCACACCCCCAGGCCAGCCTCACAGCCTCCACGTAACTTCCGACCCCCCAGTACTCCTGCTCTGATGATGGGGGCTTATCTCAGCCGCCTCAGCCTACACCATGACACCTCCTGTCCACAGGGACCCTTGGCCTCAACAGACCATGGCACCTCAGGCTTGGGAGCATCCCTGAACACCTCCTGGTCTCTAGCACACACATTAACTTAACATAACTGAAAAAGCTAATGAAAACAATCATGTCTAAAAGACTTCTGAAACATGGAATCCTGTATGTTTTTTATAAAGAGTTTCTAGGCCGGGCACGGTGGCTCACGCCTGTAATCCCAGCACTTTGAGAGGCCAAAGCAGGCGGATCATGAGGTCAGGAGATCGAGACCATCCTGGCTAACATGGTGAAACCCCGTTTCTACTAAAAATACAAAAAATTAGCCGGGTGTGGTGGCGGGCGCCTGTAGTCCCAGCTACTCGGGAGGCTGAGGCGGGAGAATGGCGTGAACCTGGGAGGCAGAGCTTGCTGTGAGCTGAGATCGCGCCAATGCACTCCAGCCTGGGTGACAGAGCGAGACTCCATCTCAAAAAAAAAAAGAGTTTCTATTGTTTATTAACATAATTCCTAGAGCTATGTGCATAAAAACATGATGTCTCCTCCAGTTTGGGCTACTGTTTAAAAATTACCCTAAACTAGGTGGCTTATAAACAGTTGCTTATTTCTCACAGCTCTGGAGGCTGCAAGTCCAAGGTCAAGGCACCACAGATGTGGTGTCTGGGGAAGACCCACTTCCTGGTTCATAGATGGTGCCTCCTTACTGCATCCTCACATAGCCAAAGGTGTGAGGGAGCTTTCTAGGGTCCCTTTCATAAGGGCCCTAATCCCACCCATGAGGCTCCACTCACAAAACATATCACCTCCCCAAGGCCCCATCTCCTAATGCCACCATCCCATGGAGGGTTAGAATGTCAACATAAGAATTTTGGGGAGACACAAACATTCTGACCATAACACAGGGCACACGTGAGGCAGTTCCAAAAAACTATGCCACAGAAAGAAGAAGACAGACACTTCTCCAACAGAAGTCCTCAAGATCTCAGTGCACATATGCCCAAGGGCACAACACTCACCACATGCTAAAGTCAACAGCGCCAGAAACCAGAGGTGGGCCCGTCCCTTGAGTCAGAATGCCTCTGCCTCCAACGGTGCCCATGGCTGCTGTTTCCTCCCAATGCCTCCACCAAGTGCCTTGAGTGGGGGTCCCTCCTCGGGGATGGAGCCTGCAAGTGCTCCCTGAAGGGCGGTGGCCCTCCTTCCTCCAGAAGGCAAAGGTTTTCCTTCATCTGGGCCAGTTCCTGGTTCCTTCTCCTGATAATGGACCTCCTGCCATGAACTCAACAGGACATGCAGCTTCCCAAGCCTACCACATCCTCAGCTTCTGCCAGTTCTCTCTGCAAAAAGCAGCTGTGTGCTTGCCACCACCCACCACAAAGAAAGGACCCAGGGACCATGGGGACAGACCCTACTGAAGCCCACCAGGCCAGAGGGCTCAAGGCAGAAGAGCTTCACCATATGGGACTGCTAAGAGGAGAGCAAGGAGTGAGGGAGGAATTCAGACACAGACACACAAGAACACACATGCATGCACTGCAGGCACCCAGGCTGGAAAGGTGAACGCAACTCACCACACCACCCCCAGGATTCACAGCCAGCAAGCTCAGGGCAACTCTTTGGGGAGAAGCTGAACCAGCGCCCTCTGAGAGGCGGCACATCCAGGGTGCAGTGCAGCACTGCCTGCCAGCACGAAGCAGCCGTCCCCTGGGGAGGCGGTGGTCCCGTCCTGCCTCACTGGCCTGGCAGACCAGGCCCTTTCACGTACACCCCTCCCCGAGTCCCAGCTCTGCACCACTGGATCTGCATTTTCATGCCCATTTTAGGGTTGAGAAAATGGGCTTCATAAAAGCCTACTGTCCAAAACTGCCCAGGGTGTGAGTGGCACAGCCAGAACTTGACCCCACATCCTGATCTCTTTCTACTGCCTCTAGACAAGACATCCCATCCTAGCTGAGGCGCCCAGAGCCACGAACAGGGACACAGCAGGAGCAGGTGCCTGTGTGTCCATAATGCCTGCATCCTGGCTGCCCCTGGAAAGGAACCAGCTTAAAAAAGGCAATGGGAGGCCGGGCGCGGTGGCTCACGCCTGTAATCCCAGCACTTTGGGAGGCCGAGGCGGGTGGATCATGAGGTCAGGAGATCGAGACCATCCTGGCTAACAAGGTGAAACCCCGTCTCTACTAAAAATACAAAAAATTAGCCGGGCGCGGTGGCGGGCGCCTGTAGTCCCAGCTACTCGGGAGGCTGAGGCAGGAGAATGGCGTGAACCCGGGAGGCGGAGCTTGCAGTGAGCCGAGATCGCGCCACTGCAGTCCGCAGTCCGGCCTGGGCGACAGAGCGAGACTCCGTCTCAAGAAAAAAAAAAAAAAAAAAAAAAAAAGGCAATGGGAGCAGCCATGCATCCCTGCGGTGGAAAGTAAGCTGTAGGGGAGGAGGAGGTAAAGAAGAAAGGGATAAACCAGGCGTGAGAAGAGGGGTGAAGTCACCTAACATCATAGCTGTCCATGAGTGATTTTCTTCAAGGGATGAAAAAAGGTACATGGCTGTTTTTTCCCTTGTTACCTCCACTGACCAAAAATCTATTTCACCAGTGAGAAAAACCAGTGCTACACTGGGTTCCCTGGAGTAGAGGAGCATTAGCCAAACAGGACAGGAGATAATGCTGCACGAGGACAGAGCTGGCAGCCCCGCTGCTTGTCCATGTTGGGTACGTGTGGGGTCCTCCAGGCCAAAGTGGGCCTTGAATCCTCGGAGGTGACGCTCTAGGTGTCTCGCTGCCTCCCACCGAAGCAGAACTCCAGAGAGTTCCAAGAGGAGGCGGGAAAGCATCATTACCAACAGAAACCAGTAGATGGGCCACGGGGCCACCACACTGGGCTTTGTTCTCGTGAGTGCCTGGATGTTGCCAGAAGCGTGTGAAATTTAAACCATTATCTGGAGACAGCATGCCTTACTGCATCTTCCTTAACAACCAGGTGACACACAGCAAGATAAGCCTGTTGAACATCTTGTCCAGATAGGGCACTATTTATTCCCTCTCTTCTCTTTCAAGAACAAAAGCTGCTCCTGTGTGCATGCACATTTTCTCTGTTTCTATCTCCCTCAAGATAAGATAATGGACGTCATAGAGCAGCTGAACTCTACAAAGTGGTCTGAACAGGAGGGATGCTCTCACATGTTCCCTCACAATGTGGAATATCTGTGCGCTCAAGCAAATGCATTCACTCAGACGCATGCACGCATGCACACACATGCAATCACAGGTGTGTGCACTGCTTGTCCTCATATGCATGAACTCAATCATGCATGCATGCACTGCACACATAGCCATGCATATGTGCACCCACACACTCAGGCACATACACACCACTCTGGCAGGCCTCCTCACCCCTCCGTAATATTTCACACGCCACATATTTAAAATACCACAAAACAGAGTTCATTTGGAACCAGAGGATCAATCTGGGGTCCTTCCCTGGCCCTTCTGAGTGTGTGCAACTGCAGGACAGAGGAAGAGACACAAGTCCCAACCCAGGGAAGGCACCAAGACAATGATCCTCCAGATAAAGAAAGAAGACAGGCTCCCCGCCGTCCAAGACGTGCTTGCGCGTTTCACAGCTGGAGGCCGTGCTTTCTCCAAGCTCTTCTCTTTCGTTGGTTCCATTTACTCTGAAAATAGTCAATACTACTTAAATGGCAGGAACAGAATACTGAAGTATTAAAAAGGATGTCTGAGATGACTCTTCAGTAAACTCAGTTCTCTTTTATACAAAGAAGGAAAAATTACTCCTCAAGCAGTATAACCAACCTAGTGCAGCCCAAGCCACTGTGGTAAGTTGTGCAAAAGGCCTCTGTGTCTAAGGAGCTCCCCCACTGGATTACAGCTCAAGGATGTGTGGTGCAGAGGCTAACCAAACACACATGCGGCATCAGCCATGTGGAGCTACCCACAGTGGGTTCCCTTCAGAGCAATCCTAACACCAGCAACAAACCTAAGTACCACAACGCTGGCTGTGCACTTTAAGCCTGACTTCTGCCCTTGGAACAGCCCTTACCCTAAGTCCTAGACCCAGAGTGAGGAGACTTTGCCCCTGTCAGGGGCAGGGCCAGGACCCAGCTCTGTCTGACCTCCACCTTTGCTCCTAAATCAGACCTGTCCCCACATAGCATCTGACAGGCAGAAGTCAGTTCATGGGGAACCTTCGGCTGTGCAACTTTGCCTGGGACGTCATCACAGGGTAAGGAAGCCGAGAACAAGCCCAGGTGTCCCTGCTGATGCCATGCTGCTCATGACAGCTCTCCCAGTATCGCCCAATGGCTCCGCTGGCACAGGACCAGGGCTCTCGGATCAACACCAGGCCCTGACAGCTCTGATTCCCAGGTTCTCTGTGCTGCTGGTTTCATGGTTCCAATTCAACCACGACTTTCCTTTTCCTTCTTTTCACACTTGGGAGTCAAAGTTAGAGACCAAAATTTTAAAATATGAGCATTTCTGGCCGGGCGTGGTGGCTCACGCCTGTAATCCCAGCACTTTGGGAGGCCGAGGCAGGCGGATCACAAGTTCAGGAGATGGAGACCATCCTGGCTAACATGGTGAAACCCCATCTCTATTAAAAATACAAAAAAAAAAATTAGCCGGGCATGGTGGCGGGCGCCTGTAGTCCCAGCTGCTGGGGAGGCTGAGGCAGGAGAATGGCGTGAACCTGGGAGGCAGAGCTTGCAGTGAGCCGAGATCGCGCCACTGCACTGCAGCCTGGGTGACAGAGCAAGACTCTATCTCAAAAATAAATTAATAAATAAATAAAATAAAATATGAGCATTTCTATGAGAATGACATTCAAAGATGGGGAGACTCCTTGGGCTTCTATTTTTGCCATGTTCCTGGAAAGGCACAAAGCCCCTACTGGACCCTGTAGGGTATGTGGGACACAGAGGGGCTGCTGTATTTGCCCACAGACATTTTAGAGCAAGCTTGATGGAGGACGCCTGTCCGAGAGCATCAGTGCAATTTCTCATCACCTTACACCTGCAGGCCCCAAACACAAAGGGCCACCACATTTGGCTGACATGGCCCTCCTGAACTGGACAAGCTATGCAGGGGAATGGCCAGTGACAGGCCACAGCATTCACAGATGACCAAGATATCACCTAGTGCAGTGCCGTTTGCAAGTATGGGCTTAAAACAATGGCTCAAACCTGTAATCCCAGCACTTTGGGAGGCTAAGGCAGGAGAATCACTTGAGGCCAAGAGTTTAAGAGCAGCCTGGACAACATAATGAGACTGTCTCTAAAAAAGTAAGAAAATTAGCTAGGCATGTGGCGCATGCCTATAGTCCAGCTACTGGAGTGGCTGAGGTGGGAGGATGGCTTGGGCCAGGAGGTCAAGGCTGCAGTGAGCCCTGATCATCCCACTGCACTCCTACCTGGATGACAGAGCGAGACCCTGTCTCCAAAAAAAAAAAAAAAAGTTTTGAATCACAGGATGTCCTATCAGTTGGCTCAGAGTACACTACAGCCCGTGTTCTCTGCCTTGGATGCAGATCTAGATGAATTACACAGGTGGCTCCCTGGTCTCTGGCTTCTACTTAGCGACCAGGGTGGCCGGTACCCACCACTCATCCAACACATTCTTCAGCACTGACTTCTCCAAGGGGCCGAATCAGAGGAGGGGCACCCCAGTCTTCTCACCCACACTCAGGCCTTTGAACTGTAAAAGAATCCCAAGAGCCCCTTAGAGGCCCCTGGTCACATCCTCAACCCATTAAGGTTTGACTGCGTGCATCGTTCCATCACAGGCACCCTACTCTAAAGTGGCCATCAGGGACCATCTGCTGGGGGTCTGCAGGGAAGGAGGCACTGAGGGGGAGGTCCTAACAGCACAGAAGCCCACAGGCTGAGACTCTGCACATTTTCTAGAGGAAATCCCCAACCCCGCAGATGAAATGATGCCAAAGAGCAGCCCCCGCACTCTCCAAGGACCTGGTCCTCCTAGTGACTCCCTCTGTGTGGTGTACCCCACTGGTCCGCCAAGCAGCCCCTGCCCCCCACCACTCCCACATTCATTACAGTCACACCTCTCTTACTAGATTTATTAATGTGCAGTCACAAAAGAATTGGCAAGTTCCATTCATTACTTGACGTCTAAATATCTGGTACCCAAGCTGGTGGCTTAGTTTAGTGACAGGATCTGAAAGGGGCCATACCAAAATGAACCCGAAATCTAAAGATAGAAACATTTCATTCGCAAACTTGAGTAACAGATCTGAAAGTCAAACTAAACAACCTGAGTTACTGACACTTCAGAGCAGACCTGAGAATAAATGATTAATTTACAAATTGCTGCCTCCTCTCCCATCGGGAAACTCTGCTCTTTCTGTAAAAATGTCCTCATGAGCACTTATCTATGTAAATACGGTTGGCCCCTGCTAAGTAAGGGGGTAGGGGGTTGGGGGACATATAAACTAAGAAGGGGAATTCCATGATTTAACTTTCGGAAACTCCTGAAAAAAAGTTTTCGTTTTGTTTCTTGTTTGTTTTGCTCTGGATTAATCAGTGAGAGAATCATAAACACAGACTTACCTCGGCATGAAATACCTTGACCGTCAATAATTTGTTTGCAAACTCCACACACTTTGGATTTTTTAAAGGCCTTGTTCTTAAAAGCGTGCAGACTCGAGGTTAATTCTTCCGGCTGAAAAAGTAAAGGAAGAAATTGTCAACGTTTCATCTCATAGTTTGTTTCTTTTTCCTTTTCATTTAAGGGAAATAATAAATCTAGTGGAATTGTAAAGAGCAAAAACAGGAATTTTACCAAGCAAACAGAGAACAAGAAACCATCTTGGTGATGCTAAAATTCCCAAGACGACCCACGGATACCATGTTAGCATTCCCAATTCCAGAGTCCTAGACGGACGTTCACTCTCACCCAACTCATCAATCACCACATGGGGTGCCTAGAAACATTACATCAACCAACATCATTATGTGAAAATGCACTCCCTTCCAGACTTCAGCCGTAGAGCCACCTACTTCTGTGACAAAGTAATCCACATACACTTCTAGACTCTCAACCCTTTTTCTTCTGGAAAAAGTAATTAGCTAAACAGCATAATTATGTTATGAGGAAGTCAACTGGCTTTCCTGGTTCAAAGGTGTTCCAGAATCACCATTAAGCTCTTGAGCCTCTCTGAGCTCTCCTGCAGAAGAAGAGACAGTCCAGCCTGTGATACACATGTGGTTCTTCCTCAAACACAATTACAAGCATTAGCACTTGGAAAAACTAACCACTCAGCTACCTATTCATGTTTGTAGAGCCAAGGCTCTCAGCTATATGATAACCTTATAAGAATTCAATTTGCTTTTAGAGTCAAGCACTAATCATGTCTATTTGCTGATATGTGACCGTGTATTCTATCAGTACTTAATATCCATATGGATTCAGTGAGGCCATTACTCACCCACTGGAATAATTAAATTTATTTGAAAAGATGAAATGGTATTTAGAATGTGGAATAAATGGTACAACTACTTTAGAAAATGGTTTGACAATTTCTTATAAACTTAAACATACACCTAACCTATGACTCAGCAATTCCATTCTTATTTACACTAAAGAGAAATAAAAGCCTATGTCCACAAGAGAAAGAAAGGTCATAACAGCTTTATATAACCCAAATGTCCATCATAATAACTATTCTATATGCTAGAAAGTTAAGTAGAGATCTGAAAAACATAAAAAGATCCAAATCAAACATTCATTGAGGAAAATGTAAGAATACAGTGCAAGATACACTGGATGCGATTACTGGCAGATTAGATCCTGCAGAAGCACAGGTGAATGAACTTGAAGACATCACAGTACGAACCTCCCAACGCAAAGCACACAGAGATGAGACAACCTAAATAAACAAATAAACAAGCATCAGTAAGCTGTGGGAGAACTTTAACCAACATAACATATGTGTAATGGAGACTGACGGAGAAGGGCAGGGAAGGGGGGATATTTGAAAAAATAATGGCTGAAACTTTTTCAAACCAGGAGGAAAACTATAAACCCACAGATCCAAGAAACTCAAGAAATTTCTTGGCCAGGCTCGGTGGCTCACACCTGTAATCCGAGCACTTTGGGAGGCAGAGGCGGGTGGATCACCTGAGGTCAGGAGTTCCAGACCAGCCTGGCCAACACGGTGAAACCCCGTGTCTACTAAAAATACAAAAAATTAGCCGGGCATGGTGGTGGTGCCTGTAATCCCAGCTACTCGGGAGGCTAAGGCAGGAAATCGCTTGAACCCAGGAGGTGGAGGTTGCAGTGAGCCGAGATCGCGCCATTGCACTCCAGCCTGGGCAACAAGAGTGAAACTCCATCTCAAAAAAAAAAAAAAAATATATATATATATATATATTTCTAGCACAAGAAATGTGACAGGAACTACCCCAAGGCATACAATAATCAAATTGCTTAAACCCAGTAACAAAGAGAAAGATCTTAAAAACAACCACGGGGCCAAAAGACACATTACATGCAGGGAACCAACCAATAGGATAACAGGTTTCTCATTGTTTTAAAAAATATAAGTGAGAAGACAGCAGTATAATAGGAAATACTGAAAGATGGACACAAAGAAGGGAACAGACACCAGGGCCTACTTGAGGGTGGAGGGTGGAAGGAGGGTGAAGATTGAAAAACTACCTATCGAGTACTACGCTTATTACCTGGAGGAGGAAATAATCTGTACACCAAACCCCCACAACACACAATTTACCTATATAATAAACCTGCACATGTACCCTGAATCTAAAAGTTAAAAAAATAAACAAAATAGAATAAAACAAAATACTGAAAGAAAACTTGTCAATCTAGAATCCTGTACCCAATAAAAATAGCTCTTCAAAATAAAAGTGAACCAAAAACTTCTTAAAATATGCAAAAAAAGATATACAATTAAAGCCCAAAAAAAATCATCACCAGCTGACACCTATGACATATTAAAGACAGTGCTTGGGCAAAAAGGACATGGCAGATGGAATTATGGCTTTACACCAACAGATGAAGAGCACCAGAAATGCTAATTACACAGGTAAATTTATGAGTTTTTCTTATTATTTAAAGCTCACCAAAAGATAATTAACTGTTTAAACAATAGTGTAATGTGACATGTGACATATGTAAAAGTAAATTTTCTGAAAAAATAGCACAAAGTTCAGGAAAGAAGAAAAGGAAATATACTATTGATGACAGCGGTTGCTACCATCACGCTGGCTGCAGCAGGGAGGTGAGGCTGGGGCTGCACTCTCCATGGAGCCGGTGGGAGCTCCACCCCTTCTGAGTTGGGGTGGGAACTCCCTGGGTGCCACTGCAGCTGCCCAAACTGCAGCTGTAGATCCAAGCCTCCCTGCGCTCTTGAGTGGGGCCAGGAGCAGGCAGGATCTGCCCCCCGGGGTGCAGCTGCAGCCACCATCCACGGCTGCAGACCTGGGCCTCCCACTCCACCACACAGGCGGGAGCTGGGGAAAAGCAGGAGCTCCCTGAGTGCAGGCAGCTGCAGCCACCCTCCCAGGCACAGCACCCAGGCATCTCTGCGGCCTGCACCCTCGGGCGCATGGGAAGCCCCCCCCCGCCCACCATCCCTGCTGGCTCAGGAGTGTCTATTCTGGCTGCCTGGCCTGTCTCCTCTCCCGGCCCCCCACCTCTCATCTCAGAGCGGGATTGGGGACAAGTACCAGGGCCTTGAATGGCAGCGGTAGGCAAAGTCCTGGGCAGAAGGGGGTGGGTCCTCAGTAAGGCCCCACCTTCAGGCCAGGGAGGGCCTGTAGGCTGGGGACGGGCTGCCAGTCCCACAGACTGGAGTGGGGACTCATGGTGCCTCTTCCAGCCAGCCCATGGCCGCCCATGGACCAATCAGCAGGCACTTCCTCCCCTCCAAGGGCTTTTCCATGTTCAGCCAGAGCAAGAGAGAGGACAGAGAGAATGGAGAGACCACAAGAGACCAGCTGCACAGAGGAGCTACCCTCTCTGCCGAGAGCTTCAGAGACCTGCAGAGATGTTGGGACTTCCAGCTGCAGAGAGGAACTACCCTCTCCAGGGCCTCCTCTCTGCTGAGAGCAGCAGAGGTCGGGATGACCTGCCTACAGAGAGGACACTGTGGGTCTCCTCTGAGCTGTTTAACACTTAATAAAGCTTATCTTCATCTTCTTCACCCTTCCCCGTCTGCCTATCTCATTCTTCCTGGACACAGGACAAGAACTCAGGCAAAGGTGCCACTGGCCACAGAGGTTTCCAGCCAGAAATTGGACACCCCAAAGATCCCATAAGACTATTATAAGGCTCTCATAGTATTCATGAAGTGGATATAATATCACTTGAAGGTAGCCTGTGATGTTACAGAGGTATAGTATAAACCCTAGAGCAACCACTAAAATCATGAATTATAGGTAATAAGCAAACAAGAGAGATAAAATGAAATAATAAAAATTATTCAATTAATCTAAATGGCAAAAGGAAGTAAAACAAAGGCAGAACAAACAATAGGTAGGAGAAATAGAAAACAAGTAGCAGTATGACAGATTCAAACCTTGCCATATTAATAATCATATTTATGTAAATAGTCTAAGTATCTCAATTATAAGTCAACAAAAGTTGTCAGATTTTATATATATATATATATATATTTTTTTTTTTTTTTTTTTTTTTTTTTGAGACAGAGTCTCGCTCTGTCGCCCACACTGGAGTACAGTGGCGCAATCTTGGCTCACTGCAACTTCTGCCTCCCAAGTTCAAGCAATTCTCTGCCTCAGCCTCCCAAGTAGCTGGGATTACAGGCACCCGCCACCATGCCTGGCTAATTTTTGTATTTTTAGTAGAGACAGGGTTTCACCATGTTGGTCAGGCTGGTCTCGAACTCCTGACCTCGTGATCCATCCGCCTTGGCCTCCCAAAGCGCTGGGATTACAGGTGTGAGCCACCGCACCTGGCCTTTTTTTTTTTTTAAAAGACAAAGGCTAGAAAAAAGAGGTACCTTGCTGATGTTAATCAAAGGGAAGTTGGAGTGGCTATATCAGACAAAGTAGGCTACAGATCAAAGAACATTACCAAGGATATAGAAAGTCCTCTCATAATAATAAAAGGATTGATTCATCAAGAACACCTAACAGTCCTAAACATTTAATCACTGATATGGCTTGACTGTGTCCCCGCCCAAATCTCATCTTGAATTCCCATGTGTTGTGAGAGGGACCCAGTGGGAGGTAACTGAATCATGGCGGCAGGTCTTTCCTGTGCTGTTCTCATGATAATGAATAATTATCATGAGATCTGATGGTTTTATAAGGGGGAGTTCCTCTGCACAAGCTCTCTCTCTTTGCCTGCTGCCATGTGAGATGTGCCTTTCACCTTTCGAAATGATTGTGAGGCCTCCCCAGCACGTGGAACTGTGAGTCCATTAAATCCTTTTTCCTGTATAAATTGCCCAGTCTTGGGTATGTCTTCATCAGCAGCATGAAAATGGACTAATACAATCACCTAATAAAGAACTTCATGGCCAAGCGCGGTGGCTCATGCCTGTAATCCCAGCATTTTGGGACGCCGAGGCGGGTTGATCACCTGAGCTCAGGAGTTCAAGACCAGCCTGGCCAACATGGTGAAACCCCGTCTCTACTAAAAATATAAAAATTAGCTGGGCGTGGTGGCGGGCACCCGTAATCCCAGCTACTCAGGAGGCTGAGGGAGGAGAATCCCTTGAACCCAGGAGTCAGAGGCTGCAGTAGGCCGAGATCATGGCACGGCACTCCAGCCTGGGTTGACAGAGTGAGACTCCATCTCAAAAAAAAGAAAAAATAAATAAAGTAGGGGAAAGAGTCCTGAACCAAGCAGAAGCCTTCACATAAGTTCTGATACCTACACTACAAGCTCTGTGGCCCAGGACAAGTCACAACCTCTCTTAAATAGAAAAGATATCCTCCCCCTCCTGTCTCTTAACAGCTATTGTAAATGACCAAACGCTGTATCATCTGTCAGTTCATAGGAATCACTGGGGCAGTTTTTAAAACAGCTGACCCAGGCTCCACCCCAGACCAATTAAATCAGATTACCTGGAGGTTGAATCAGAACACTGGAATGTTGTCAAACCCCCCACCCCAGCTCCATCCCGTGATTCTAATTTGCGGCCAAGACAGAACCACCACTGTATATAACCGACTATACTGTAAGTATCTATATACATTTAAGGTACTGTTATTATGTAGTTGTTCCTATGTCGGTATCTGGTTTTTTCAAAGAGATTGCATCCTTTCTGATAACACAGGTTGTGTGTTCAGTGCTCTGCAAAAGAAGGATAATGATGCTGCTAATTATGCAGTTGGTAACACTAGCTAAGTGCTTCTGTGTCATTACCGTAATCACCACTAGTCTACAAACCGTGATGGTGAGATGCAAAACCGAGATGCAGCACCACACAGCCAATGGATGAGGCATATGAGACTCAGGCCTCATATGCCTCAAGCCCCAGTCTCACGCTCAGACAAGAGTAGCATTCAAACACCTAACAAACACATCTCTCTATTGCAATGCAGCAGCTGGTACGTACTTTTCACTCGTATTGCAGTTATTTGTTTATATGCCTTCTCTCCTGTGCTATATTGCAATTTCCTAGATGCAGGACACCAGGCTCTTTCCCCTTTGTCCTCTTAGGGCCCTGCCCAGCGCCTGGCAGACAGTGGACCATGGACCCTCAATTAATATTTGTTGACCAAATGAATTAGCCACAGTCTGTGGGCCAAGGAAAGATACTGTGACCTTTCATTCCTCACAAATACCTTTATTCCAACCAGGGAGAAAGAGGCACTGTTTTCCTGCAGCTTTCTTGCCCACTGGTCCACAGCTAGAAAACTTAAAGAGGGAAACAGCATAAGCACTGTTGCGAGGGCTCAGCCATTTGAATTGCTGGATCTCTGAGGAGTTCATTTAGGATAGTGTAATAACATCTGCTCACGCTTCATCTGTACATAACATCTCTATTGTGAAATGAGACCAGACGGGATTAGACTGCCCTTGTTTTCACCTGATACTGTGCTTTCATTTCTCCCAAAGGGGGAGAGGAGGCAGCAATGCTGAAGCATTTAGCAGGCTCAGTTCAGGAATCTAAATTGCACTTAATTGTTAGGAACAAAATGTTGGAAGGGTAGAGAGCAGGCTGCTGGTTCCACAAGGACTCCCTGAGGGGGACACAGTAATTAGTGCTGGTCTTGATTGTGAGGTCTCTTTTGAGAAAGAAAAATCTCTGCAAAATTGAACAGGGAGGTGCTCCACATGAATGCTCCACTCTGCCGAAATGCAAAACCGCAGGGATCTCTCGGATAGGTTCTCCCGGCTAAAGGTCGCCCTGGCAAAATGGTTACACACGCAAAAGTGCAAAGCTGCATCAGCACAATCCCAGCTATGTTTTCCTTTCAGGAAATATTCAGCTCCACCATAGTAAGAGGATTTAGGTAGGCATTCAGGCACCTGGGAAACCTTCAGAGGCATTCTGGAGAGGCAGACACTGATCAAAAACACATTCCCAGCCCAACTTTACTCTGATGTTAAACAGCCAGGAACACTTCCGGGCCTCGGGGATATTTCCCAGCCCACAGGGGGCCGGTATCTGGGGCAAGAGGGACACCCTCCACATCCAACACATATTGTTCCCACACTTCCAGGCAGCAGCGTTTGACCACTAAACTTTAAAAGGGAACGCAGTACACCTCAAGTTAACCAGCTGAAATTTTGACAGTTTTTCACCCCACAGAACCTTACAAAAGCTTCAGAAAAACAAATGCAATAACTTAGGGAAAGGGAGGCTGAACCTAGCGGGGAGCCAACCAGCACCGCTCTGTTTAATTCAGCAATAACTTAGGGAAAGGGAGGCTGAACCTAGCGGGGAGCCAACCAGCACCGCTCTGTTTAATTCAAACACCGTGAAAGGCCGTCCTGTGGACCACAGAGCACCGCTGGAACCCATGCGGTCCCCAGGGAACCTGTAAGGATTCCTACATCCCAGCGCATCCCCCACTTCATTGCAGAGCTAAAATGCCCTTTACCTTTGCAAGAAACACGCGAGGGATAGCAGGTCTGCGCAATGGCCAGTATCCCAATTCCATTGCAGGGAAATGAACCCAAGAAGCCTTTTCAAGAGGCAGTTGAGTTAGAAAGAGCTAAGCCTGAACCCTCTTCCACGCTTACCAGAAGACGCCCCCACTAGGCAAAGCTCCACTGGCCCTCTCGCTCCTTGTCCTGCGCGTGCACACACAAGGGTACACACGCACCCACGAGGACTCAGGCACGGACCAGCGTACACATGCCTGCACACACAGACGCGCGCTCACAAGCACACACGCGTGGACGTGCAGACGGGGTGCACACACACTGACATACGCGCACTGACAAGGGCACACGCATACACATGAGCACAAGCGGGTACACACCAGCACAGCGTCCACGGGCACCAGTGCACACCCGGCGCAGCCCACGTGCGTGCAGCCCTGAAGGCGCCCGTGCCTCGCGCCCCTGGCCATGCACACCAGCTCCGGGCCGCACTCACCTGGCGCCGGCGCCGGCGCGACCGGGTTCCGCGCGCGAACCCTCCCGGTGGCCCAGGGGTCAGGGCGCGCAGCCTCATGGCTGCCCCTGCCGCCCGCGGGGAGCCGGGCTCGGCCGGGCGAGGGTGGCCGCTGACCCCTCCCCAGCGGCTATCTGGGGGGAGGATGCCTCCCGAGTCCCCTGCGGACACAAGTCCCAGGAAATGGCCAACACGGGAGGGGCCAAGGGCTCTCCGTGGCCGCCGGCCCAGGTCCCAGCCGCGCGCCGCAGCCTCCACGGCCACTCCTGCCCGTCAGAAGTCAGACGCCGGGAACAAAAGCCAGGCGCGAGCGCACGGTCCCGCACGGCGTCCCTCCATCTGACACGAATTAGCCCTCCCTCCCCCGCCCGCCCCAACCGCAGCTCCGAGCGAGCGCGGAGGCACAGGCTGAGCCGCCAAACACTGGGAAAGTGGGTGAGGAAACGCCTTCCAGGCGGGGGGAGCAGGATCTTGCAGCCGCCATCTGATTGGAATTACCGACGCGCCGCGCTTGGCGCAGGGTTCAGCTTTACTAGGATTTCAAACCTCTCCGAGAACGCTGGCGAGGTGCTTAAAAGAATCAAAACCGGGCAAGCTCTGGCTTTCGGAATTTCTAAATCTTGAATATTATCCAGTCAACTCTGCATCTGTAATGAGCAGTAATCTACACTACCCTGATAATCTACACTAGCAAACAGGGCATTTGGAGTGGAAAGCAGGTAAACACCGAGGCAGAAAGGCTTTTTTTCTAATTTGCTTCTTCTACTAAAAAACTAGGAGCCTGGCCTTGCAGAGAGGGACACGCCTAACCAGGTAAGGATTTCAAGCAAATATCAAAGCACAGGACCGCCCGGGGCCTTGCACACCTGGGGGCTGGGCTGCACCTCCCTATCTCCCAGCCTATCCCTCCCTCACCGCACCCCCCCCACCCCCCGCCATCCTGCTCCTGGCAAATCAGGACAATTCACAGCACATCTGAAGTCCCGTCTTCCTTTATGGGTCTGCGATTTTAGAAGGAAATTAGAAACCCGAAGTTCAGGAGGTGAAGATGACAGGGTGATGGGAGAAGATGGACAAGCCAGGATCCTGAAGAAAGGGTCACTTAGAAACGCCAGGAGGAGAGGCGGGCAAGATCCACAGGCAGATCCCTCCTTTCAATGCCTGTCGGACTTCACCAGCCTTCCCGGGGCAGTGGATCTTGGCTGTCTGCAAGAAGCTTTGTGGCAAGTCTAAAACTAAAAGAACATGTTCAAGATGAAGCCACTGCCTGTGGTCTACGGTGGGCAGCGGAAGAGACCCCTGCCTCAGAGCAGGATAGGGGGCCTTCTAGTCTCAGGCCAGCTAACCCTGTACTCCTACCACTGGCCTTCACTCCAGGCCCAGCCTAGGAGCAGTGTCCCAGAGCTCAGCCTTTATGGCTCCAACACTCTAACTTCAGATCTACAGCTCCACTTGCAACTCCACATGCCTTGGATGTGGGGAGCAGTCTGGGTGGGCTAAGTCGTGGCCTTTATGGCTGACATATGTGCAAATTCCAGCCATCAATTCAACTGGCTGACGTTAACCTCTCAAGTTCTGGCACTAAATATCCATCTTTCTGTTTCTGCAGTAGAAGAGCAAAGCTGCTCTTCAACTTTTAACTACAAAGGAAAAAACCTCCTCCTAGAACACACCATTCTGGGTTCCAATTCCTCACTAAATCATCACCTGGCAGACAAGCAGGCATTCTCATTTCCCCCTGTCCTTCAAATGACACCATTATTCACCTTTTTCTATATTCATTCCTTCATTCATTTTTCTGTATACATTCATCATTTTTTTCCTATAGCATATCCAAACTTTAGTCTTTTCAAACATTTTTCCCTGAGAACACATCTGTATCGTATTCATTCCAGATTGCTTCACATCTGACACAATACCAGGTACATAGCAGTGCCTACAAACAGCTAAGAACAGGATATGCTGCTGTCATGGTTTACCCAGGGCAAACACGCCCAGAGGTCAGCTGGATCTACCACCGCCCTTACCATGGTGCCCACAGGAACCGGCCAAAGAAATCTGAATTCAGCAATGAACAGATAGCCCCCAGCAGGATAAAACTCCTCCAACCTGAGTACCAGGATTCATACTCTCTGGGGTCCACCCAGGAACAACGGCCAGGAGCACAGGCCAGCCCACTGCCTATGCAAGCCAGAGTGGAAGGCAAATGGTTGAAGGTGGCTTTTTATTGCAGGGATACCCTGAATCTGCTCTTACTTATTTAAAAGAGTAGCCATTCAGAAAACTCCCACACTTCGTTACTAGTAACAAATATCGTGCGTGTGATAAACCTCCCCAGTGAGGACAACAAACTGATTTTTCACTGGCAAGAAACAGTGCTCAATCCTAAGGCGAATCCGCATTCATCAGCAGGCCGCCTCTCCAGCCCCTCTCCCTGCCCCCGACTCTGACCTCCTCCTGCCAGGCTTGCAATCTAGGCTCTTACACTCCAGGGTCCTTCTGCTCTGCGCCCTTGGGCTCACTTGGGGCTTCTCCCAAGGCAGTTTCCCATTCTCCTTTCTGGCTGAAAACCGCTGTCCTGGGCTCAGTTGAAGATCCGCCCCCCATCTGACCTCCCAGACTGGTTAATCATCCTCCATGGCTGAGCCACTCAAGGATGGTTGGGGCCCTGACCCTCTAGTGTGGTCATAAGTCTTGTACCTCCAATAGGAAGTCCTAACCTTGTCTGGGATTTTCCACACACAGCACCAAGCAGGAGCAATAAACACTGGTGCAGGAATGAAAACATTCTCCTTTGCTGTATTTCCACCACATCAACACCGGTGTTCACTGCCTGTCTCAGACCACACCCTTCTGAGTCCTCCCAGAAGTAAGCTGTAGCTGAGGGTCTGGGGATGCGAAGGGACTCAGAAGCCAGGGCACAGACTCCTCCAGGCACAGACCCTCACCTCAAAACTTGGGTGGCAGACTGGCCTCACTCCATCTTAAAGCCACAGTGAGCTCTGTGCTGCTGCCCAGCTTCCAATTTTCTTCGTGCTTTGCCACAATCCTCTGTGCTTTTTACTCGCCAGGTTGTCTCACCCTAGCTTCTGACTGCACTTGGTTCCCAGGAACAAAACAAGGTTCTTCCCAGGAACAAAACGAGGTTCTTCCCAGGAACAAAATGAGGTTCTTCCCAGGAACAAAACAAGGTTCTTCCCAGGAACAAAATGAGGTTCTTCCCAGGAACAAAATGAGGTTCTTCCCAGGGAGGATGAATTCCAGACGGCTAAGGCAGACATCAGCAAACCAGCCATCAGGAAGAGAGGCTACATCTCAACCTGGGTTGGAAACCCAGCTGGAACTAGGGACATGAGCCCCTCCATGAGTCAGACTTTAACACCAAGTACAAGGTTCCCTGGGGGAGAGCTGAGGGGCCACTCGTGCCCGTTTTGTCACTGGAAACTGGAGGCTGCTCCTATGAGTCCATTCCCTCACACGATCATGCATTCACCCACAGATACGTGAGCAACGTGTGTGCTCGATGTCAGAGGAAATACAGCGGCTGGCTCACCCCGCCCCTCCCAGAGGGACGATCTACACGCAGTGTTAGGAGGGGGCACGGAGTCCACAGATCATGGGAAGAACTCCATGAATGGCCTGTGACTTGAAGCAGAAGCAGACACTTTCCAGACAGGAAAAGAGGTGAGGAGAGGCAAGGGTGGTAAAGCGCCGTATTTTTGGTGAACTGGCCAAAGGCTGGGTGGCTAATGCACAGCTGTGTTGGGACACTGAGGGTAGACAGGGCTCAAGAAGCAAGTACAGGGTGGTGAGCAGGATTGCACAAAGCAGTCACAAGGAAGGAGGCCCCAGTACCGAGCTGGGCTGGACTCCAACGTCACAGGGGGCTCTAACTGGCAAAAAGGAAAAAGCATCACAGGTGTATGTTCATCCTGGAGGACCCCTGGCAGTCCTGGGAGGACACTCGGGAGAAAGCAGGAGTGGACATGGAAACTCTAGGTAAGAGAACCTCAGCCTCGGGCAACAGCCCTAGAAACACAGATAAATGTACAGGGGAGAGGACGGCCATAGCAGTGGAGAGGTGACGGGAGATTGGTCATGCACAGGATGATTGAGCATAAGGATCTGTGAGAAGAAAAATGGGAGGCACCTTCGGGAGGAGCTTGCTAGTCTAGAATGGGGGACATTATAGTAAGCCCTGTGTTGGGAGACAGGAATCAGATATTGGTGTGACTCAGAGTTTCCAATCTAGAGACGTAGATACATCTAGAAATCAAAGTAGATGTGAATGTGTGTATACGAACCAGTGCACACACACACATGCACACACACACAGAGATACTCCCAGATCTGTCCTTGGAGGGTGCGGAGGCTCCAATACCAACAGTCACCCCCCAATGAGCCTGAAATCTCTTCTTTTTGGCCAGAAAGTAAGACAGTGCTCACAGAACAATGGGTTTTTTAACAAAAAGACACAGGGGCCAGCCTGAAGAGGCTCCCACCAGGCAAACTGTAAACAACTTGGAGATCAAAATAGTGATAATATTGGATTATGACCCATTGAATACAATACAAATCCAAGACTCTTTGAGTCCCTACTGATAGAAGCAAATGACCGAGGCCGGGCGCAGTGACTCACGCCTGTAATCCCAGCACTTTGTGAGGCTGAGGCGAGCGGATCACAAGGTCAGGAGATGGAGACCATCCTGGCTAACACGGTGAAACCCTGTCTCTACTAAAAATACAAAAAAATTAGCTGGGCATGGTGGCAGGCACCTGTAGTCCCAGCTACCCGGGAGGCTGAGGCAGAAGAATGGCATGATCCTGAGAGACGGAGCTTGCAGTGAGCCGAAATTGTGCCACTGCACTCCAGTGTGGGCAACAGAGCGAGACTCCATCTCAAAAAAAAAAAAGCAAATGACCACAGAGACAGTCTCAGAGAGGCAATGGGAGTCCTGGGAGCAGGTTATTAGGAAGCGTAAAGGTCTCAGCTTCCATGCGTCGTGGGATGGGAGACTCGGGAGTTATGTGCAGTGGAGAGACAGAATCTAATAGGCTGTCACTGGTTGATCTTTAGAGAGAATACATAGTCTCTAAATACTTTCCTTTATTTACTATAAAAGGGAAAAGAGTAAGTCAACAACAGAGAAAGCTTCAGTCTCCACCTAATCAAGGGGTCAAGGTGACCATGACCTTGGATGGGACAAGCCATGGTCAGCGCCACCTGTGATTCAGAGATGAGAATATGCATTACCACTGGGTGTTTCTGCAGAGAGGCATCATCTAAACCAAATCCTCACCACACCTTGGCCAGACAACCCAAGTGAGGGGTGGAGAGTCCAAATCCTTAGTCCCTCTGACGTGTGCTCACAGAGCCACTGTCCTGGCAGGATCCAGCCCTGATTCCCGATTCCTAGCCTCAGTGCTCTGAAATTGGGGCCACCAGATACTCTGGGCAGATGACTCCTAGCTCTCCTCTACCCACTACATGCCCGTCGACACGAAATCTGACATGGCCAGTCCCACTGCTCCATGGCTTGAGGGTGTCCGAGTGTGAGGGAGTTTCTATGTGCCACCTAAAGCACATTTAAAAGCACTTTACGGCCGAGCACGGTGGCTCAACCTGTAATCCCAACACTTTGGGAGGCTGAGGAGGGCAGATCACGAGGTCAGGAGTTCAAAACGAGTCTGGCCAACATAGTGAAAACCCGTCTCTACTAAAGATACAAAAAATTAGCCAGGTGTGGTGGTGGGCGCCTGTAATCCCAGCTACTTGGGAGGCTGAGGCAGGAGAATCATGTGAATCCAGGAGGCAGAGGTTGCAGTGAGCCGAGATCACGCCATTGCACTCCAACCACGGGGAACAGTGCAAGACTGTCAAAAAAAAAAAAAAAAGGCACTTTGCCTCTGATATTGAAAAAGACTGCCTTCAGTTTAAGGAATTTCTGACATCAGCAAGTTGTTGCCAGCTCTCATCTGCAGAAATTGAGCCTGGCCCTCTCTCCTTGTCCAAAGGTGGGAACACTGGTCACTGGGCAGCAGGAGGCCCAGACACTGTCTCTAGGGGCAGGTCTTGTACCTGGGCCCTGTCCAAACACAGACTTTGGGAAAATCCTCCCTTTTGTCTCTTTCCCTGTGCAGCCAGCTTGTGCTCCATCCGAAATCCAGAAGGGACAGTGTAACAGTGTGCCTCCCAGGGCACTCACCCTCTGGGACATTCAGGAAGTGTTCAGGCACACTTGCATCTCACCTATCCAGCAAACATCTTCACACCTGTTCCCCAGGGCCATGCTGGAGGGGGAAGACCAGCAGAGGACTTTCGGTACGTCAAGTCCCAGGGGCTCAGGATATGTGCATGGGGCACCTGAAAGACTGGAGAGGTGGGGAGCTGACTTCCAGTCCCTGCGGTGAGGGGGCTTTCGCCCAGGCTCTTAGTGACCCAGCGACATCCTAGGAGACAAGGAGTCCAACTCCCAGAGTGGTATTAATGATCAAAGATGCCATTTGTGAAGTGCCTGACCCTCAAGATGGTCCAAAGCTGGAGTTACCCACTCGGGTGGAAGCAGGACTTGAAAGCAGTACTGCTTTGTCCTTTACACAACACTGTTTCTCATGAAAATCACAGACACTCAGTAGATAACGTGATGAATGAGAGTCCACTGGCCACAGAGGAGAGTGTATTTATTCCACCAGGTTAACCAAAACGTCTCCATTGGCTACAAAGTTCCCGGGCACGCAGCCTGTCCCCACCCATGGGAGTCCCCTGGGGTGTGCAGGCTGTCAATGAAATGTCATTCTGCGACTGCCACACTTCAGGGCTTCTTCTGACAAACAGATGGTGACTTCTGACATCCTTTGCATGGTGTTTTTGCCCGCCCTGGGGAAACCAGCATTTGTTTCCCTCTGCTCTGACTCGTCACAGAGTTCCTTCCCCCTGACTTTGAGAAGTAAATAAAAAATGCTTTCCTTACAAAATTCCCCTCCAGTGGGTGCTTCTTCCCTCTTCTCTGCTCAAAACAGAGCTGTTTCATTACAGACTGTGCACAGGAGAGCAAAAGAAAGTGTTAAATTAAGGTGGCTCTCCCCAGCCCCCTCCAGCTAAGTCCCTGGTAGGATCTCGCCCCCTTCCCTCCCTTCAGAGGAGCAGGAAGAGTCAGAGGCTGGTGCCAAGAGGAGCATCTTCCTTCCTTCACCTATCCATGGGTCGGGGGTGGGGGTGCCCAGCCCAAAAGATAAACAAGGGCCCACCTGTCTCCACCTCTCACAAGCACGGAGCACACCTTTCTCATGGTAAAACGGACCCCCACAGCTACGGGCTCTCTGTGTGCCTCCAAAATCCATATGTTGAAATCCTCACCCACGAGGTGACGATATTAGGAGGTGAGGCCTTTGGGAGGTGCTTAGGTCATGAGGGGAGACTCTGCATGAATGGGGTTAATGCCTTTAAGAAAGGGACCCCACAAGACCCTTCACCCATTCTGCCATGGGAGGACACAGATAGAAGGTGCCTTGGATGAACCAGGAGCCAGCCCTCACCAGACAATCTGCCAGAGCCTTGATCTTGGACTTCCAGCCTCCAACTGTGATAGCTTCCAGAACTGCCTGAGGTCGCAGAGCTAAATAACCACAAGCCCAAGTCCCCAGGTCCAGCTTACAGACCTACTGCTACCAATGGGTGTCCCAGGACCCAGGCACGGATCAGTAGGCATCCCAGCACTTCCAACAAGCCAGTTTCCTCCTGTCAAATGAGCTGCCCCACCTATTCTAACCGAAAATGAGAACATAGGAAACTGTCTAGTTAATAGGTGCCCTGTGCTGAGGACATCATGATTTACTTTTCCACTCCTTGCCAAGCATTTCTTCACCATCAAGTTGACTCCAAGCAGAAGAACCCTGCAGAGTTAGTTGTACGAAAAGCCTGGAGATCCACGATGTTAGGACTTACTCTGCCACTTTGAGCACCTCGAACACTAAAAACGGAGAGAGGTATGTTCACTTCCTCCAGGGGGGTAAAGAAAAAGGACACAGTTGTTGGTGTTGTGCCTGGCCTTTTAAACTCTTCCGTGATAATACATTGAGATGCGTAAGAGGGCATTTTTTTTTTTTTTTTTTTGAGACGGAGTCTCGCTCTGTCGCCTGGAGTGCAGTGTGGCACAATCTCGGCTCACTGCAACGTCCACCTCCCAGGTTCAAGCGATTCTCCTGCCTCAGCCTCCCAAGTAGCTGAGACTACAGGCATGCACCACCATGCCCAGCTAATTTTTGTATTTTTAGTAGAGACAGGGTTTCACCATATTGGCCAGACTGGTCTCTTCTAGAACACTGAGGAAGAGCTAGATGGTAGTGCATGCCACTGGTCACGAAAGGGGAGGGCTTTCTACACTCCCCTCCCATAGAAATCTCTGTTACTGTTTGATGTGGACAAGGCGCCCAAGGCTCTAGGAAGTTTAACAACCTGCTCAGCTTCAAAACCTGCACCAGATCCTTAAACAGGGTGCTGACAGCAAGAGGACCCAGCCTGGTCTCCCCTCCCTTGGGGGGCTCCCATGGGAAGGCTGGGGCAGTGGGAGGCGGGTCACCCACAGATAGCCATCTCAGTTACCACTGTCCTTTCGGAAACCTCTCTAATCGACCCCCGTCCTTTCACACCTCCCCAGTTTCTTCCTGACCGAAAATGCCCCAACATTGCCTGACTTAGATCAGAAAATGACCACTGGACCACATCTGGAACTGTGGGTAATGAAGCCCTAGGGGATCCCACCTGGGGGCAGCCTGAGCAGTTCTCAGCCAACACTGCTCCTCAAATCCCCTGCAGGAGCTGGTTAAAAACATACCGACATCACACAAACTCCACCCCTACCACTTACACCACAGTCAGGGGACTCCACAGTCTTGGGGGAACCCTAGGCAGTGATATTTCTTCACAGTCTTCCCAGGAGCTCTGATTTGTAGTTGGGTTAAGAAGCACAGAGAGCCATGAGATCTGGGGATAGAGGCAGGTGCCCTGCTCTCCTGTAGCCTGGAGCCTCCCCCAGGAGGCCTGGACTGAGGTGGTCCAGAGAGCTGCGGCGGACCCCGACCCCACTCCTCTACTCACTGCCTGCGGGTTTATTATTAATTATTCTGGGCCACAGTTTCTTCATCTGCTAAAGCGGATGATCAAATTGCAACCGACCTCAAAAGCTTCTAATGAGGCGCTGAGGCTCAGACCTTAACCATCTTACCTGAGCCACTTGTCTCACGTGGCGTCCACGTCCGGCACCCCCTGGCCTCACACACAGTCACCGCACAGCAGCACTGCTGTTCCGGAGCTGGACTGAGCTCCCAGGACCTGCCGTCACCGCAGGAGAGCTCCTTCCTTACAGTCTTCCTGCGTCCCAGCCCTGTGCACATCCACTGAATAAGAGCCTGAGGAAAACCCCTCCCCAGGTGGCCCAGGACGGTGAGGTGCTGAGGCTGGGAGCCTGTGGCAATTTCTACACATCTGTTTTCAGCTTCCTAAAAGGTTCGATGTATTGCTCTTATAATTTTTTTAAATATCACTAAAGTATACTTACAGCATAGTACTCACAATCCTCTTATCCTCCTTATTTAAAAAAAAAAGTTTTTAAATGTTATTCAAGCAAAGAAAAAGGCAGTTCAAGTCCCACCTCACCACTGAAGCTTCTCATCCCATGTCTGCAGTGACAGCCATCACTGTCCACCCAGGCTAGCAGGGAACAGACATGGGCTTGCGGCATACCCCACTCATACTATAAACTACGCGTGTGCCAAGACCACGGTCTCTCAGTGTGTGCGCTCAGCACCCGCCTGGTAAGACACGGCTGTGCTCAACAGGCGCTGCGGATGGAATGACTAAAATGACAAAGACAGACGCCAGGTTTTAAGGTCACCCCCTTGACTACCACACCCCTCAGTCACGCCCTGGGCTGGGCCTTTGGAACACCCTGAGCTGTGGCCTCCTATCTGCTGCCCTTTGAGTTTCTGATTAGATGGTTTACAATTATACTGGCAGGGTTCATCTGTCCATTCATTCATTCCCGAGTTTATAGCCTAGGAGGGAGCAGAGAGAAGATAAAGCCAAGGAGGCAGTGGACCCTCCAGGGTGAGGAGGGAGGGAGGCAGTGTGTGTCGGGCTCCAGTGTAGACTGGGCCTTGACCAAAACAGGTAAGCAGAGGCTCAGGAGCAAAGGGTGGGAGTGGGGCGGAGGGCAAAGCGAAGAATTGTGTTGACTTCAACTGGACTAAGAATTAAGAGAGATAAGGGGCCTGTGTCGGGGAGTGGAAGGCAAGTGTGGGTGGGACGTGAAGGAGTAACCAGCACTCAGTGGAGCCCTGGGGACATTAGATTTGGAGGCATGCTTCTGCTGAAATTGCTGAAATTGCTGAAATTGCAGGGGGCAGCGGCACACACTGGACACGAAGACACTTTTATCAATGGGGTTCCGGGAGCTGCTCCTCCCAGACCTCTAGGTGTCCACTGTTAGTCACCAGCACAAGGTACTGGGGACAATCCTATAGTTCCATCAGATGGCCAGGTCCACATTGTGCATCTTCCCTGCATGAGGTAGGGAAGATGAAGGTCTGAGGGACAGCAAGCCAAGGTCACAGACTTCCAGGAGCCCTCAGCATGGCCCCACGTCTACGCCGCCATCCACCCCTCCACAGTCCTTTCTCATCAGTGCATAGCTGCTCTGTGCAGCAACACGCACAGGAGCTAAAGCCTCCCAACAAACCTCAGCCCAGAAGAAAATGGAGACCACTGCAGTTCACCAGCTCATGTGCATCGCTGCCAGGTGCCAAACCCAGATGCACATGCACAGCGGGCTCCAGCATTGTCCCCAGCCACCCTGGCTCTCATTCTCCAACTCCTGACGGAGTCTCACTCTGTCGCCCAGGCTGGAGTGCAGTGGCGCGATCTCAGTTCACTGCAACCTCTGCCTCCCAGGTGCAGACGTTTCTCCTGTGTCAGTCTCCCAAGTAGCTCGGACTACAGGCATGCACCATCACACCCGGCTAATTTTGTATTTTTAGTAGTGTTGAGGTTTCACCATGTTGGTCAGGCTGGCCTCGAACTCCTGACCTCAGGTGATCCACCCTCCTTGGCCTCCCAAAGTGCTGGGATTATAGGGGTGAGTCACCACCCACCCCGTCCCTCCAGCTCCTAACCTTCACGTTTTTCTTGCCTGTGCCAACTTTCCCAGTGGCATACAGCCTGCTGTAACACATCCCATCTTTGAAAACACAACCCTCCTTGAATGCCTACCCAGCCTTCCCATACCTGGCCTGTCTCTCTGCTGTTCCCCTTATAGGAAGCCTTCCTCAAAGGCTGACTATAGTCACTGCCCCTTACCCCAAGGTTCATGGGCTCCAGAATCCATGTTCAACCCATCTCACTGCAACTTTCCATAAGTCACCACCTAGCCATAGCCTGTCAGACCCAGTAAGGGACACCTGTCCCTCATTTTATTCCAATCCCAGCCGCATTTGAACACACCATCTCCTGATGCATTTTCTTCCCTGGTCGCTGTGACCCCGTGCCCTACCTCACTGGTCCTGCCTTTGCCTCCTTTGGAGGGTTTTATCCCCTTGGGTACTTCTAAGTTTCAGGGTGCCTGGGCTCCGACCTGCAGGTCCTCCCTGTGAATGCACCCCCAGGCCGGCTGTCACCCTTCCCACCACCTGTCTGCCGGCTGATGGTCCTGACCACTCCAAGCTTCTTCTCCCCTGACCTGCTGAGTCCTGAGCACCACCTGCTCCCACCTTCACTGGGCCATCCCCGAAGCACCGCTCACTTCAACCCTCCAAATAAGAACTCCCAGTTTTCTCCCCAACATGTCCTCCCTGCTGCTCGGTCTGCACAAATAGCACCACTTCCCCACACAGTCAAGTCTCAACCTTGGGGCTCCTTCTCTTTCTCTTACAGCACACAGCCAATCTGTCAGCAAGCCCTGCAAAATAAAGCCCCAAAAAGGCCCAGTTCCCCGGTCTCCACTCCCACCATCCTGGTCCACCCACCACTGAACTGACCATCTCTGTGCATCCACAGGCCAACCAAATGGAGCTTCTTAAGACAGGAATCAGGACATGACAATGTAGCACAAAACCCTCTCCAGCTTTTAGAATCTACACCCTTAAAAAATAAATAAATGAAAGTTCTTTTGGCCAGGCGCGGTGGTTCACACCTGTAATCCCAGCACTTTGGGAGGCCAAAGTGGGCAGGTCACGAGGTCAGGAGATTGAGACCATCCTGGCCAACATGGTGAAACCCTGTCTCTACTAAAAATACCAAAAAAACTTAGCCATGTGTGGTGGCGGGTGCCTGTAATCCCAGCTACTCGGGAGGCTGAGGCAGGAGAATCACTTGAACCCAGGAGGCGGAGGTTGCAGTGAGCTGAGATCACGCCACTGCACTCCAGCCCGGCAACAGAGGGAAACTCCATCTCAAAAAAAAAAGTTCTCTTCATGAGCCCACAGACCAATGTGATCTAGCCCCTGCCTGTCTCTGGCCTGCTCTCCAACCTCCTCAGCCAGGTGCTGCCTCAGGACATTGGCACTTGCTGTCCTTACAAACGGGCTCACTTCCCCCAGATCCCTGCTCAGTTTATGCCTCTCCTGCATGAGGCCCTAGGGAAAAGTCCATCCACCTTGGTCTTACAGTCATCGGGTATGAAAAACTCACCTCTAAGAGGGCATAAACTCTAGTCCATCTGTCCATCCGGTTCAGAGGGATCCCCCTGCCTAGAACACAGCTAAGGATTTGCTGAATGAATGAATGATACTCCTGATGGGCCCTGGCACACAGACCACCTACTGGCCCATTCCAGGTTTTTCATGCTCTGACCAGAACACTGCAGTATCAACTCTACCCACGTCCCCGCCCTCCCACCCCATCCCCACAACCTAGTTACTTCGTTTGGCTCTTGACAGGGGTGCCAGACCCATGCCTTGGTCTCCTCTCCCCTCTTCCATCCCTCCCACCCATCCCCACTCAGCTAAACATTGGTCCCCAAATGCAACACTGAGGTCTCCCCTGCGAGGCCTTCTCAGGGTGGATCGGGCAAGGTCTTCTGGCCCCAGGCCTCAGGGCCCCACAAAAGTTCTTACATCACAGGGAAGCCCTGCACCCTCACCCTGCCCTTCACCTATCCAAGGCCCAGACGCGAGAAGGGGTCCATGCCTGTTTGCTGAATTAATGAAGGAAGGAAGAAGGGAAATGGGAATAGAAACACGGCCCCATGGTTCCATGGCCAGCAATGTCCACAGGAAGCCTTGATGTATGGAGAGGGCTTGGTGAACTGCACAGCCCTTTGCAAAAGATAAACGCGTAGAACAAATGGGTGAGCAGCCAGACCACAGGATCCGTCCTGTAAGGCGGTAACCTTGGCTTGCTGTCCCTCTGACCTTCACCTTCCCAACCTCATGTAAGCAAGATGCTGTCCCTAGTTGTCCCACAGCAAGACAGCTAGGACCAGGAGATAGAAGCACAAAGACACATTTGCAGCAGGGTCTCAATGGGCAAGGCACATGAGAACAAAATCTCTATGTTCTCATTTCAAACACATATCACAATGGTCAATTCTCCTTCAAGGAATGTGTTCTAAGGCAATGACCATGCCTGGAAAGATCTACGTGGAAGGGCAGGGTACAGAATTATGCACAACAAAAAAGGCTGGAAGCAGTTTTAATAGCCAGCAACTGGGCTCTGGTCATTTTATGGTACTAACATAGAATGGGATTCGAATACTATGAAGTCACTAAAAATAATAATCACATCCATATTCACTTATATGGAAAACGCCCATGGGATATTAACAAAGTTACAAAACAAAACAGACCTAAGTTTTGGTCATTCCTAAACAGTCTTACCCCACTCCTGAGGAGTCATGCCACCCCAAAGAGACAGAATTTTGCTGTGGAGTGACTGAGCACATCTCCCAAGTCTGCACCCAGCCAAGGAACATGAGCTCACTCAGAAAAAGGGCAAGGAGGGGCTCAGCCTCTTGGGAGCCTGGGTGAATAGCATTCACCAGACCTGTGGGAAGCGCCAGGAAGATCTTCCTAAAACACCCGGTTCCTTCAGGAAGCATCTCCTCGGAGTGCCCCTGCTTCTTTCTCAAATGGGCAAGGTGGGCTCCCTGCTGCACAGAGGGCAGACAAGCTCTAGCACCTGAGCTCCCGGGCAGAAGGCTGGCCTGGTGTCCACTTCCTGCCGCTGGACTCGGGAACTGAGCAAAAGCAGGTGGCTAGACCCTGGGCACGTCCTGAAGGTGGAGGCCCAGTGGGGCACAGCCATGGACTGGATGGTTCTGTCTCACTCCAGGTGTTTCCTTAAGCAAATGGGGAGACCACGGAGGAGGTGGGTGAGGGCACAAAACGTCATGTGGCTGGAGCCCTGGGTGTGGCCACCTCAGGCCAAAGGGAAGGAGCTAGAGTTCCAGCATAGCCACCAGGAGCAGGGGAGCCTTTGGCTGGGTCAGGGTTCAAAACTACAGGCAAGGAGACCCCCAGTGGAATAATTCATGCCTTGGGGAGCACTTTGAAAAGTCATTGGACAGTCTACAATGAGAACTACGAAAACATTCGCACTGCAGACCCTGCTCTTTCCACACCTGTGAATCTCAACTCAGTAAGTGTCCACAGACAGGAGAGAAACAACACCCCACACAGGCAAAGTTAAGTCAGCAGACCAAGGTTCACACTGTGCACATGTGTGTTAGATAAGTAGAGAGTAAGAAGTGTGCAAATTCATGGAATGGAAGTATGGCTGTTATCACCCTAAATTCTTGCACTTGCAGAGACTGAAATAACAGGGAATGACGTCTGCTAAGGCACAGCTGGAGCGGGGCAGGGGTGGGGTGGAGAGGGAGGCTACAAAACCGTGTGTCCACCGGGAGCGATCCTTGGCCTCTCTGCAAATGCACTTCTTGTGTTGGAGTGCTTTTACAAGGAAAATGGAAACATTTAAACAGACATTGAAAAGGGGCGGCATTCTTACCCACCATATTTATCTGCATAAACCTCCCCACGCCCATCACATTCTTCTGGCACACCTAATTCATTTCTTTTTTTTTCATTATTTTTCTCCTGAGGCTATTTTGGCTGCAAGATAGATTCTAACAGAATAACAGGGATTTAACAAATAAAAGGAATGCTTAGGGATGCGTTAACAGTAATCTTGCCAAGCCAGGAAGCCGTCTAGAGCTTGGCACATGAGTGAAGGCGAGAAACAATTTGCCTGGAGAAACAAGAAGAAAAATAACAACAAAAAATCACTCTCTGCCTCCGTTGCAGAAATCAACAAGACACACACAGGCAGACAGACCTCGTTTTATTGTGCTTTGCTTTATTGAACTTTGCAGATACTCAGTTTTTTTTAACAAACTAAAGGTTTGTGGCAACCCCACGTCAGTGCCATTTTCCCAAAAGCATGAGCTCACTTCTGGTCCCTGTGTCACATTTTGGAAGCTCTCACCATATTTCAAACTTTTTCATTATTATTATATCTTTCATGGTTATTTGTGATCTGTGCTCTTTGATGTTACTATTGTAATTGTTTTGGGGTGCCATGAACCAAATCCATATAAGACTGCGAACTCAATGGATAAACGTTCTGTGTGTTCTGATGCTCTGGACTGCTCTTTCCCTCTCCTCGGACCTCCATATTCCCTGAGACACAACAACACTGAAATCAGGCCAATTAATAACCAGTAGTGTTGAAGTGAAAGGAAGAGTCACATCTCTTAAAAGCTAGAAATGAGTCAGCTTAGTGGGGAAGGCATGTGCTCAGACAGGCTAAAAGCCAGGCCTCTCATGCCAAACAGTTAGCCAAGGTGCAAATGCAAATGAAAAGTTCTTGAAGGAAATTAAAAGTGCTGCTCCAGTAAACACACCAATGATAAGAAAGCAAAACAGCCTTTTTGCTGTTACAAAGAAAGTTTGAATGGTCTGGATTAGAAGATCAAACCAGCCACCACATTCCCTTAAGCCAAAGCCTAATCCAGAGCAAGGCCCTAACTCTCTTCAATTCTATGCAGACTCAGCAAGGTGAGGAAGCGGCAGGAGAAAAGTTTGAAGCTAGCAGAGGTTGGCTCAAGAGGTTTAGGTAAACAAGCCGTCTCCATAACATAGCAGAGTAAGGTGAAGCAGCAAGTACTAATGTAGAAGCTGCCGCAAGTTATTCAGAAGATCTAGCTAAGACCATTGATGAAGGTGGCTACACTAAACAACAGATTTCAATGCAGACAAAATCAGCCTTCTATTAGAAGATGCCACCTAGGACTTTCATAGCCAGAGAGGAGAAGTCAATGTCAAGCTTCAAAGCTTCGAAGCACAGGCTAACTGTCTTGTGAGGGGCTAAGGCAACTAATGCCTGGAAGTTGAAGCAAATGCTCATTTACCATTCTGAAGATTCCAGAGTCCTGAAGAATTATGCAAAATCTATCCTCCCTGTGCTCTATAAATAGAACAGTAAAGCCTGGATGACAGAACTTCTGCATACAACATGGTTTATTGACTATTTTAAGCTCACTGTTGAGACTTACTGTTGAGCTCACTGTGGAGACACTACTGCTCAGAAAAAAAGAGATTCGTTTCAAAATATTACTACCTGTTGACAATGCAGGTGGTCATGCAGCAACTCTGACAGAGATGTACAAAGAAATGAATGTTGTTTTCATGCCTACTAACACAACATCCATTCTATGGCCCATGGATCAAGGAGTAATTTTGACTTTCAACTCTTACTTTTTTTTTTTTGAGATGAAGTCTGGCTCTTTTTGCCCAGGCTGGAGTGCAATGGTGCAATCTCGGCTAACTGCAGCCTCCGGCTCACTGCAACCTCCACCTCGAGGTTCAAGCGATTTTCCTGCCTCAGCCTCCCGAGTAGCTGGGATTACAGGAGGCTGCCACCAAGCCTGTCTAATTTTTGTATTTTTAGTAGAGACGGGGTTTCACCATGTTGGCCAGGCTGGTCTCGAACGCCTGACCTCAGGTGATCCGCCCACCTCGGCCTCCCAAAGTGCTGGGATTACAAGCGTGAGCCACTGTGCCTGGCCCTCAAGTCTTACTTTTTAAGAAATACATTTTGGGCCAGGTACAGTGGCTCACACCTGTAATCCCAGCACTTTGGGAGGCCAAGACGGGTAGATCACCTGAGGTCAGGAGTTCAAGACCTACCTGCCAACATGGTGAAACCCTGTCTCTACTAAAAATACAAAAATTAGCCAGGCATGGTGGCGGGTGCCTGTAATCCCAGCTACTCGGGAGGCCGAGACAGGAGAATTACTTGAACCCAGGAGGCAGAGGTTGCAGTGAGCTGAGATTGCGCCACTGCACTCCAGTCTGGGTGACAGAGGAAGACTCCATCTCAAAAAAAAAAACAAAAAAAAAAACAAATCTGGAAAAGATTCAACAGTCCAGATGCCTTTAAGAACATTTGTGATTCATGAGAGGAAGTCAAATTGTCAATATTAACAGGAGTTTGGAAGAAGTTGATTTCAACCCTTATGAATGATCTTGAGGGTTCAAGACTTCAGTGAAGAAAGGAGCTGCAAATGTGCTGGGAACAGCAAGAGCACTAGAACTAGACGTGGAGCCTGAAGATGTGACTGAATTGCTGCAATCGCATGATCAATCTTTAATGGATGAGAAGTTGCTTCTTATGCATAAGCAAAGAAAGTGGTTTCTTAAGATGGAATCGGGCCGAGCACGGTGGTTCACACCTGTAATCCCAGCATTTTGGGAGGCTGAGGCAGGTGGATCACAAGGTCAAGAGATGGAGACCATCCTGGCCAACATGGTGAAACCCCGTCCTACTAAAAATACAAAAATTAGCTGGGCATGGTAGTGTGCGCCTGTAATCCCAGCTACTCAGGAGGCGGAGGCAGGAGGATCGCTTGAACCCGGGAGGCAGAGGTTGCAGTGAGCCGAGATTGCGCCACTGCACTCCAGCCTGGCAACAGAGCGAGACTCTGTCTCAAAAAAAAAAGAATGGAATCTACCCTTGATAAAGAAGATGCTGTACATATTATTGAAATAACAACAAAATATTTAGAAAATTACACAAATGTGGTCGGGCGTGGTGGCTCAAGCCTGTAATCCCAGCACTTTGGGAGGCTGAGGCGGGTGGATCACCTGAGGTCAGGAGTTCCAGACTAGCCTGGCCAACACGGTGAAACCCTGTCTCTACTAAAAATACCAAAACTAGCCGGGTGTGGTGGCAGGCGCCTGTAATCCCAGCTACTTGGGAGGCTGAGGCAGGAGAATCGCTTCAACCCAGGAGGCGGAGGTTGCAGTGAGCTGAAATCATGCCAACACACTCCAGCCTGAGGGACAAGAGCAAGACTTTGTCTCAAAAAAAAAAAAAAAAGAAAGTTACACAAATGTAATTGTGTAAATGTAATAAAGCAGCAAGAGGGTTTGAAAGGACTAATTCCAATTTTGAAAAAAGTTCTACCGTGGATAAAATGCTATTAAACACCATCACATGCTACAGAGAAGTCTTTCATGAAGGAGTCAACTGACGTGGCAAACTTTATCATCGTCTTATTTTAAGGAATTGCCACAGCCACCCCAACCTTCAGTAGCTACTGATCCGTCCAAAGCCATGAACTTGTAGGCAAGACTTTCCATCAGCAAAAAGATTTTAACTTGCTGAAGGCTCAGATGATTGTTACCATTCTTTAGCAATAACGCATTTTTAAATTGACATGTACATTGTTTTTCTAGACATACTGCCATTTTCACACTTAATATAACTACAGCTTAGTATAATCAACTTTTATATGCACTGGGAAACTAAAAGATGTGTGCAACTTACTTTATCTCAATATTCATTTTATTGCAATGGTCCAGTTGGCACCAAACTGCAGTATCTCCAAAGTAAGCCTGCACACACATAATACACACATGCACATTACATGCACATAGACACATACATGTAGGTGTGCATGCATGCATGCACGGTATACATGTGTGTGTTCATGTGGACACACATACACTTGTGTACATATACATTTAGGAACGTGCACTTACATACACACATACGCATATAAACACACACAAAGGCGGAGGCAACCAGTTGGAGTTCAGTGTGTGAATCCCATGTTCAGATTCTCCTTGAACCCACATGCCCTCTTTTGTAGAATAACCCTGTTGACAATTGAGCAGTAAGAGGTTCTAGTAAACTGCAGAAGATCCTGGAGACACTTTAAAATCAAAACGTGATTTTTAAAAAATTACCTTTAGTAAAACAAGTCAGCTACTCTAAGGAGGTTCCCAGATAGATTATTTAGAGTCCTCATCCTGAGACACACTAAGGGCCAAGACCCCCTGAGCAGGGGTCTCTCCAGGCCATCTGGGGACAACTCTGCACCCCCATGAATGTGGGTGTTCTGCCTGTCCTGGGGCCCTAGGAGCCTCCGGCCTGAGTCTGGGCATCTGAAGCTCTGAGGTAGGGAACCGAGGACGACAGAGGGCCCCACATCCCTTAGGCCCAATCCACAGGCGAGCATGATTATTATTTTGTTGGTTGTTTGACTTTTCTTTCCCTAAGCCCATAATTGTGACTTCCTCCCAACAAGTTCCTCCGGTCAGTGGGTACATCTGAGTCACACTCTGGGGGCAGGGGCGAGTGAAGCTTCCCAAGCTGAGGGAAGCAAAGCAGAGGCATAACAGCTGAGATCTTCAGGGGCTGCAAAGTGCGGGCCCCAGGCCAGACGCTGCCCGCTCTCACTGGCTGGGCTGAGGGGAATGCAACCTCCCATAAACCCAAATGGCAAAACTCCACAAGTCTTTGGTACAGTGAGCATGGCATGCAAGGAAGGAATGGCACCTGGCGATTCTCAATGCAACGGTGCTGGGCAGAAGGGCAGGTTGCAGCCAAGAGGCCCTACTCCCAGCCCTCTGTCCTCCAGTCCCTGCCACCAAGCCATGCCCCCCACAGACGATAACCAGGAGCAGCGGGGGCGGGGAGCAACAGAACCTGACCTGTGCAGGGTGTGCAGGGTGCCTAGTCCCCATCTTCCACCAGTTGGTGATGCATCCGAATCCTGATCTCTGCCTGGAGCACATGAGGAGGCTCAGATCCACCTTGGACAAGTCCTGCAAATGTCCAGGGTCAGAACAATCCTTAAGACCAACAGTGCGTCTGGGAAAGTTTACAAGCGTCCTACGTAAGGGAGAGGCTGACTTTTCGTCTTTCCTCAGGGTGCAGTCACGGGTGATATGCACAGCTTTGTCAGAGGCTTTGAAAACCAGCAGCCGCCAAGGCTACTTCCACCAGAACCATCAAACCTGCCTGCAGCGAGCTCACAAATGGACCTTTCTGTCCCAACACTACTATTTAACCCAACCCTCACCCATCTAGGGGGTGCTATCTTTTAATCTTTCAAATACAGGAAAGGAAGAGTCACAATGTGGAACGAAAAAAATGGTCCTGTCCATTTCTGCAATGCCTTTCCTTGCAACACATACAGAAATCTATCTTAAGTAACAACCAGGTAAAGCACCCATATGGGTAAATAACTGAAGGTTTTATGGGAATATGACGTGGCAACTGGCAGAATACTCTCTGGGATTTTTCATCCTAGTTTGTTTTTTTAAGTGCCAACTGACTTCTCTGCCTACTAATAATTGGAGGCGCTGGGGACATTTGGAAATGTGAGGACATTTTAACCATCACCACCACTGGGGTGGCCACTAGCATGTAGTGGGAGGAGGTAGGGAGGCCACGCCATTCCTAGAGCAAACTGTCCAACAATGAATTATTCCACACCACATGCCATGAACCACGCCTTACTGGATTACATCCACAGTTCAAGAATGTGTGTCATGGAATTCTCCAGAGGAAGTCTCCAAACTGGAAGGATGGCCTCTTTTCCAGAGGGCTGCGTAGAAGGCCTGCGGTGAGCAGGCCTCGGGACATCTCTGCTGTCTGCCCATCGTCCCTCTGGCAAATGACAAATGACGAGAACTTCTGCACCACTCCCACCCCCACCAAGGAGGCCTGAGCACACGAGGCAGGCCCAGGCTGGCCCTCCACTGTCCACCCCCATGTGGGTGCTGACGCCTGTATACAGGACACTGCTTCCTGCAGGCAAGAATGAGGGAGCCCGATTCTAGCATCAGAGCCTCTTGTAGGTTCCCAACATAAAAGGAAACAGGGTATTTGCCGTCCTGATAAGAGCAAGCTACAGCAAGCCGGTGCCGAGGAGGATCAAAGAGGCTGCGCCACCTCCTAGGAATGCTTCCTCGGCCTGCATTGTTTTCTTCTTTTATTCTTACCCCAGGGCAAAAAGCAAAGCTCCCAGTCTGTGCCTCATTTCAGGCTAACTTGACACTTGGCAGAGGGTCCCACACCCTCCTCCATGCAAGAGTGGGTGCCTCCACCAACCCCAACCCCTTTGTGTCCATCAGCCCAACTTCAAAGAGGCCGACCCCAGCACCTCCCCACCCTGCAGTGGAGCACACCTGCAGGGACCAAGAAAGGCCCAGGTTTTCATTCTAAGGACTTGGGGTTCAGGCCCACCTCTCCCATCACCTACTTGCAAATTTCCACCGACTCCTGTTTCGTCGATGGAAAAACTGGGACAAAATAACCACAGCCTCCCTGGGCAGGTTTCCCACGCATGAGGAGAGGACAAGGCCCACTGCCTGGGGCCCCCCTCAGCAGAGGGTCCCAGCTCTGCCTCCCCAGGGTCCCACTCTCCCACACAGCCACCCTATGGGACATTCCTCTGTGTACACCTGCAGGAAAACCCTGCTCAGGGTCCAAGTCCAAGCCCTCCTTGGTTATGTCCAAGGCCATGAGCAGGAGGAAGCTTTGCATGACCCCCTCGAGCCCTTCCACTCACCTGGTAATGGCAAAACTGGCCGCAAATCTCCCAGAGCCGAAATCTCCCCAGAGGGAGCCCAAGGGAAAGCACTGGAAGGCAGAAGCAAATCTCGCAACGCCCGTGTATATAGACCTCCCATGTCACTCTTCCAACCCCATGTTTAATGCATATTTAAATATACAGACAGGCAGGTCGTGGTGGTTCACACCTGTAATCCCATCACTTTGGGAGGCCAAGGTGGGCGGATCATGAGATCAGGAATTTGAGACCAGTCTGGCCAATATGGTGAAACTCCATCTCTACTAAAAATACAGAAATTAGCCAGGCATGGTGACGCGCGCCTGTAGTCTCAGCTACTTGGGAGGCTGAGGCAGAAGAACTGCTTGAACCTGAGAGGTGGAGGTTGCAGTGAGCCAAGATCACGCCACTGCACTCACACCTGGGCAACAAAGCAAAACTCCATCTCACAAAAAATAAATAAATAAATAAACAGACATCAAGACACATGTTCAGATTTTTAATAATGGGAGCGGGAGAATTCTCCAAGGGACAGCAGAGGTGGCTTCACAACATTGCATCTTAGGAATGTGCCCTTGGCGAGTTCCAAGAACTTTCTGGTGCAGGGCGGTGCCTCAGCCTCGTCACATCATCTTTACGCACCCCAGGACTATGCAGAGAATGGAGAACAAGAGGCAGGGATGGGGGCTGGAAGGGGCTAAAACAAGAGCCACAGGAGCCAATCTTACGAGAGGCCAGCCCTCCTGCTCTACATCTCTGAGGCCTCCATCAAAGTTCACAGCATCCTATGGCCCCAGTCTCCCTGGGGCCCTTGTCCATCTCTGCACTCACCTCCTTCCACTCCCCCTCATTCCAGGCCCAAGCTCCACCATGCATCTTCATCAGGGCAATGGGCAGCCTGGGGACCAGGACACGCAGAGAGAGCTGCTGTAGCATAGGACAAGGAAACCCTGGCCTTCACATTCGGCGGTCGAGCAGCCCTGATGATCTGATGAAGCTACAAACCCTGAGAACAATCCACACACACTACACCTAGCATGAAGGGATTCACGATGCTGCTGAGGGCCACTGGGGCCCCAAGGTAGGAAGCTGGGTCTACACCACCTGCTCCACCCCCGCAGGACTGCAAGAGCCGGCCGCGGGTCTCCCTTTGCAGCCCACCTCAAACTGGGCTTTTCTGCATCATTGCCATGGTCAGAATGTCTGTGACCCGCCCCCCTACCCCCAATTCCTATGTTGAAGACCTGAACCCCAAGGTGATGGTATGAGGAGCTGGGGCCTCAGGAAGGTGGTTAGGTCATGAGGCTGGAGCCTCAGGATGGGCTTAGGGCCTCATAATAATGACCCCAGGGAGCTCCCTCACCCCTCTACCATGTGAGGGCACATAGAAGTCACCATCTATGAACCAGGAAACAGGCCCTCACCAGACACCGAGGGCCTTGATCTTGGACTTCCAGCCTCCAGAACTGTGAGAAATAAATTCCTGTCGTCTATCAATTGCCCAATCTAAGGTATCAGGTTGTAGCAGCACAAACCAATTAAGATATCACTCTGTCCAAAACCTGGTGTTTTCATGTCTTCCATAAATCTGCCCAACCAAAGCCCTAAACCTAACTTCTCACCCGGTGGCATTCTCCCCAGACTCCCTTGTCCACCTCTCTGCTGCTGTCAGGGGCAACCAGTCCTTGGCCGACTCTGCCTGTGGTCCCGCTGGCTGCTCCTGCAACCCTCGAACTGGGATCCCAGCACAGACATCAGCCTACAAATGACCCCCTTTCCAGGGGCAACAGCAGCCCCACCTCTCAGCACCCCTAACTTGCTCCTCTCAAACCCACCCAGAACAGTGTCCTTTCTGAGGTCCTGGCTGGGGGACTTGGGAATGTCCTGGAGCCTGGAGCCTCCAAGTCCTCAGTGAGGAACCCAGGCGCCACCAGATCCATCTAGAAACAGGCTGTAATCCCCAAGCAACCCTGTGTGACCTTGTGTGACCCCCACATCAGGCAGGCCATGGGTGTCCCCATACACAACTGCCAGACCCCTGGCCTCTGATGTCAGGTCACAGTGACTGCTCACCCCAGGGATTTTCAGGTGTGACTTCATGAAAATATCACTGTAACACCAGAAGTAAACTGAGGCACAGCGTGGTCACCTCTTTGTCTAGGGTAATAGGGATAGGACGTGGTGCGACGCTGGTTGGGCAAACTTCAGAGGGTAAGCTAGGACAGATGCTCATGCCTCTGTAGTCCCACACACCTAGGTTTATTCTTCTGTAGCTCGAGTGCAATATTCTAGTGCTTTGTCCTTGTGTCTCAGAGTTGGACACATGGAGCACAGGATGCTCAAATCCCTGGCACCTTATTCTTAGGGGCCTGAATCTTATCACACTGCCTTTGGCCACCACTGGGAGTGTTAGAGACTGTTGTGTTCCACTTCTCTAATGTGGTGGGTGCAGGGTATGCTGAGGACTATGCAGGGACCCTATGGGACCACCCACCTCAGGATTCAGCCTCAGAAACTTCTCTACTTTCCAGAATAACTTGTTTCTGTTCATTATCTGTTTTTCTTAACTCTTTTTTTTAAATCGCTTAGATACCAAAAAACAATTCAAAACCATTGTTTCCCTCATCACAATGGCTACTAGGAAGCTCATAGCCAAATCATGCAGTCACCTCAGAAGTGTGAGGCTGTGTCATTCCTTAGGTGGGTTGCAGGTATCAGCAAGGGGCCAATTTTTAAAATAAAATTTGCTGAATAAGTAAATGGAAGAGTCAAGCAACATTTTAGAATGAAAAACATGGCCACAATATTTCTCTCCCAAGACTCGTCAAAAGGTGGAATCTATTTCCTAACCCTGGCATCCGAGCTGGTCTTGCTTTGGCCAATGGAATAGAACCTGAGGTGTTGCCTGCAGCTTCTGCCTTTGCCCTTGGGTGACCTGAGATAAACCTGCTAAGAAGCAGGACTATGCAGACAGAAAGGCCAGGCTGTGAAGACCTGCTGAGCACAGCTCCCATGCAGCTAGCCCACTAGACCTCAAGAAAGAATTTGTTTTCCTTTAAACCACTAAGTTATTTAGTCTGCTTCACAGTAGATAGCTGGTTCAGCCACTTAGTCTACTGGTAACCTGAATAGGTCAATCCTTACTAACAGCCCAAGGTGGCAAGTAATTGAAGCACAGTTGCAATACAGTTTGATAGGTAAACATTTCTCCATTGCAGTAATGATGGCAAAAATTCCCTGTGCACCCTGACCATCCAGGGGAGGAGTGGCCTCCCCTCCCTGGACTGACCCAGTGTATGTCTCTGACCCGGAGATCATTCTGGAAATGGAAAAGCCAGCTCATTTTTCCTCAACAGAGTTCTGCAAAAAAAATCTTTATCATTGATAGTTATCTTAAGTAGACTCAAAGAGATGGAATTAGATTTATTTGGTCAAAGGTGGATAAACACTTGAAAGGTCACACCCTTCAGTCTCATCTGCTGCCTTTTTTTTTTTTTTTTCCCATATGGAGTTTCACTCTTGTTGCCCAGTCTGGAGTGCAATGGCGCTATCTCGGCTCACTGCAACCTCCGCCTCCCGGGTTCAAGCGATTCTCCTGTCGCAGCCTCCCAAGTAGCTGGGATTACAGGTGCCCACCACCACACTCGGCTAATTTTTGTATTTTAGTAGAGATGAGGTTTCATCATATGGGTCAGGCTGGTCTCAAACTCCTGACCTCAGGTGATCTGCCGCCTTGGTCTCCCAAAGTGCTGGGATTACAGGCATGAGCCACCGCACCAGGCCTAGTCTGCTGCCTTCTACTGGAGTGCAACATTTCACAAAACTCTGCAACCAAGTTTATGGGACATCCTTGGAGATGCTGGTATGGCAGTGGAATTCTTTTTGGTGGAATTCTTAACTACGTACAAAACAAGTAAAGTCAGTCTCTTGGCTGTGCATGGGAAAAAGACTTTTCTCTCTGAAGATGACATGGGTAAGAACAGCATGGATAAATCAAGGCACACGGAAGATGGGTTTCAGGACAACTCCATGAGTGCCTGGGGATAATTCAACAACAACAACCGTTGGGAGCCAAGACACAGCCCCACCCCCAGCTCCGGGCCCAGCCTTCTCTGGCCATACCCTTCTTTAGCTATGCCCGTTCTTGTTTATGTCCCTAACAGCGAAGCTAGGCAAAACTCCCTGGGCATCCCCGGGCCAGGCCCTCTGCCTGGGCACACAAGGATCATCCAGAGTGAGTGAGGCAGATGGAGTGGTCACAGCCAGGAGCTGCATGGGCACCTGCCAGAAACACAGAACCCCTCCTGCCTGGAGCCCCCCTTCAAGGACTCTCAAACCTAGGCCAACGACAAAGATCTAAAGTCCACAGCCCTACCATCTGGACGGTGAGATAAATACATAAGAACAGTTCCTAAGCTGAGGGCAGCTCACACTTTCACGAACGTCTCCTGGGTGCTCACTCTGAAAGGTGCCCTTGAAGAAGGCCTTTTCACCAGTTTTGGTAGAAAAGCTTCAGGACCCAGTGATGACCTCCTGGGTCCTGAGCTAGTCAACCATGGGGCAGGACTCACTAGCAAGACTGAGTGCCCAACCTCTGAAGCCAGGATGCTCATTCCCTCTGGAGGACACCAATCCTATCCTGGGGAGATCCAATCTCACCCCCAGGGTGTCATCAAAGTCGACTTACAGAAGCTCTGCCCCGCTTCTCCAGAAAGTGGCTCACCTTTGTGTTCCACAAGCCTAGTGATGAACAGTGTATTATCTCATGACAGCCCTGGGTTGAGGCCACTGAGCAGGGAGGACACTGTTGGTGGCTTTTCCCACACCCACTTGCCAACCAGCATAAATCTTCCCACTGCCCCAGACCACAGTCACAGTCACAATCCCAATTCCTTGCAGTGGTCATTAATTTTATGCATCCTCTTGGCTAGGCCATGGTATCCAATTGTTTAGTCAAACTTCAGTCTAGATGTTGCATGAGGGTATTTTTTACATATGATTAACATTTAAGGCCGGGCGCGGTGGCTCACGCCTGTAATCCCAGCACTTTGGGAGGCCAAGATGGGCAGATCACGAGGTCAGGAGATCAAGACCTTCCTGGCTAACACAGTGAAACCCCGTCTCTACTAAAAATACAAAAAAAATTAGCTGGCATGGTGGCAGGCTCCTATAGTCCCAGCTGCTCAGGAGGCTGAAGCAGGAGAATGGCGTGAGCCCGGGAGGTGGAGCTTGCAGTGAGCCGAGATCACACCACTGCACTGCAGCCTGGGTGACAGAGCGAGACTCTGTCTCAAAAAAAAAAAAAAAAAAAACCATTTAAATCAGTGGACTTTGAATAAAGCAAATGACTCTCCATAATGTCAGTGGGGCTAATCCAATCAGTTGAAGCCCTTAAGAGAAAAGACAGATTCCGAATTCTGCTCCAAGCTGCCTTCAGACTCCAGACTGCAACCTTGCTGGGCGTGGTGACTCATGCCTGTAATCCCAGCACTTTGGGAGGCGGAGGCAGGCAGATCAGGAGGCCAGGAGTTCAAGACCAGCCTGACCAACATGGTGAAATCCCATCTCTACTAAAAATACAAAAATTTGCCAGGCCTGGTGGCACACACCTGTAATCCCAGCTACTCGGGAGGCTGAGGCAGGAGAATAGCTTGAACCCAGGACGCAGAAGTTGCAGTGAGCCAACATTGTGCCATCGCACTCCAGCCTGGGCAACAGAGCAAGACTCCGTCTCAAAAAAAAAAAAAACAAAAAAAAACAAAAAAAGACTGCAACCTCAAGAACGGCTAAAATTTATTCATATATATATATGCGTATATACATGTATACGCATATATATATGAACATGCCCTGTTGGTTCTGCTTCCCTGGACAACCTGACTGATTAATATCACTAAGCTCTTGGCTGCCTCCCCGACCCTATCCTCATTCAGCTCTCAGTTTCCACAGCACCTTCTTTTCCTCTGCAGACATGTCCCCTTCTCACAGCTTGGTCCACATTCACACGTGGCTACCTACTTGCTCCTGAGTTCATAGGAACTCCTCGTTGTAAGAAAAGCAGACTGTCTTGCACACAAAAGAAGCTCAGTCTGCATCTCTATGGTGAAGAATCAAAATCCTTAACCAGTAGAGCAGGCTATAAAGACACTGGCCTCCAGAAATGTTGATTTTTTTATTTCTATTTTTTTTTTTTTGAGACAGAGTCTCACTCTGTCACCCAAGCTGGAGTGCAGTGGCGCGATCTCAGCTCACTGCAAGCTCCGCCTCCTGGGTTCACACCATTCTCCTGCCTCAGCCTCCTGAGTAGCTGGGACTACAGGCGCCCACCACCAAGCCCGGCTAATTTTTTGTATTTTTAGTAGAGACGGGGTTTCACTGTTAGCCAGGATGGTCTCGATCTCCTGACCTCGTGATCCACCTGCCTCAGCCTCCCAAAGTGCTGGGATTACAGGCATGAGCCACCGCGCCCGGCCTTTTTTTTTGGAGACAGAGGCTCACTCTTTCGCCCAGGCTGGAGTGCAGTGGTGCAATTTCAGCTAACTGCAACCTCCACCTCCCAGGTTCAAGCGATTCTCCTGCCTCAGCTTCCCGAGTAGCTGGAACTACAGGCGCACACCATATGCCCAGCTGATTTTTTGTATTTTTAGTAGAGACGGGGTTTCACCATGCTGGCCAGGCTTGTCTCGAACTCCTGACCTCGGGTGATCAGCCCGCCTCAGCCTCCCAAATTACTGGGATTATAGATAGGCATGAGTCACTACGCTTGGCCAGTTTTTTATTTCTTAAGGTAATAAGCCAGTAGGTGGGGGACAAAGTTAAATATAAACAAATGCTGAAAATACGCACAAATTTACACTAGTTAACACCAACCTCGCTTTCCAATTTCGCACTCTGCTGGATTTCTTAATCTTAGGCAAAAATTCACATTGGGGGTTCAGGGAGCTAAAAGGAGTTCTCCTAAGTATGAGAACTGTAAATGCAGCTTATTCCTCACACGGGCGCTGGGAGGCTTTGGAAGAGCAACCAGCCACAGTCTGATGGCATGATATGCGTGGATTACTGCAAAGCCACATGGAACTTTAAAGACATCTCAATTAACAGCTTCACTGGGGTTTCAGATTAGTATACATATTGGAAAAAAGATTAATCCAGATGAGTGGTTCTAAACCCTGCCGAGCCGCAACCCAAAGTGTCTGACGCAGGAGGTCTGTCTGGGGTGGAACCCAGAACTGGCATTCCTAACAGTTTCCAGGGGATGCTAATGCTGGTGTCAGGACCTCACTGTGAGAACTGCTGACTTAAGATAGCACTCGTCCAAAAACATGGACTCCTCAACAGAGCCACCCAAGCAGCTGCCCGGCTGGTAGGTGAGCCTGGGCAGGCATCTATCATTTGGCAGTGATGGCAGCCACATTCACGTTTCCACTGCAGTTACAATAGCGTGCTGCCCAAAGGTACTCAGGGTGCTCTTACAGAGTCAGGGTTTGAGAAAAGGCACACATGTTTGTTTTGTCAAATTTGCAAACTGCCTATGGAATCAACAAAGTAAATACGATTTTCTCCCCCTCTACTCTCCCTTTTACTCTGAAGAGCTTGCTCCCCAAGCAAAAGGGATTGCTAAGTAACAGTCTGATTATGTGCAAGACAATAGTGTTTCTAAAGTGCTTAAAAACAGTTAAGAACTACCACTGCATAACTCCTAAGGGAATAACTGATTCAGGCAAAGGCCATCCTTGTATGTTAAAATGGCTGAAAGTTGTTAGGAGGCAGTATCAAAGGTAAGAAGGGAATCGGGTCTCAACCAAGTGATCTGACTTAGCGGGCCAACAGCAGGACAAAAAGACATTCCATCTCATGGCCGGGCACGGTAACTCATGCCTGTAATCCCAGCACTTAGGGACACCCAGGCAGGTGGATCACCTGAGTGCAGGAGTTCGAGACCAGCCTGGCCAACATGGTGAAACCCCGTCTCTACTAACAATACAGAAAATCAGCTGGACGTGGTGGGTGTGTGCCTATAGTCCCAGCTACTGAGGCAGGAGAATCACCTGAAACAGGGAGGGAGGTTGCAGTGAGCCAAGATGGCACCACTACACTCCAGCCTGGGCTACAAAGCCGGACTCCATCTCAAAAAAAAAAAAAAAAAAAAAAAGACATTCCATCTCTTAATGTGAGGCAAGCAAGTAGAGGTACCTCACACATATGTAATCATTTTTTAAAAACTGCTTATCCTGAATCTAATGAGGAGAGAAGAACCGTACAAATTCATACTGTGCAACAATCTACAAGGCAAAGTCCAGGAAGAAATAACATTGTCCCTATTTTCAGATGTCATGATTATCTACATGGGAAATGCCCAGGAATATACAAAACAAAACTTTGCAAACTCACAGGATACAAGGTAAACATACAAAAGTCAATTGCATTTCTATGTACTAGTAATGAATACACAGACACAGAATTAAAAATACAAGGCCATTCACAATCACTTTAAGACGTGAGGCCAGGCACAGTGGCTCACACCTGTAATCCCAGCATTTTGGAAGGCCGAGGCAGATGGATCACGAGGTCAGGAAATCGAGACCATCCTGGCTAACACGGTGAAACCCCGTCTCTACTAAAAATACAAAAAATTAGTCGGGCATGGCAGGGGGCATCTGTAGTCTCAGCTACTTGGGAGGCTGAGGCAGACGAATGGAGTGAAGCTGGGAGACGGAGCTTCCAGTGAGCAGAGATCATGCCACTGCACTCCAGCCTGGGCAACAGAGCGAGACTCGGTCTCAAAAAAAAAAAAAAAAAAAAAGAAGTGAGACACTTGGGTGTAAATCTGAAGACACACACAGGACCTGTATGCCAAACTACACAGATGCCAATGAAAGAAATGAAAGATAATCTAAATAACTGAAAAGATATATCATGTTCATGAACTGGAAGTCCTGCAACTGGTGAGTGGTTGAGTAAACTGTGGTACATCCCTCGTAGGTAACATCGATCAGTAATAAGGAACAAGCTGGGCCTAACATGACTTATTCTGCCAGTCGCCCCCTAAAACAAGAGGCTCGGGCATCCGGCTGATTCTCCAGCCCAATGTGACATGCTGATTTCTAAGCTGCCTCCACTTTGCTGTCTGTACCCACAGGCACCCCGGCAAAACTCCACTCTGGGAGCTCCCCCAAGACCCTCTGAGAGGCTGCCCTGCCATCAAGCTCTTGAAAAGTTGGCACAGGGAGCCCCATTTTTCTCAAAGGAAAGGCCAGTGATTCAAAACACTAAGCCTTGGACTCCAGAGGACCCTGGGGCCTGCAGGAGAGGGTAGGGAGAGGCGAGCCAGGCCACAGCAGCAGGCACATAGTCCTGAGCAGGCCACGGGATCGTCTTCCTTCACCTTCGAGATGCAGCTGGAAGAACTGGGGGCTCCAGAGCAGGCAGAATGGAGACAAGCAGACTCTGGGTCTGAGAGGCGTGATCGGAAGCCCCTTGCCCTGCCATGTCCAAGCTGAGATGGTGGGCAAGCTACCTCGCCCTGCATTCACCTTCTGAGCCTCAGTTTCTACAGAGTTAGTGAGGGTTAAATGTATCTGAGACACAGCAGGCACTCACTGAACATGAGCTGCATGAAAGGAATGAGTGAGTGAATGAATGAATAAAGGAAGGAACAAGTGAATCTCCCCGCACAGGGCCTCACACACAGTCAATAATTCATGCCAGTTACTTCCCTGCCTGCGGCCTCCACTCTGCGGTGTGCATCTTCTATGCATGGCAACAAGCCTGAGGTCTATGAGCGGCTGCTGTGCCATATCGCATTCGTGCAGCTGCAAACAGAACAGTGCGTTATGGAAACCCCGGCAGATGTGGGGGAGTCGTGAGTGGCACCCACGTGATACCCTGCCATGTGTTTTACCCAGGGCCAAGGCCAAATGCCAACTGTTTGACACAATGGCCCTGAAGTGGGCCGCAGCCTCTTTGAGGAAGGACAGATGGATCTGCTGATAGAGCGATAACTTGTACCGGGACACACTATCTCCTCCTCACTGTGGCTGTGAACAAAGCCCACAGTATTCACAGCGTGGCTGCCATCACCACACCCACTCCTCCTCCAGGCAGGGATCTGAGCAGTTGCTCATCTGAGAATTGATGTGCTTCAGGCACGAAGCCTATGTATTATATGAACCCAAACATCTCTCCAAAATTTGGCTAGTGTCTTACGTGCACTCAGTCCCCGATGCAGTATTTGTGAACACGATCTGGGGGTCTCAGCACAAAGCAAAAAGGGGGAGAGGAGACATTTTCCCAGGACAAGTCTGCTGGATGCCCAACATCTTTATAAGAACAAAACCTGCATTTAAATATTACACAAGGGTCCAGGCGCAGTGGCTCACGCCTGTAATCCGAGCACTTTGGGAGGCCGAGGAGGGTGGATCACCTGGGGTCAGGAGTTCCAGACCGGCCTGGCCAACATGATGAAACCCCGTCTCTACTAAAAATTTAAAAAATTAGCCAGGTGTGGTGATGGGCGCCTGTAATCCCAGCTACTCGAGAGGCTGAGGCAGGAGAATTGCTCGAACCAGGGAGGTGGAGGTTCCAGTGAGCCAAGATGGCGCCACTGCACTCCAGCCTGGGCAACAGAGTGAGATTCTATCACAAACACACATACATACATATTACACAGGGACGGGGCGTGGTGGCTCACGTCTGTAATCCTAACACTTTGGGAGGCCAAGGTGGGTGGATCACCTGAGATCATGAGTTCGAGACCAGCTTGGCCAACATGGGGAAACCTCGTCTCTACTAAAAATACAAAAATTAGCTGGGCGTGGTGATGGTCATCTGTAATCCCAGCTACTTGGGAGGCTGAGGCAGGAGAATCACTTGAACCTGGTAGGTGGAGGATGCAGTGAGCCGAGATGGTGCCACTGCACTCCAGCCTGGGTGACAGAACAAGACTCTGTCTCAATAAAAAGAATAGGTCGGGCGTGGTGGCTCACGCCTGTAATCCCAGCACTTTGGTAGGCCAAGGCAGGCGGATCACCTGAGGTCAAGAGTTCCAGACCAGCCTGGCCAACATGGTGAAACCCCCCCTCTACTAAAAATATAAAAAATTAGCCAGGCGTGGTGGCAGGCGCCTATAATCCCAACTACTTGGGAGGCTGAGGCAGGAGAATCACTTGAACCTAGGAGGCGGAGGTTGCAGTGAGCCAAGATCACTCCATTGCACTCCAGCCTGGGCGACAAGAGCGAGACTCCGTCTCAATAAAAAGAAAAAATAAATAAATAAACATTACACAAGGGATTACACAGTGCTGGTGGCTCTGCATCAAGACTGGAATCCATTTTCCGAGGAAGAAAAAGGAAATGATTCTTGCCATTTGGCAGTACAGATTTGAAGGAAACAAACCCCACAACACACTCTGTCCAGAAAGAATATTCTTTTGTGCTGAAGTCACAGCTCCGTAGGTGCAACTCTTCTCAGGAAACCTGCATGGACTCCTGGGGACATTTGTCATCAACTTTCAATAACACAACAACTTGCAATGTGGCTATTTTCCAAGGAAATATCAGTAGGCTAGATTCTCAAGTCTGTAAGATGAGTTGTAAATGGTTCTCTTCTGCAAGTTAAAGGAATAATTTACAAAGCAAAACTCCAAGAATGAAAGTTGTGGCCCTAATAAAAACATGAACAAAAGCCTGGGAAAATGTGCCGGCATTTCCCTCTCTCCTCGTAAGCAATCACTTCTAGAATGTTTTCATCTAGATGTGTAACTATCCCCTCCCATAGTGAAGTGTGCCCAGTGAGCACCGGATTGGGAGGCCAGCCCCTGGCTGTCCAGAGGATGGAATGGAGGCTCTGAGTGATGTCACACCTTGGCAAGTACACGTAGCTAACTCTAAGCTCCTTCTAAAGCTCTTATCATTTTTTTTCTTTCTTTTTTTTTTTAAGCAGCAGCAGCCTTCTTGTCCTTGGAGGAATTCAGATTTAATGAGGACAGAGAGATACAACGAAAATTACACAACCCAATCCCACAGAATGTGAGCAGATGAAGGCCATGGCTAACTGGGCCTCAGAACAGAGGGCCAGGCCTCTGGTAGTCAGCGTCCCACCTGGACCACTCTGGAAGGGACATAGCCTGGGAAGGACTCAGGAGGCCCACAGCTCCACTCCCTTCTCAGTCAGTCTGTCTTGGGGGGCCCAACGTGGAGGAACTTGGGCCAATCTGAAAAACACTTCTTTTGGGGTCAGAGCTCTCAAAAGGGTGACCAACCACAGATGAAAGAAAAGGAATCGAAGGCTAACCTGGTTTCCACTGGAAAGAACCTCGGGTACACAGTGTCGACAGCTACTCCTAACAGCTCAGTGAGGTCCGTGCTATCAACACAGTTTTCAGCACCACTTCAGAGAAGTTTGGGGACCATCCCAGGGCCACAAAGAGAACAAGTGGCAGGGACGAGAAGGGGTGCCACCTGGGTTCCTGCAAAGCCTGCTCCCTTTCCGCTTCACCCCCAGGGTAAACAGGCAGGACAACGCAGCCACAGGCTGCACCCACGCTGGGGACTTCCTCTTGTTTGCTCAAAGCCATCTGGCAGTATGGGAAACGGAAAAGCTGGTGTCCCCAGAGCTGACAAGAGGCGAAACCGTGCAGAAAAACCAGTGTGTACAAATGAAAGGAGAGGCAGTACCTCCAGAGGGTCAAGGGGACTCCAGACAATAGCGATCACAGTCGGCCAAAAGCCTCTGTCCGCTCCCACTCATTCGCCCAGCTCATCTTGGCATTGAAAACGGAAGCCGGGTCTGTCTGGAAATCAGCTGGAACCTTTTTGGCTACAAAGCTGAACTCAGCACCAACAGCCCCCAGCTGGCCGCTCACCAAGAGTCCTGGTCACAGACTCACAGGCCAAGGTCGGCATTAAGCGGCCCAGTGCGTGTCTAGCCCTGTCAGCATGCCGCTGGCCACACAGCTGTGCTTGCCCCGTGCGTGGTGTCCCAGGGAACTATGCTTTGGAAGAACTAACCCAGTCTGTGAAGAGCTAGCCTGGCAGGAGCCACAGCACCTCCCACTCCTCTCACCGCCAGGGCCCACAGGTCCTGGCAGCCAGCCATCAGGGAGAGGAATGCAACTCCGCAGGGCATGACCACGCAGAGGGGCCACCTCACTGCTAGGTGTGAGGCTGCAGAGACCTCCCCATGGGCTCCGCACAGACAACCAGACACCCGACAAGCTGAGCTGATGTGGAATGGGCATGTTCTAAAAGAAGCAGCACTGACAAACATCTTTTACTCACAAATAGCCCGGCAGCCGAGGGACCATTTGGAGTAAGGCCATCCCTCCAGGGCGTTCTGAGAAGTCACTACAGTCATAAATGGGAGGGTGACACCCAGAGACCGGCAACGGCAACGCCTAGGTCGGGATCCAGGTTTGGGAGAACCATTCGCGCGGTAGTCACACACACACTATGCTTCTCACGCCCACTGCTGCAAACACCTTCGTGGGAAGAGGAAAATGAATGATCGTGTGTTCTGTTATCCTGTGAGAAGAGTGAGCCTTTAAAAAGTGAATAAACACCATTCCAGTTGTCGCAAAATCTCTACTAATAATAAGCAAAATGCCTTAAAAGCACAGTATGCTCTCGATGACCTATGTTTTGGATTATTCCTATTTAATGGAGGTGGGGGTGGGGAGTTAAAGAGCAACACATGATCGGGTGCAGTGGCTAAGGCCTGTAATCCCAGCACTTTGGGAGGCCGAGGCGGGCAGATCGCCTGAGGTCAGGAGTTCGAGACCAGCCTGGCCAACATGGTGAAACACTGTCTCTACTAAAAATACAAAAATTAGCGGGGCGTGGTGGCACACGTCTGTAGTCCCAGCTATGGAGGCTGAGGCAGAAGAATTATTTGAACCCGGGATGGGGAGGTTGCAGTGAGCTGAGATCGTGCCTGGGCGACAGAACGAGACTCCGTCTCAAAAAAAAAAAAAAGAGCAAAACATAGCAACTCTGTGTGTTGCGGGTTACCTGTCTCACTCAAATTTTTCATCAGAATAATCTGGTTACACCTGAATCCTTGCCAGTGGAAAATGAGAAAGGCCTCACAGGGATATGTGGGGAGTTGCCACCAGGGCTGCCCCAGAAATCAAGGGTCACGTGTGGCCCAGGCTTGGGAAAACATTTCTCAAACCACGTGGTCCCAATGCAGGCTGGATCTCCAGAGGTGGGGCCCACCCACCAGTCCTTCCCTCGGAAAGAGACCACGGCCCCAAGGACTGAAGCCCAACCAAGTAACTTAACTATTCATTATGCTAATATGCCCTTTGTTGAGGACCCAGGAGCCAACGCCCTGATACAAGCCAGCAGGGCAATGCCTTCACCCACCTCACGAGCAAGCCTATTCTTCCCTTATGGGCTGTGCTCTTGGAAATTTCTGTGCAGACTCTCTCCACCTCCCACCCTGGGGACACCCTGCCGCCCTCCACGCTGCCTCCCACCAGCCCGCTAGGTCGCTGGGGCATTGGTCTCAAATCTACAAGCGCCATGGAAAGTTGTCCAGGGCTTTGCCACAGTTCTCCGAAAGGGTGAAACACCCTACCTTGTGTCTTTGTATTCTTCTTTGCCTTCTGCAAATCCCCTTTGCTACTCCAGAACACAGCAGGTGGCCCTGCCCAGGGCCTCTGCCCACGCTGCCCCTCCATCGCGACGGGTCCTTCTGCAAAGTCGCCCAGGATTTAGTCCCTCACCTCCCCCAGCCCAGCATCCTCTTGGAAAGAAACACCAGTTGACTCCAGATAGAGCAACCCACCACCCCGTCTCTGGGCCTGCAGGCCTGCCCGGCCAGGGACCTCAAGTAATCCAGAGGAGAAACATTAGGATGAGTCTGCCTCCTCCTTGAGCCCCCAAATCCCACCAATTCTGCAAATGCCCACGTTGGAAAAGATGCCAGTAATTCTGGTTCAACATGTTCCAAGGAGGGGAAAACGACAGCCTGCTGTTGACATTCCTGATTTGGAATTGTGAACACATTCTTAGAGGGTAAAAATTAACCACCATCAGTTGGGGAAGGCATTATGGGGAGGGCATTATGGCTGCACTTCAAGGACTGATCACAAGAACCGCCTCACTCCAACTGCCCAGGGCCTGCATCGACGTTTTAACAGAGCCAAACCAGAGCGAGCCCAGTTCTGGACCGTTCCCTCAGAAAAGCAGCCGAGGAAACCCTGAGTAATTGCACTCATAGATCATAGGCTCTGGCATGTGGTTCCCAGACTGAACCATTTATCCAAATTAAAACCATTCTCCAGAAACAAAATCAGACCCTTTTAATTGAAAATAAAACCAAGCAACCCCGAAGGCTCTTTTTTTTTTAAATGAAAGACATTCTTCCTGCTTTCTCATCCCATTAATCACAGAGTTTACACAATCTGTCAAAATAGCTTGGTAAGAAGTCTCCCTCTTCCTTTTCCTGCAGGCCTGGTTTTTACCCTGGGGGTGATAACCTAGCCATGTTTAAGGACAGCGGGTGGACACCGTGAGAATCCAGCCAGCACCCTATGTCTCAACTGCAATTTGACCATATATACTAAGGAGTTCCAAAAAGCTTGTGCTCACCAAAAAAAAAATGGAAAGCAGGGACTTATACACCCATGTCCATAGCAGCATTATTCACAACAGCCGAAGGGTAGAAGTAACTGAAGTGTATCAACAGATGAATGGATAAACAAAATGTGCTATTCATACAGACACACACACACACACACACACCCCCACACACACGGTATTATTCAGCCTTAAAAAGAGAGAAATCGTGACACATGCTACAACATGGATGAAACCTTGAGTACAGTATTCTAAGTGAAATAAACAAATCACAAAAAATACAAATACTGTATGATTCCACTTGTATGAGGCACCCGATGTAGTCCGTTTCACAGGGACAGAAAGTAGAATGGTGGTTGCCAGGGACTGGGGGGAGGGGAACATGGGGAGTTAGTGCTTAAGGGACACCGAGTTTCAGTTCTGCAAAATGGAAAGAGTTCTGGAGCTGGAGGGTGGTGATGGCTGCACAACGTGAAGGTTCTTAATGTCGCCTAACTGCCGCAGTTAAACATGATTAAAACGACAAAGTTCATGTTATGCATGTTTTACCAAAGCTTAAAAAAAAAGATGTTTGTATTCTTTGATGCCAAAGAGTCTGCTAGAAATCCTTTCAAGAGCATGACTAGCTACGATCTGCCCAAAGACCTATGTGCAAGCATAACACAGGATGTAAATGATCAATGAACAAATAGTGAAGTCCAAATATCATGGTACATCCACATACTGGAGTACTATACTGTCATCAGCAGTCATATTTATGCAGAGCTATTTCTGGATTGGGAAATGCTTATACTGCCACATTGACTTTAAAATGCAGGATACAAAATAATACATATGGTATGATCTCAGCTTGGTAAATTAAAAAAGCACAGAAAACATATGGCACACAAGAAGGCTAAAATATGAACCTCTGTGGAGGTGATATTAGAAGGAATTTTTTCCTTTTTCCTTAGCATTTCTCTATCTTTTCCAAGTCTACAATGAGCACATATTACAAGAAAACTATTTTGTAGAAAAATAGTCAAAAAGCAAATTAAGAAGCAAAGATACGGCCGGGCGCGGTGGCTCACGCCTGTAATCCCAGCACTTTGGGAGGCCGAGGAGGGCGGATCATGAGGTCAGGAGATCGAGACCATTCTGGCTAACATGGTGAAACCCCGTCTCTACTAAAAATACAAAAAATTAGCCGGGCAGCCAGGCGTAGTGGCAGGCGCCTGTAGTCCCAGCTACTTGGGAGGCTGAGGCAGGAGAATGGCGTGAACCCGGGAGGCAGATCTTGCAGTAAGCTGAGATTGTACCACTACACTCCAGCCTGGGTGACAGAGTGAGACTCTGCCTCAAAAAAAAAAAAAAAAAAAAAAAGCAGCAAAAATATGCTCATTACTTGAGAGTCTTCTGCTACTCTCCGAGTAATACAGATAAAAAATGTGCCTCCCTCCTGCGTGCAGGACAAGAGAGAAATGCATTCTTCACCCACGTAGAGCCCTCCTGTCTCCCTTAGCACCTACCCAAGACATGGACACAGGCCCCCTTTCCTCCAGCCCTGTCCACCCGGCTCTGCAGGTCTTTCCAGAGGAGACAAACTGGAAACACCTGTCCTTGATCTTTGGAGAAAAACTCATCTCTATCACGCTGGCCTCCCCTGTGTCAACCACTTAGCACACAGCTCCCTCCCAGTGGATCAGATTAGCACCTCCAAGAATGAGGAAGTGGTTCTCCAGAAGGACCACAAGGTGCTTTTCAGGCCCCTGGGGCCATGGAAATTCAGCAGGACCAAAGTACACTGGGCCTGGAGCCCAAAAGGAGGAAACAAAACCCCACGTGGCTCCCACCCCTGAGCTCCGGAACCAGTGGAGGAGCAAACCTGTGGAGGAACGACAACCCCAGGCTGCAGGTGACAAATGACAAACACAGTCACAATAACCCCAGGACCTCTCAGGACAAAGGACAGTTCTGCCCCAGGTTTGTGGGATGCCAGAGCCTGGCCTATGTCACTGCCTCCTGTGCGTACCTTTGATCTACCTCCCAAATGGCCAGTGATGAAAGGGGTAGGCGCCCAGGGACACCTCTAAGAAAGGTGATGGATTACAAGGTGGAGAAGAATGCCAGGACCAGGCCCCTTTGTTTGCAGAGCCAGCCCGGCGCTCCAGGGAGGAATGTGCACAGGCCAGGACGCAGATGCCCCTGCTAATGGCCCAGTGTGCCCCAGGGCCCACTCTCCTGCCCGCCTGCCCTGCACAGCCAGATGTGGGCCTGTGCCTTTTATTGTGTGGCTCCAAGTGAGTGAAATGTTACACACTGCAGCTGTGTTCCAGGGTGATGGGGAGAGCGCAGATTCCTGAATCCTCCAGCGAGAAATAATCCCAGGGCCTGGAGCAGAGCCCGGGCTCTCCTGTAAAAAGAAAAGCAACTGCAGACGGCAGTGAACGGCCTTGGCCAGACACTTCCCGAGGACTTTCTTTCTTTCAGTATCGCCACGAGTGTATTCCAGTGTATTCAAAGCATCAACGAATTGGTCTCTACTTTTCAGGAGCAGTTTCATAAACTCTACACACAAGAGGTGCCACGTCACACTGTGGCTGCCAAGACACAATGAAAGGAGGTGACACACTTTAGTCCACCTGGAGGTGTCCCCGGTGTCCCCAGGGGCATGGCCTGGCTAGGAGTGGCACTTGTAATCGTCAGCAGGGCACCCGTATTCATCCTTCCTGGGTGCCGACAGGTTGCCGCTCGCTTGGGCAGCTGGAAGAAAGATTCCTAAAGATTCTTCTGATATCTTAGAAACAAAGCCAGGCCTGCAAAGGGCGTATTAAGTGCTATTATCTTTCCCCAAAAGAGAAGAGGAAGAGGAAGGGCAGACAATCTAACATGAACCATAATTAGAGCTGAGGGAGGAAGGAAGAGTAAAGAAAGGCCCAGCCTTGGGGTCCGAGGAAGCAGCTGGGGCTGGCGCACTGGCTGAGGTAGACAGCAGGCACGCCGCAGCTCCTGAGCCTTGGCCTGGCCACTCCAGGGGCTGGGCTGTGGGTGGGGACTGCACAAACCCCTCATCTTGGCAAGAACTCCAAGCATTGCTGACGGACCGGGATTCAGATCCAAGGCTCAGTATCCTCACAACACACACAAGTTACTTGAGCTCGCTAAGTCTCAGCGCTCTCTTCCAGAAAAGGGAGACCATCAGGATGGCATACATGCACGGTTCAGCAACGATCAGACTAGGGACAGAAAGTGCCCAAGCCACCTTGGGTACTTGAGTAGTAAAAGGAAGGGGGTCTTGTTAGCCGCGTTATTAGGCTGAGAGCTGGCGGGCTGTTTGCAGAGGGCTCCCAGGGCTTCCTGCCCAGCGCTGGGGTGGAGACAGGGACAGAGAGGTCTCTCCCCTGAGGGGTGGCTCTGAGGAGCACTTCCCTAGCTCTGGGAGCACCTCCCTCTGCCAGAGGGAATTTTCTAGATCACAGACATAGAATCCTTCAGTATAATCTTTCATTCATTTTGCCCAGGAGACAAAAGAGTAGTAGACTACTGCCTTCTAAAAAAAAAAAAAAATCGGCCGGGCACAGTGGCTCACGCCTGTAACCCCACGCTTTGGGAGGCCGAGGCAGGTGGATCACCTGAGGTCAGGAGTTCGAGACCAGCCTAGCCAACAAGGTGAAACCCCATCTCTACTAAAAATACAAAAATTAGCTGGGCATGGTGGTATGCGCCTGTAATCCCAGCTACTTGGGAGGCTGAGGCTGAATTGCTTGAACCCAGGAGGCAGAGATTGCAGTGAGCTGAGATGGCCCGACTGGACTCCAGCCTGGACTCCAGCAAGACTCCATCTCAAAAAAATAAAAATAAAAAAATAAAAAGAAGCATGTGAGAATCCTCCCCTTCCCTGACACAGTGAGGCATTCCGAGGGACCCTAAATTGTGTGCAGTGCTTCATCCCCAAGTTGATGGCCCCCATCCTCAGTCACCCTCATTTTCACTGGCCTCCTCCCTCCTGTTTCGCAGAGGCAACTCCCAGCGAGGGTAGGAGGCAACAGGTGAGGGATACCAGGTAGAGCTGCGCCAGGTGCATGGGGCAGGGGGTTGGGGGGGGGCGGTGGTTAGAGGTGTGTCTAGAGGGCCACGGTGCTCCTGGAGTACACTGAGCAGGACAGGAGATGCCGCCATGCAGACAATGGAGACACCCGAGGGACCCTGAGCTCAGCACTACATCCCACATTGCAGTGATGGATGTGTACCAAACACATTCCTGAGTCACAGAGTACAAACAGAAAGCTCACGAAACTTGGAGAGTCTAGTTTTCTGCTTTTACGAGAAACGGATAGACATCAAGGAAACCACTGTTCCTGCCCGAGCTGCACTCGAAAAGCCCCACGGCAGGACACGGGCCTGCATCCGGATTCAACATACTCTAAGATTCAAAACGCCCTCAATCTAGGAGAATTTAGTCCTGCTCAGCAGCATTTTGGTGGCAGCGATTTTTCTTGTCTCAGCGTTTTAGGAGCAGTGAGGCAGCGTGGAAACGACACAACTGTGAGCCATGATCCCTGTGAAGATGAAGCCACGCAACACGCCCTTCACTGTGGGGGCAGAAAGAAAGAACTGTGTTCCATGTTGTGATGGTTTTTAATACTCTTGCTGTGAGGAAGAGAGTAACTAAGTTAATCAACCACCTACTTAATTAACCAACTAACCAGCATCCCTCATTCTAGATCAACAAGGATAGCAGCAGAGGATTCTAGGTAGACAGGACTGGCTCTAGGTCATTCCAGGCACAGCTTGCAGGGGTTAGCTGATTCCCCAGTGATTTCTGGGGTCCTACAGGAAGGACCCGGGGTCCCAGGGTCAGCTGACCTCCTGGAGAGCTTCAGACGCCCAGACCCACCCTTCCCATGATAGCTCCTGCTGCATGGGGCAAACCCACCAGATCAACCCGCAAGACAGGAGGCCCCTCCCTGGGAAATCTATGGGGGCCGCTGTGAGGAAGCCTCGAAGCCTCAATTCTAAGCGTGCTGCTGAGGCACTCAGCAAATGTCTCTGGCTTCCTAGTAAGTGGCAGGGATCTAAACAATGCTTTCTGCCCTCAGGAAGGTGGAAAGTTCCTCCCCCTCTCAAGTTCATACACAGGGACACAGGGAGGGAACAAGAGGCTTCCCCTGAACAGGGGTGGTTTACAACAGGCTGATCTTAAGAAAGGAATGGGGCACATAGAGTCAGAGAACTGGGCTCATTCAGATCCCTAACTGTTCCCAGACTTTAAGAATTTACTTGGTATTTTACTCATCTGTAAAATGGGTCCTTGTGTAGAGTCCTAAGCAGATATAAGCTGCGACTGCCAAATGGTAGGTCAGCCCTTCCACTCACTGTTCTTGCCATACTGCCTCCTCCTCAGGTCTCTGCTATCCCCTTCAGCAACACCTCCTGCAGTGGAAGAGCATACTTTGACACCCCCTCTCCTGCCCTTTATTTCCAGAGTCACATTTGCAAACAGCTCACTTTCAAAACATTAGGTGCCAAAGAGACACTTTGTTAAAAAAAAAAAAATCAATTTGCATTCAGGAATAAGTAGTGCCCTGGGGCTACTAGTTTTTCTATCTTGGTAGTTTTTTAAAGACATAATTCAGCTGAGCTGCTGATAGCTATGGCAGCCTCAGCTGAGGAATCGCTGTCTGGACATGCATTAGAATTCAGTCGACAGACGCGCAGCAGCAGCCAGGAACAGGGGTCTGGGACCCTAGAGTCCTGTCCCAGAATCCCAGGCTGCACTACCACCATGTTTCATTTCATCTCGGCCAAGTTACTTAGCCTTCCTTTGCCTCAGTTTACTCGTCTGTAAAATGGGGTAATCATAATCCCAACTCCCTCCAAGGAATGTAATTTGGGTGAAATGAAATGAATGCATGCAAAGCATTTAGCACAGGCAAACACTCAATCGGTATGCCTGTTACTTTGTCTTCGGGGTCACCATTACTATTCCTAAGGTCAGGAGTCGGGCTTGCTGCCAGTTCCTCCTGTCAATTCCCTGTGTACACACCCCCCACCCCCTGTGCTACCACACCCCCACCAGGACCCAGTGCACCTCCATCTCTGTGTAATGGCCTTGCCCCTCCACCCTCCAGCTGCAGCGACTCCCCACCCCCTCCCTGGCCCTCAAGGCCTCAGCACAGAAAAGCCTTTCTTAATACTTGTTGATTGATTTGCAAATATAACCTCACAGGCCCCAAAGAGAGAAGAACCAGAATCACCAGAACAAGTAAACCTCATTCAAAAGGGAAAGCATGAAAGCAATTTAAAAAATTAATATGCACAGACCAAAGCCTCAAGAAAATCTAAAATGTCAAAGGGTTGGTTAGTTCAGAAGGGCCATGCAATATTAATACAATGAGTTCTGCATTCATACTTTTCAGTATATTTTCAGAGTCCTCCATGATCATGCATTCAAATAGTGAAAAAAATGGGGGGAAAGCCAACCCGGAAGATCAAAGTGTGTGAATGCGCCCCAAGGAAGCCTGGGGGCTTCCCAGGGGGTTGTGACCACCCTCAGTAGTGCTCTCTGCTGGCCCCACACCCTGATGGCGCTTTGAGTTTTTCAACCACGCTGGAGTTCGGGTCATCTGCTGACACTGTCTGGAGAATGCCTGAGGAACGCCTGAATCTCTTCCCGCCACAGACACTCAAATCACTCCAAGCAAAGGACCCGGGACTCACATGTCAGGCCGCTGCACAGCACCGACACAGAGACCCCTGGGCCGTCCGGGACCCTCCCTCCTCCTGCTTGTCAGCGACAGCTCCCGCGTGCCAGGAGGCACATGCCACACAGCTGGCCCCCAGCCTGGGACAGCACCCCCCACCCCAGAATATCCCCCCACCCCGAGGTCCCGTCCTTCAGGGAAAAAAAGGAAGCGCGTAAAGACCCCCTGCCTCCCACCCACCAAAGGGAAAGGGAAAGAGACGCACTGGAGAGCTTGCCTAGAAAAAGTAGGAGAAGGGTCTTGAGCCTGCCCATTGAAGCCCCTAGCTGCGCTCTCCACCTGGAGTCTCGAGACGGAGTCCTAGGGAGCAAAGTCCGCTCGGTCCCGACAGCGACTGCGACATAGCTGCTCCGGTCTCTGCCCTCAGTCCAGGGCGCCCGGGCGCCACGGGTCCCACTCGAGTGGTCCTGCGCCCCAGCCAGTCCCCAAACCCAGCCAGTCAGCGCCCCCGTCCCCGGACTCCGGCGAAGCTGGCCCGCGCCCCAGCCCCTGTCCTGGGACTCCTGCCGAGCCCCCGCCCCCCACGCGCCGCAAACCCCGTACCCGCGCGCACCAAACCCCTTGCCCGTGCGCCCCCAACCGGGTCCCCGCGCTCCCTAACCTGGGTTCTCCCGTGACCCCATCCCCGCGCCCTGAGCTCCCGTACCCCGCGCTCCCCGAACTCTGTCTCCGCGCTCCCCGAACTCAGTCCCCGCGCCCCAGCTCCAGATCTCTGTGCTCCCCAAGCCTCGTTCCTGCGCCCGGAGCGCGAAAGCCCGCGCCGGGCCCGAAACAAAGAGGACCGCGGCGCGTGGCCGCGTTTCCTCCTTCCCCGGCCCCAGTACCTGGGGGAGCCTGAGGCGCGGTCCGGCAGGGCGATGGCCGCAACGAGGCTGGGCTCCGAGTAGCGCGCGGGCGGGCCCGTCCTCCTGGCTGGCTGCCGGCGCCCGCGGCAGGGCCCCCTCGAGGCGGCGCGGGCAATCGCCACGGCCGGCCCCCGCGCCCGCGCCCCGAGCCTGGCGGGTCACCTGGCCTCATCACCCTAACAATGCAGCGCGCCTCCAGGCGCCCTTCACCGGGGTCCCCCGCCCTGCCGAGGTGCGCCCTGGGACCTCCCTTCGCTGGCCGCAGAGAGGACCTGGAATTATCAGACCCATTGAGCAGCCCAGGCTCCAAGTGGTCTGGAGGCTTGCAGGTTCCGCCGGGCCGGTGTTAGAGTACCTGGGGAGGCGGGTTCGGATCCTGGTTCCTGCACAACCAGTTCATTCTTTCATTCAGCGCCTGTGATTAAGGTGCTCTCCGGGAGCAAGACCTACCCTCCCTCCTGTAGCTCATAGCCTAGTGGGAGTCGCGCATACATAAAGGAGCACAGCCGCTCCGGAAAGCCTAGGGTGCCGTAGAAGCCCCTGAAATACCCAGCTAATGAAGGGAGGAGGTCAGGGAAGTCTTTAGAAGTCACATGACTTCTTAAAATGCGCCGGGACAAATGAGCAGAATTTAGGCAAGCCAGGGGAAACCAGAAAAACGATCCCGAGCAGAGAGATTCTCAGAGGAGGAAAGGCCTATAGGTTGTCCATCCTGACTGTCCATCCCTGAGATTCAGATGGCCCTGAACTCAGTCGCTTAGCCTCAGTTTCCCCATTTGTGAGATCGGGGGAATGGAAAAAGTTTGCAGAAATCAGAAGTGCTCTTCCTCCAGGGAGGTCACAAGAGAAATTTCATCAGCGGTTTGTCCTGTGGTCCTTTCCAGGAAAACATCCTCCCCGCCAGCCTCTCACAGAAGAGACCTAGATTTCATCTGCCACGTGGAGCAGGCGGTCTCAGAATCCCACCCGGAGCAGGGTCCAGGGCAAGTCTTGGAGGACAGTCACCAAGAACTGCTTTGGATTCGGGAACAGAGCTGCCTAACCCATCCGCAGCCCTGGGGTCCTGCCCTGTTCCTCTGGCCCCTTCAGGGCAGCGGGGGAAGCAGGGAAAACAGCCTGTCAGAGATGGCAGAGAAACCGAGCAAGAATAATTATCCTGGAAAAGACTTTCAGAAGTAACCACCAGAAACTTCGAGTCCCCAGATCCAAACAGCTGAGAATGTGGGGCCTGAGCCACGCTCTGACTCCACTCCCACCACATGAGGAGAAACAAGAGCTGCTTTTCTGGAAGACTTGAACAACCCCTGCTGTGCTCTGGAAGGTAGTGTCATTTCTCATCCCCAGACTGATCTGGGTATTTATTCCCAGGCAAAGGCTTCATGAGCACCATGCCCCAGCCCCTAGAGATGAGGCAGGCATTTTTCCTACACTCTAGGAGACACCAGGTCAAGAGTCAATGAGATGAGTCAAGGGGTGCCAGGGAAGATGCCATAGGGGAAGGTGGGGAGGAGGTCACAGCCAGCTGGGTTAGGAATGGGGGTGAGGCTGGTACTGTTACGATCTCCTTTGTCCTGATAAGGAAACAGGATCTGACATTCTAGGCAACTTGTTCAAGGTCACCCACCTGGTCAGGCGAAGAAAGTGGGAGGGATCAGGACTATCTGGCCTTGAGGCTACTCTTAACTTCTTCCCAGCTGCCTGCCCACACCATCCACTCTGTGCAATTGGACTAAATCATCACTTTGCTCAACCCTCTCTTCCATTAAGACCGTGGTGATCTTCACACCCAGAGCCAATTACGTGCTATTCTGTGCATCACAGAAACCATCATAATGCCAAAAACCATGTTGGCTGAATGACAACATGAATTTGAGCTTCTTGCAGTGTTAGGGCACCCATTTACAGGAGGTGACACTGTTGTTTGTCTGAGAGCTCACAGTCAGGAAAACTCAGTGCAGTGCTGGGGTTCTCTGACCCTTTGTCAGGGAGCCTCTTCTAAAATCTCTCCAAACTGCTACCCACACCCAAGCCAGATGGCCCCACCGGCCACACTGCCCTTGTTGGGGTAGCAATGGAATGGGATGCCCCAACCACACCTTTGTTTCTAGAAAAACTGTGACTTGGGTGCTCATTCGTGCAGTGTCTGTGGTTATATTCCCTGGCAGTGTCCCAAGAAAGGAGAAGAAAAACCGGGCTCCAGTATCCCCACGCACTCTGTGTTGGCTGGGATGGCTGTTCCCCGGGTTCCCCACACCTCGTCTAGAGGCACATGAAGGGAAGCCTCTCTGGATCCCCAATCGGGACCTGGGCCCCTTCCAGAGCTTCGCTTCCCCAGCCCAGGGCCTCCCCACTTCGCAGGCTGCAACTTCAAGTTTCCAAGAAATTAAACAAAAACAGGGCATGAACCAGTATCTGAAAAAGGGAATGTGCATTTTTTCCATCCTTAGCCATCCAAAAAAAACTCAACTTTGAAAACAAAAGTCTCCAACATTTAGCTGAAAAAAAAAAAAAGCAGCAATATGCCAAGAGTGGCCTCTCCCTCCTAGTATGCCAAGCAGAGGGCAGGGGAGTCTGGGCAAGAAACTCCCGCCAATCTCCTTCCTCCCTGAGCCCTTCTTTGCAGACTCATTCTTGCTCCTCCCCTGTAGGAGTTTTAGAAGATGTGTTGGAAGCTTGTCATTGCAATGAAGATTGTCTTTGCCACCGCAAAAATCTGAATTTGTATCCCTAGATCAAGGGAGGTATATGAGCAAGGACTTGGATATTTTTCCTTATTTCTTACTTTCTGTCACTGAAAATATTTCCCAAAGACCAACTGAAAGAGACAGCAGGAAACATTACACAGGATGGAGTTACAAAGCTCTACAGCGCATTCAGAGAACTGTGGAGTTGGAACATGAGCAAATGCCTGTGTTTTGCCTTAAGATACTGAGTCTCGGCCGGGCGCAGTGGCTCACACCTATAATCCCAGCACTTTGGGAGGCCGAGGAGGGCAGATCACAAGGTCAAGAGATCGAGACCATCCTGGCCAATATGGTGAAACCCCGTCTCTACTAAAAATACAAAAATTAGCTGGGAGTGGTGGCACGCACCTGTAGTTTCAGCTACTCAGGAGGCTGAGACAGGAGAATCGCTTGAACCCAGGAGGCGGAGGTTGCAGTGAGCTGAGATCGCACCACTGCACTGCAGTCTGGGTGACAGAGCAAGACTCTGTCTCAAAAAAAAAAAAAAAAAGATACTAAGTCCCTTGAGACTCTTACTAGAACACCTGGCCCTTTCCTCTCTTCCTTTTTCTCTTCCCAAACACACGAATCCTCACCTACAGCTCAACAAAGTGGGCTTTACAGTTGCCAGGCCTGGCTAGAGGCACCTGAGCTTTTCCGTGTCTCAGAACCTTTTCGGAATTTACATAACCTTGGTGTTTGTGATGGCTCATGTCAGATGTCAACTTGATTGGGCTAAGGGTTGCCCAGATAGCTGGTAAAATGTGATTTCTGGGTGTGTGGGTAGCGTGTTTCTGGAAGAGCTTAGCGTTTGAATGGGTAGACTGAGTAAAGCAAATCCATCCTCACCAGTGTGGGTGGGCACCATCCAGTCCTTCAAGGGCCCAAGTAGAACAAAAAGGCAGAAAAAGGGTGAGTTCTTCCTCTTCCTTCTTGAGCTGGAACATTCATTTTCTCTTGCCCTCAAATATCAGTGCTCCTGGTTTTCAGGCCTTTGGACTCAGACTGGCAATTACACCACCAACTTTCCTGGGTCTTCAGTTTGCAGACATAGTTGTGTGAGCCATAATTGTGTGAGCCAATTCCTATAATAAATTTCTTCTAGGCCAGGTGCAGTGGCTCACGCCTGTAATCCCAGCAATTTGGGAGGCCGAGGCGGGCAGATCACGAGGTCAGGAGATCGAGACCATCCTGGCTAACACGGTAAAACCCTGTCTCTACTAAAAAATACAAAACAAAAAAAAAATTAGCCAGGCGTGGTGGCAGGAGCCTGTAGTCCCAGCTACTCGGGAGGCTGAGGCAAGAGAATGGCGTGAACCCGGGAGGTGGAGCTTGCAGTGAGCCGAGAATGCGCCACTGCACTCCAGCCTGGGCGACAGAGTGAGACTCTGTCTCAAAAATAAATGAATTAATTAATTAATTAAATTTCTTCTATAGATCTGCATATGCCCTATTGGATCTGTTTCTCTGGAGAACCCTAATACAGCACCTTGTTTCCAAAAACTGCACCTGCACACCAACTTCTACAAACATGGACCCTGGGAGCCCACTTTGTGGATGCCCACTGCATGGATGCAGATTCAGTTTCTTTTTCTTCTTCTTCTTCTTCTTCTTCTTCTTTTTTTTTTTTTGTAGACAGAGTTTTGCTCTTGTTGCCCAGGCTGGAGTGCAATGGCGCAATCTTGGCTCACCACAATCTCCGCCTCCCAGGTTCAAGCAATTCTCCTGCCTCATCCTCCTGAGTAGCTAGGATTACAGGCATGTGCCACCACGCCCGGCTAATTTTTGTATTTTCAGTAGAGACGGGGTTTCTCCATGTTGGTCAGACTGGTCTTGAATTCCCAACTTTAGGTGATCTGCCCACCTCGGCCTCCCAAAGTGCTGGGATTACAGGCATGAGCCACCGCGCCCGGCCCATGCTCTTCTTCTTAACATACCTACAGGGACTTCGTGCCCTGTGCCAGCCCCATGGCCCTCTGCTTCTAGGATCACTGCAGTAAAAAAACAGAGCCTGAATGAAGTCAACATTGGTTACTCTGGTTGGATCTGAGATTCCAGATTTTTCCGACTGCAAGAACCTTCAGTCAATGGCCCCTTCACTACCCCTAACACATGCTTGACTGACTCCAATGATGGGGATCACTCAGCTTGGTAGAAATCAGCCCATTCTTTGCCCAGTAGGAAGGCCTTTCTTGGAAAGCAGTGATACTCTGATGACATCATGACAGATGTCTCCCAATAGCTATAAGGGAACAGGAGAGGGAGCCTGGGGAGGGCTCTCTGCAGGGGCTGCCTGAGAATCAGGAGTCTGCCAGGCAGACCTTCCTGGAGCCATGTGGGTGGAGGAGGGGCAGGCTGCAGGTGCAAAGCGGGAAGCCCTGTAAGAGCTTGGTGTCGGTGCGAGGGGGCAGTGCTTGAGCCTGTGCCAGGCAATGCAAGGAGATGGCCAGAGGGGACAAAGACAGGTGGTGAGAGAGAGCCCACAGGAGGCTGCCAAGAGCTTAGGCTGGAGAAACATGCAGGAGGGGGCCAGATGGTGGAATGGCTAAACTTGGATCCTTTAAATTCAGGTAGATTTTAGTAAGAATCCTGGAGCTGCATCACAAACACCTCTGCAAGCCTCAGTTTTCTAACCTGTAAAATGAGGGTATTAAAACTAAAGCCACATGGACTTTATGAGAACTGGGCGAGATTGCCCTCCTGAAGCTCTTAGCACAGTGCCTGAGGCATAAGGAGAACTTGGCAAACCACGGCTGTTTGGGAGGTGCCGTCAGCCTGGGCGGGCCTTGGAGATTGGCTGGAGAGGGGAGTGAGTGCAACCAGCCTTGAGAGGCGCCCTGGCCTGAGAGTGACCGCTGGTCCCACAGGGTCTGGTGCCTTAGGGGTACTCACAGAAATATAGACCAAAGCAGCTAGATCATTGGCTTAGGGCTCTGTGGTTTTGCTTTGTGGGCCGGGCGCAGTGGCTCATGCCTGTAGTCCCAGCACTTTGGGAGGCTGAGGCAGGAGGATCACTTGAGGTCAGGAGTTCGAGACCAGTCTGGCCAACATGGTGAAACCCTGTCTCTACTACAAACACAAAAATTAACTGGGCCTGGTGGTGAACACCTGTAATCCCAGCTACTCAGGAGACTGAGGCATGAGAATTGCTTGAACCCAGGGGCAGAAGTTGTATTGAGCTGAGATCTCACCACTGCACTCCAGCCTGAACAGAGTGAGATTCCGCCTCAAATAAAATAATAATAATTAATAAATAAAAACAATTATGAATTGGAGAAGGGAATGTCTATTCAAATGTTTTATGTCCACTTGGCAGCAGTCCACTGGAAACGTAAAGCCCTTTGCAGCTACCTGACTGACGGCTAGGAGCCCCACATAAGGGAAAAGCCAGTTCTGCTGGCTCCCTCTGTCGCTTTGCCTGGAAGGGCCTCTTTCCGCTTATTCTAGAAAACTTCCAACTTGGCCAGGCGTGGTGGCTCATGACTGTAATCCCAGCACTTTGGGAGGCCAAGGCAGGTGGATCGCCTGAGGTCAGGAATTCAAGACCAGCCTGGCCTACACGGTGAGACCCCGTCTCTACTAAAAATACAAAAAAATTATCTGGGCATGGTGGCAGGTGCCTGTAATCCCAGCTACTCGGGAGGCTGAGACAGGAAAATTGCTTAAACCCAGGAGGTGGAGGTTGCAGTGAGCTGAGATCGTGCCATTGCACTCCAGCCTGGGCAACAAGAGTGAAACTCCGTCTCAAAAAAGAAAAGAAAACCTCCAGCTCATCCACCAGGTTTCTGCTAGGAGCCTGCCTGGCTGCCCCCCATCACCTCAATGGAGTGTAATCTTCTGGTCTAGACTGGCTCTGACTCAGAGCCGCACAAATTTTGGGAATGGTTTTCATCTCCACAACACCCCTTCCTACCTTTCATGCTGTATGTCCTTTGCACAACATACCAGTTTCTAAAAATTAAGACTACAGTTGTCTAGTTTTCTGAAAAATGATGTCATTTTCTACAAGGAAATGAACCTAGGAGGGGAAAGTCCAGTGACTGCCCACCCGCCCCCATGCACAAGTCTCCACAGTGCCTGGCCCCATATGCTCAGGTCCTCTTCTGATGCCACTGCAGGCACCACAGTCATTAACTAAACTTCCCTCAGTGCTGCCGTTGTGTCAGTTTTCCTCATACGCACCAGGAACTAAAAAACACTCCTTGAATCAAAGTAAACATTATCACTTAGATACACCCAGATTTTATTCCCCAAGTGCCATCAAAAGAAACTAGCGGCTGGGTGCGGTGGCTCACGCCTGTAATCCCAGCACTTGGGAGGCTGAAGCAGGTGGGTCTCCTGAGGTCAGGAGTTCGAGACCAGCCTGGCCACTATGGTGAAACCCCGTCTCTACTAAAAATACACAAATTAGCTGGGAGTGGTGGCAGACACCTGCAGTTACAGCTAATCAGGTGACAGGAGAATCGCTTGAACCCGGGAGGCGGAGGTTGCAGTGAGCCGAGATTGTGCCACTGCACTCCAGCCTAGGCGACAGAGTGAGACTCCGTCTCAAAAAAAAAAAAAAGGAAAAAAAAAGAAACTACCAAGACCCAGGCCGGGCACAGTGGCTCACACCTGTAATCCCAGCACTTTGGGAGGCTGAGGCAGGTGGATCACCTGAGGTCAGGAGTTTGAGACCAGCCTGACCAATATGGTGAAACCCTGTCTCTACTAAAAATACAAAAGTTAGCCGGGCGTGGTGGCTCATGCCTGTAATCCCAGCTACTTGGGAGGCTGAGGCAGAAGAATTGCTTCAACCTGGGAGACGGAGGTTGCAGTGACCGGAGATCACGACACTGCACTCCAGCCTGGGTGACAGAGTGAGACTCCATCTCAAAAAAAAAAAAAAATAGCAAGAGTCTGCTTCTGGTTTCCTGGGTAGGATTCCAGAATGTTCTCTGCTGTGTCTAGACTTGGAGAAGAAAGCTCTGTGGCGATGTTCTTAGGTCAGCATCCTGCTCACTCCCATACTTGGGCCTGGGACGTTGCTGGCACAGCCTGTGGGGGAGCAATGAGCAGCTAAGAATCTGACAGCAGGAAGACAGCCAGAGTGGAAGTGGCATGAGACACCTGTGTGAGCAGGCACTCCCTCTCCCTCCCTCCCTCCTTCCTCCCCTCTCTCTCTCCTCTTCTCTCCCCTTCTTTCTCTCCCTGACCCTGCCTTTTCTTCCTTTCTGCCTCTCCTTCTCTTTTTCTCCTTTTCTTTCCTCTTCTCTCTTATGGTCTCTCTCTTTCTTTCTCTCTCTCTCACTTCTTTCTTTCTTCCATCTTCCCTTCTTCTCCCCCCTTCCCTCTGTCATCTCTCTCTCTCTCACTCTCTCTCTCTTCCTCTCTCTTTAGATTACAGTGGCATAATTTTCTCTCTCCCCTTTATCTTTCTTCCTGTCTCTCCTTTCTCCTTCTCTCCCCCTGCCCCTCACTGTCTCTCCCCCTTTCTCAATCCTTCTCTCCCTATCCCTTTCTCACCTTCCCTCTTCTTCTTTCTCTCTCTTAGGACACATATCCAAAGAACAACAGGACTCAGATGAAAACTGGATGACAATTAGAAGAACTATTTCTCAGGGCTGGGCGCAGTGGCTCACACCTGTAATCCTAGCACTTCAGGAGGCCGAAGCCGGTGGATCATGAGGTCAGGAGGTCAAGACCAGCCTGACCAACATGGTGAAACCCTGTCTCTACTAAAAACACAAAAATTAGCCGGGCATGGTGGTGCATGCCTGTAACCCCAGCTACTCAGGAGGCTGAGGCATGAGAATCGCTTGAACCTGGGAGGCAGAGGTTGCAGTGAGCTGAAATCACGCCATTTCACTGAAGCCTGGGCAACAAGAGCAAAACTCTGTCTCAAAAAAAAAAAAAAAAGAAAGAAAAAGAGAAAAGAAAATAATGCCGGCCAGAGGCGGTGGCTCACGCCTGTAATCGCAGCACTTTGGGAGGCCGAGCCAGGCGGATCACCTGAGGTCAGGAGTTTGAGACCAGCCTGACCAACATGGAGAAAGCTCGTCTCTACTAAAAATACAAAATTAGCCTGGTGTGGTGACGCGTGCCTGTAATCCCAGCTACTCGGAAGCCAGAGGCAGGAGAATCGCTTGAACCCGGGAGGTGGAGGTTGCGGTGAGCTAAAATTGTCCCATTGCAATGCAGCCTGGGCAACAAGAGCAAAACTCCGTCTCAAAACAAAACAAAACAAAACAAAAAACAAGAAAGTAATCCCCATCTCCCTCACTGTAAAGGGTTTCAATGAACAAGAAGATAATTTGGACAAAGCAATCTATGAAACAAAGAGAAACAAGCTATGATGACGTTGATATGTGACTTGGGTATTGCACATGAACAATAATTAGTATGTGAGTAGGCAAAATAGCTAGGCATGGTGGTGCTCACCTGTGGTCCCAGCTACTCAGGAGGCTGAGGTGGGAGGACAGCTTCAGACCAGGCGTTCGAGACTGCAGCGAGCCATGACCATGCCATTACACTCCAGCCTGGGCAGCACAGTGAGACCCTATCTCTAAAGTAAATAAATAAAAATAACATAAAATGCCAGAACGCGTGTTTACTGTGTGGCTTTGGCAAGTTCATTAATTTCTCTGTGCCTCAGAGAAACTGTGCCTCAGTTTCTTCTTCTGTGAAAAATGGAGATGATACCAGAACCAATCCTAGCAGGCTGCTGTGAACACTAAGTACATGTTCTATGATCCATTTAGAACTGTGTCGAGCAGTTCGTGCAAATGTAGCCACTATGACTATCTCACCCTCAGTGCTACCCCAGGGGCAGCTTATCCCCTAAACATAATGACCACTGAATTAGGGGCTGTCAAGAGAAGACAGCAGCAAAGCAAGCTACCGAAGTTGGCTTCATCTCCTCCCTAGCTCCGCCCGAAGCCAAAAAATCTGCCCGAGGTGTTTATTCCAAACCTGACTGATCATGAAAATCACATTGGAGGAGGGGGCGGTTAAACATTCAGATTCCTGAGCCCAGATCCTCTAAATTCCAGGGCTGGGTCCAGGAATGTGCTAAAAAACAAACAAAAAAAAAGCCTCCAGGTTTTGTACTTACTGCATGAGAAAGGAAAATGTACATATTTAAGGGGAGTGCCTTGCTATCTTGGAGCATTATTAACCTGAGCCTCTTTTGTAGTTAAAGACTGTTTTTCATTGGGAAACAAAAATCTGCAGATTTTTAAACTAGTTCAAGAATTTAGCTGGGCATATTCCCAAGGGTTTGAAGGAAAGCGTTCTGATCTGCGGAATTCCTCAGCTGCACTGCGTGCTCTGAGATCACAGCTCTGGCTGCCCTAACCAGCCTGGGCCCCTGCTCCGCAAGACTCACCCACATGGACTTCAGGAGGGGTTTGGGGGCAAACCTGTGGCAATCAAATATATTCTTAAAATTGGAGAGGCGACCAGAAGCATTGAACTCAAGACAATATGGTTTTCAGAGAAGGTATTTTGAAGGATCTCCACTGAAAATCCACTTTCCATGCAAAGGGCAGAAGAGTTTCTCCAACGGGTGGCCCAGATTATAAAGCGCAAGGAAGGAGCTCTGCCCTTGCCGGACCACACACGTACGTGATCCACTTTACTCCCTTGTACCTGCCTCAGTAGCTCTCAAGGCCTTCTGGCCAGAATGACCAAAGTCACCTTGCTCAGAGGCTGCCAAATAGCACCCGGAGAAAACCCAGGCTCCCCCCAGGGCTGACTCAGATTATTTTGTGAATTTACACCGTTGTTTTTTTTTTTTGTTTTTGTTTTTGTTTTTGTTTTTTGAGACAGAGTCTCACTCTCTGACCCAGGCTGGAGTGCAGTGGAGTGATCTCAGCTCACTGCAACCTCTGCCTCCCAGGTTCAAGCAGTTCTCCTTTCTCGGCTTCCCGAATAACTGAGACTAAGGCGCGCACCACCATGCCTGGCTAATTTTTGTATTTTTAATAGAGACAGGGTTTCGCCATGTTGGACAGGCTGGTCTCAAACTCCTGACCTCAGGTGATCCACCCAGCTCAGCCTCCCAAAGTGCTGGCATTACAGGCATGAGCCACCGTGCCCGGCCGTGAATTTACATCTTTACATGATGATAAAACAGAGCATCATACCACACTCCAACGTGGCTGTTGCCAACTTTTACACTCTGCAGATCCCAGATGAAAGTCCCGGTCGGGCGCGGTGGCTCACGCCTGTAATCCCAGCACTTTGGGAGGCCAAGGCGGGCAGATCATTAGGTCAGGAGATCGAGACCACGGTGAAACCCCGTCTCTACTAAAAAATACAAAAAAATTATCCGGGCGACATAGCAGGCGCCTGTAGTCCCAGCTACTCGGGAGGCTGAGGCAGGAGAATGGCGTGAACCCGGGAGGCGGAGCTTGCAGTGAGCCGAGATCGCACCACTGCACCCCAGCCTGGGCGACAGAGCCAGACTCCGTCTCAAAAAAAAAAAAAAAAAAAAAAGTCCCCTCGCCCTCTCTCTGCCTGCCTCTGAACTCCCTTGAAGTGTGTCATTGATTAGGAAGCTGGAGCTCTGCCCTGGTCTTTTTGATGCCGGGCTAGCCCACAGAGGCTGCTGCATTGCTGCTGTTGGGGTGGTTGTTTTTTTTTCAGCAGCATTACTTTTTATTTCTAAATAAGTAAATAAACATTCAATCATGCCACTATTTTCCTTCCACTCTGGAAATCTTCAGAGTTCCAGCATGATGAGGCACAGCAGTTACTGGTCCCCTATCTCTGTCCCACCTTCCTCTCCCCAGTGAAAAGCCCCAGCCAAGCGAAGCAGTAAATAATTTCTCAGCATCAGGCACCTACCCAACGCCCATTACAACGGACAAAAGATGAAGCCTTACCTTGCCCTCCCTTGGCTCCGGAGAGCAAGCTGGGAGATGGCAAAGGAATTTGAACATAGCAGGTCATGGCCACGCGCCTCTGTGGCACCTGAGCTTTCTGTGAACCATTTGGCTGCTGCTATGGGACTCTTAAAAGTCAAATTTTTTGGCCGGGCGCAGTGGCTCACGCCTGTAATCCCAGCACTTTGGGAGGCCGAGGCGGGTGGATCACGAGGTCAGGAGATCGAGACCATCCTGGCTAACATGGTGAAACCCCGTCTCTACTAAAAATACAAAAAATTAGCCGGGCGTGGTGGTGGGCGCCTGTAGTCCCAGCTACTTGGGAGGCTGAGGCAGGAGAATGGCATGAACCCGGGAGGCAGAGCTTGCAGTGAGCCGAGATTGCGCCACTGCACTCCAGCCTGGGCAACAGAGAGAGGCTCCGTCTCAAAAACAAAACAAAAACAAACAAACAAACAAAAAAAGTCAAATTTTTTGATAGGAGATCAAACCACTTGGGGATGCTGAGACAAGAGGATCGCTTGAGGCCAGGAGTTCAAGACCAGCCTGGGTAACATAGTGAAACCTCATCTTTGCAAAAATGAATAGATAAATAACTAGCAGCATGGTGACACGCACCTGTGGTCCTAGCTACTTGGGAGGCTGAGGCAGGAAGATGGCTTGAGCTCAGGAGTTCAAGGCTGCAGTGAGCCGTGATTGCACCACTGCACTCCTGTGTGACAGAGCAAAACCCTGTGGCTACAAAATAATAAAATGAAATGAAATCCAAGCCATTAGATAGTCTCAGCAATTAATATAAAACCTTCTTCCTAGCCTTGCAGGCTTCAGGATTCATTTTAGGCAGAGAATCCTCATTCTGCAAAGGAAAGCCACAGAAAGTGATAACAACGAATCACAAACTTACAGGTTGCCTGAGTCAAGGCTTTCTTCATCTTATCTACCAGGAACAAAACGAGGGGTACATTAACCACAGCAGCTGCCTGCAGCTCTCTGCCTCCCCAGGCCACCAGAGTGTGTGTCTGACCCAGCACCCTCACCCTTCTTGGTGTAAGAAGAAACACTTTGAATTGAACATACATGTTTATATATGGGAAAGACAGATTCGTCTTTCCAATATTGGGGTTCCTGTATGTTTTAGTTTTGTTAATTTTTTTTTTTTGAGACACAGTTTCACTCTTAGTTGCCCAGGCTGGAGTGCAGGGGCATGATCTCGGCTCACTGCAAATTCCACCTCCTGGGATCAAGCGATTCTCCTGTCTCAGCCTCCCAAGTAGCTGGGATTACAGGCACCCGCCACCTTGCCGGGCTAATTTTTTTATTTTTAGTAGAGACAGGGTTTCACCATGTTGGCCAGGCTGGTCTCAAACTACTGACTTCAGGTGATCCGCCCACCTCGGCCTCCCAAAGTGCTGGGATTACAGGTGTGAGCCACCGTGCCTGGCCAGTTTGGTTGATTAAAAGATTCTTTTTTTTTATTTTGAGACAGACTCTTGCTCTGTCACCCAGGCTAGAGTGCAGTGGCACAGTCTTGGCTCACTGCAATCTCCACCTCCGAGTTCAAGCAATTCTCCTGCCTCAGCCTCCTGAGTAGCTTGGACTACAGGTGCCCACTACCATGCCCAGCTAATTTTTTGTGTTTTTAGGAGGGATGAACTTTTGCCATTTTTGCCCAGGCTGGTCTTGAACCCCTGGGCTCAAGCTATCCACCTGTCTTGGCCTCCCAAAGTGCTGGAATTATAGACATGAGCCACCACGTATGGCCTAAAAGGTTCTACTTATTTAAAAGCCACATCCAGGTGCAGTGGCTCATGCCTGTGATCTCAAGGTGGGAGGAATTGATTGAGGCTAGGAGTTAGAGAATAGCCCTGGCAACATAGCAAGACCCTGTCTCTACAAAAAAATTAAAAAAAAAAAATGAGTTTGGCATGATGGCACACACCTATAGTCCTGGCTACTGGGGTGGCTGAGGCAGGAGGATCATTTGAGCTCAAGAGTTTGAGGTTGCAGTGAGCCTTGATTGTGTCACTGTGATACAGGAGTGCTGGGAAGGGAAGAGTGTGGTCCCTTTAAATGATGTGGAAGCGGGGAAGAGAAGTGCTGGGAGGAATCTGAACACAGCAGGTCATGGCCTCTGCTACACCTCAGCTTTCTGTGGACCATTTGGCTACTGCTATGGGACTCTTAAAAGTCAAAATTTTTTTTAAATAAGAGATCCAGCCACTTGAGGATGCTGAGGCTGAAGGATTGCTTGAGGCCAAGAGTTCAAGACCAGCCTGGGCAACATAGTGAGACCTCATCTTTACAAAATACAAAATTAATTAATTAATTAAAAACTATCAGAGCATGGTGGCAAGCATCTGTGGTATTAGCTGCTTGAGAGGGCGTGGTCCCTGGCTAGGGCTCCACCCCCACAGACCTAGGTGAAGACAGGCACTTCTGTCTTCATGCCCAAATGTTGCATTTTCCAAGACCACCCTGGCCCACTATGCCCCCATCTTGAGTCTATAAAAACCTAAGACCGGCCGGGCACAGTGGCTCATGCCTGTAATCCCAGCACTTTGGGAAGCCGGGGCGGGCAGCTCACAAGGTTAAGAGATTGAGACCATCCTGGCTAATACGGTGAAACCCTGTCTCTACTAAAAATACAAAAAATTAGCTGGGCATGGTGGTGGGCACCTGTAGTCCCAGCTACTTGGGAGGCTGAGGCAGGAGAATGGCATGAACCTGGGAGGCAGAGCTTGCAGTGAGCCAAGATCACACCACTGCACTCCAGCCTGGGTGACAGGGTGAGACTCTGTCTCAAAAAACAAAACAAAACAAAACAAAACAAAATAAAAATAAAACCCAAGACCCTAGCAAGGCAGAGACACACAAGCAGCTGGATGTTGTAAGGAATACATCGGTGGAAGAAGACATAAGTGGCTGGTTGTCAAGAGCATGCCGAAGGAAGAGCACACTGACAGGCACCAGCAGGCCAGCACACCAGTAGGCCAACAACTGGCAGAACGACATGGAGTTTGGCCGAGGCAGCTGGAAGAGAGCCCAGGCTGCCGAGTGGCCCGACTCCAGGGGAAAACAGTCTCCCTCTGGCTCCCTCGTCTGCTGAGAGCTACTTCCAGTCAATAAAACCTTGCACTCATTCTCCAAGCCCACATGTGATCTGATTCTTCCAGTACACCAAGGCAAGAAACCTTGGGGTACAGAAAGCCCTCTGCCCTTGTGACAAGGTAGAGGGTCTAATTGAGCTGACCAACACAAGCCACCTATAGATGGCAGGCTAAAAGAGCACCCTGTAACACACGCCCACTGGGGCTTCAGGGGCCATAAACATTCATTCCTAGACATTGGCATGGGGTCAGAGCCCACAGCCTGCCCGTCTGTATGCTCCCCTAGAGGTTTGAGCAGCTGGGCACTGAAGAAGTGAGTCACACCCCCATCACACTCCCTGCAAGGGGAGCAAGGGAACCTTTCCCATTTCAACTGGGGGCTCGCCCGGGATCCTGGAAGGTGAGTGTAAACAAATGTGAAACTGTCGGGTCTGCGTCTCTTCCAAAAGCTTGCCATCTTTCTCTTTCCTGCAGGTAAGAGGCTGATTCCCTTCAGAAACTCTGCCCTAACTGGCCAGTGAAAACCCCCAGACTTTTTTTTTTTTCTCTCACACAGCTCAAAATGATTCTTATCTCTTCCTTTATAATGTTAAGAGTTTTGCTACATGCTGCAGCAATGTTACTAAGTAAAATGACCATTAGGCTCAGACGCCAAAGGTGCAAATCAGACCAATTGTTCCTGGAGGTGCCATGTATACCTCCACCTCAACAGGCACAGGCACGCAGTGCTAAGGGCACCTCTCCTTATCCTTTTCCCTCCTCGCTCAGGCACCTAGGTGTGCCCACAGAAGGCCATGAGTGGGTGTGGGAGAAAGCTGTGACAGTAGCCATGAACCCACAGTAGCTGCACTCCCACAGGGCCAACAGATGGGCGCTTTCTTTCTTTCCCTGGCCAACGAATTAGAGATGGTCTGAACCAGGGAAAAAATATAAGGATTAGAAAGGCCCAGTTGCACTAAGCAAAGTGTTCTTCCCCAGAATCTTCCCCTTTTCCCCCTTAAATTGTTTTTCTCTTTTTTCTTTTTCTAAGTGAGAGTCCCCCCACAACCCCCACTCTTTCTGATAGGAAAGTTAACAGAGGAACAACCCCTGCTGTCTGAGAACTGCAAATTTGGCAGGGCACATTTGAGACACTCTAAACACATACAAATAGCCTCTAAAATATCTTTTCAGTCCCAAACTGGATTCCAAGCTTCAGGCAGAGGCCCTAGAAAGAAATCCACGTCTGAGGGATCCAAAGCGAGGCAACAGGAACGATGTAAACGGGCAGGACCAATTCCTGCTGACTAAACCCCCACACGTCATGGAAGAAGGCCATGCTTCATGGCATAAACAGGCCCAGGGAACTCAGTTTACCGACAGCAGGGAGAAAGGGAAGCATAGGTGAGGGCGGTTAATTCCTATTCTCCAGGTTTTCCCTGCTTCATGGATACGTACCACATCAGTACCCATGGCTGGCACCTGCCAAGTTTGCCGGGGCTCAGGGATAAAGGGTGGAGAGTGAAGGGAGGATGCTCGCTTTCTCTATTCATCACACCCTGAGTTTTTGCTGAGAGAAGGAAGGGAATGAGGGATGCCTCTATTCCCTGTCTTTCAGAATGGGCAACCCGTTCTCTTCACCACCCCCAGCTTATACTCCTCTGGAGTGTATCCTGAACCACTGGAACTGCTTGGACTCTCAGAGTCTGGAGGAAAAGTGCCTCATATCCCTCTGCACAAAGGTTTGGCCAAATTATGATTCACAGGAAAGACTGGCTTGGCCTCAGGGAGGAACCATTCATTTCAATACAATCTGGCAATTGGAACTTTTCTGTAGATGTGAGGGCAGGTAGTCTGAGGCTCCATATGTGTAGGCTTTCTGTACCTTGCAAGGACCTTTGCCGACAGTGTAGGATTGATCTAGCCTTCCTGTTTGCCATCTCAAGGAAGGCTGCAAGGGGCAAGCCCAGGGAAGTAAAGACACGAGTGCCAGAGGCACCCCCAGCAGAGGAGCCAGCTCCCTCAAACCCTGTTCCTCCAAGTTCACCCCTGCCTCCTTCTACAGCTTCAGCGTCTCACTTGCCCACTCCTAAAAATCCTCCCCCTAAACAAGCCCCAGTCTCACTTTTGCCCCTCCAACAAATGCCCAGTGAATTTGGGCCCAGTAAGGTCCAGGTCCCCTTCTCCCTACGGGACTTAAAGTAAATTAAGGAAGATCTTTGCAAGTTTTCAGATGACCCTGATAGATAAATAGAGGCTTTCCAGAATTTCACCCAAATATTTGAACTCTCCTGGAGAGATGTTATGTTACTTTTGAATCAGACCCTGATGGACACTGAGAAACAGGTCGCTCTTCAAGCAGCAGAGAGATTTGGGGATGAGCTTTGTGTCACATATAGCATCAGGGAAGGGGGTGAACATTATCCAACCTGAAGAGAAGCAGTACCAGTGAATGACCCTACATGGGATCCCAGTGACAAGATGGAAGATGAGAAGAGGAAACACTTTCAGGTGTGCATAATGGAGGGCTTACATAGGACTCTCAATTATACTAAGTTGTCCATGATTGACCAGGGATTTGATGAAAATCCCACTGCCTTCCTGGAAAGGCTAAGAGAGGCCTTGGTAAAGCACACCTCTCTATCTCCTGATTCAGTCAAGGGACGGCTAATCCTAAAGGATAAATTTATCACTCAGGCTGCCCCTGACATCAGTAGGAAGTTGCAAAAACCGGTCCTAGGACCAGACAGTATATTAGAGGACCTCTTGAAAGTGGCTACCTCAGTCTTTTATAATAGAGAAAGGGAAGCCTAGGAAAGAGAGACAAGATACAGGTATTCCCAGGGTGCATCTGTGAATTGCTAAGGATATGGCAAGAACAGCTATCTCTCTTCTAAAGTTTATCCGCTCCCATACAAGGTTTAATTTCTTTCACCAGGATGAAACAGCTTGGGGTACAATGTTGTTGTTAGTATATTTTACTTCTTGTCTCTGTAATCTTTGGCACTCAATTCTTTCCTTGTTATAATACACATGTTTAACTCATGCATTCTTAACCTTATAAAACTTGTTTTTTTCTCTCATGCCTAGAAACCCTCAAACTCCAAACCGTCAGGCAACCGGAGCCTCAAACGATGGCTCCCCTTTGCTAGGAACCCTTAGATAGACCTCTGGGAGGAGTCTGACTGCCGTTTTCCCCAAAACAACGCCCCTGTCAACAGGAAACAGCTAAGACCGGTCATCGTCCATATTCTAGTGGCAGTTAGATGTACCTCTTTAAAGGGGGGATATGATAAGGGAGTGCTGGGAAGGGAAGAGCGTGGTCCCTTTAAATGATACAGAAGCAGAGAGGGGAAGAGCTGGGTAGAAGAAGGCGGGTTCCTGGCTAGGGCTTCACCCCCAAGGACCTAGGTGAGGACAGGCACTTCTGCTTTCACGTCCAAATGTTGCAATTTCCAAGACCACCCTGGCCCACCACCACCTGGCCCCATCCTGGGCCTATAAAAACTGAGACCTTAACAAGGCAGAGACACACAAGCGACTGGACATTGTGAGGAACACATAGGTGGAAGAAGACACAAGCGGCTGATCGTCGAGAGCACGCAGGCAGAAGAGCACATTGACAGGCACCGGCATGCCCGCAGGCCATCAACTGGTGTAATGACATGGAGTTTGGCTGGGGCAGTCTGAGGAGAGCCTGGGCTGCCGAGCTGCCCAACTCCAGGGGAAAACAATTTCCCTCTGGCTCCCCTGTCTGCTGAGAGCTACTTCCACTCAATAAAACCTTGCACTCATTCTGCAAGCCCATGTGTGATCTGATTCTTCTAGTACACCAAGGCAAGAAACCCAGGGATACAGAAAGCCCTCTGTCCTTGAGACAAGGTAGACGGTCTAATTGAGCTGACTAACACAAGCTGCCTATGGATGGCAAACTAAAAGATCACCCTGTAACACACGCCCACTGGGGCTTCAGAAGTTGTAAACATTCACCCCTAGACACTGCCATGGCATCAGAGCCCCACAACCTGCCTGTCTGTATGCTCCCCTAGAGGTGTGAGCAGGGGGGCACCAAAGAAGTGAGCCACATCCCCATCACATGCCCTGTGAAGAGGACAAGGGAACTTTTCCCGTTTCAACTGCATTACAGCAACATAATGAGATACTGTCTCTTTAAAAAAGTCTGAAAACCACTAATCTACGGTTCTATTGGCGTGATTCACAGCTGAGAAAACTGGGGCTGCAGGACAGGGTGCTGAGCCAAGACGGGCACTGAGTTCTTTCTCCGGGTCAGAGCAAGCTCCTTCCTCCTCCACCAGTGTCTTTTCTCCTGACTTGTTTTCTGACCATTCACCCTGGGTTCAGCTTGGAGCAGGGCCTGTGTATTTACTGCTGAGGCCACATTAACTCTTAGCAATGATTAAATTTTGACATCTCAAAACCACACTTCCGAATGTCCCCTTCAGAGGGATGCAATGATAACTCCTGCAGACCTTCAGCAAAGGGATATTACTTTTGTGCCCCCTTGGTCCCAGTGTAAAAGTGTTGACTGAAATTAAAAAGGGGAAGTGGTTGTAATTCACCAGGGCCTTTCCTCTTAAGTGGGTCTTGACTTTAATTTCCACCCTCAAGGTGAAGGGCAGAAGGTTTCTCTGCAATTTCACATTAGTTTAACAAATGGTTTAATGAGCACTAAAATCAGTGCTACCCTATGTTGCCCAACCCCAGGAAGAGTGATTCACATTGAATAGAATGTGGATGCTGCCTGTCCCTGGGATGGTGGGGTTCACAGCTTTGCCTAAGAAATCTGTTCAGTGTGTACATTAACACAATGCACGGGGGGAAGGTGATTCACACCAATTCATGGGGGAAGGTGATTCACACCAATGCATTGGGGAAGACATCAACCAGGGGAGGAGACGGCCACATAAGGAAAGAAGCATATTGTGATATGGAAGGTAAAACAGAGGTGCAGGGTGGCCTGGAGGAGGAAATGACTGACACTGAGAGGGGTTTAGGGATGTCCTCATGGAGATGGTGACATCTGAGCTGCATTTTGAGACCTCTGCCGAAATCAGTCATGTCACACTGTGTGATTCAGAGCCACCTGTGTGATTCAGAAGCAGCTGGTGAAAAACACCGTGAAGCTTCCCACTATGGAGAGACCCTCTGACGACAAACTCAGGCCCAACTGATGGCAGATCCTGCTCAGCACACATTTGACAAAGCAAAGTTCACCTTGTTAGAAGTTGACACCCCCCACCTGCTCCTGTGCAGAGGTCCTGCATTCTTACACCCTGGCCAGAAGAGGTGTCAGAGTGGGGCATGGACTCTGTAAGCTGCAAAAGAAGCTGCCTGGGAGGAGTCAGGCTGGAGGTCAGCTTCTACTTTAAATTCTCTATGGGACACTGGTAAAACTACAGCCAGGATTCAATTCCAAGAAGGTTATCAGAGAGACAATCCAAGGTTTAGGTGCAAAGATGTTCAGGGCAGCATTGTTTATAATTATGAGAAATATAACAATCAGAAAACATTTCCTGAGGACACTATGGTCAGGGAGCAGTTTCTGTGTTTTAAAGGAATAGCCTGCTGTGGTTTTGAATAGTTGTGTCCCCTCTAAAACTCATGTTGAAACGTAATCCCCAATGCAACAGTGTTAAGAGGTGTGGCCTAATTAGGAGGTGATTGAGTCATGAAGGCTCTGACAACCTGATGGGATTAGATGCCCTTAGGAAAAGCCCTGGTGGAGGGAGTAAGTTCCCTGGTTGGCCCCTTTGGTTCCTCCCACCTTGTAAGGACACCATGTTCCTCCCCTTGGTCGTATGCAGCAATAAGACACCATTTTGGAAGAGCAGACCAGGCTGTCCCCAGGCACTGAACCTGCTGCGACCTTAATCTTGGACTTTTCAGCCTCTAGAACTGTTGATAAAATACATTTCTGCTCTTTATAAATTATTCAGTCTCTGGTTTCTTGTTATAGCAGCACAAACAGTCAAAGACATAGCCTATTGAGACAGGAATTATAATTGTTCCCATTTCCCAGGCAGCAAAACAGGAACTCTAAGAGGGCAGGTTTGAACTCAACCTGCATGGGATTGGCAAGGTGAAAATGATGGCTTCAGGCCGGGAGCAGTGGCTCACGCCTGTAATCACAACAATTTGGGAGGCCAAGGTGGGCGGATCACCTGAGGTTAGGAATTCGAGACTAGCCTGGCCAACATGGTGAAACCCCTTCTCTACTAAAAAAAAAAAAAAAAAAAAATACAAAGATTAGCCGGGCATGGTAGTGCACACCTGTAGTCCCAGCTACTCAGGAGGCTGAGACAGGAGAATCTCTTGAACCCTGGAGGGGGAGGTTGCAGTGAGCAGAGATCGTGCCACTGCACTCCAGCTTGGGCGACAGAGCGATAATCTGTCTCAGGAAAAAATAAATAAAATAAAATGATGGCTTCAAAAAATTTTCTTAGAAGATTTTGCTCAAACAATCTAAAGTTATGCAGAAAAGACATGCTTACATAGATAAAAACATGCTTAGAAGGAACCTTGGGCAGTGGGCATGGTGGCTCACACCTGTAATCCCAGCATTTTGGGAGGCCGAGGCAGGCAGATCACAAGGTCAGGAGATTGAGACCATCCTGGCCAACATGGTGAAACCCCATCTCTACTAAAAATACAAAAATTAGCCAGGCGTGGTGGTGTGCACCTGCGGGAGGCTGAGGCAGGAGAATCACTTGAACCCAGGAGGCAGAGGTTGCAGTGAGCCAGTGAGAGGTGAAGCCAGCTGGATTTCCTGGGTTGAGTGGGGACTTGGACAACTTTTCTGTCCAGCTAAAGTATTGTAAACACACCAATCAGCCCTCAGTGTCTAGCTAAAGGATTGTAAACACACCAATCGGCACTCTGTAAAAATGCACCAATCAGCGCTCTGTGTCTAGCTAAAGGATTGTACACGCACCAATCACAGCTCTGTAAAATGGACTAACCAGTGCTCTGTAAAATGGACCCATCAGTGCTCCGTAAAATGGACCAATCAGCAGGACGTGGGTGGGGCCAAATAAGGGAATAAAAGCTGGCCACCAGAGCCAGCAGCAGCAACCTGCTCAGGTCCCCTTCCAGGCTGTAGAAGCTTTGTTCTTTTGCTCTTCACAATAAATCTTGCTGCTGTTCATTCTTTGGGTCCACACTACCTTTATGAGCTGTAACACTCACCATGAGGGTCTGTGGCTTCATTCCTGAAGTCAGTGAGACCACGAACCCACCAAGAGGAACAAACAACTCTGGACACGCCACCGTTAAGAGTTGTAACACTCACTGCGAAGGTCCGTGGCTTCACTTCTGAGGTCAGTGAGACCACGAACCCACCAGAAGGAAGAAACTCCGGACACATCTGAACATCTGAAGGAACAAACTTCGGACACATCTTTAAGAGCTGTAACACTCACTGCAAGGGTCTGCAGCTTCATTCTTGAAGTCATAGAGACCAAGAACCCACCAGAAAGAATAAATTCTGGACACATGGAGATCGTGCCATTGCACTCCAGCCTGGAGGCAGAGGGAGACTCTGTCTCGAAAAAAAAAAAAAGGAACCTTGCAAGAAGTAAACATGTTAATGGTGACAACCAGGATTGTCCCTTGGGGGTAGGATTACTGGCAATTGTTAAGGCACCTTAGACTTTTCCTTCATTTTCTAGTTTCCCACTGTGGGGTTACATTACTTTCATGATGTGAAAAACCCATGCTACTTGCCAATGACTTAAATTATATATTCGACTGGGCACAGTGGCTCACACCTCTAATCCCAACACTTTGGGAGGCTGTGGTGGGCAGATAGTTTGAGCCCAGGAGTTCAAGACCAACCTGGGCAATACAGTGAGACCCCATCTCTACAAAAAATGTAGAAACATCATCCACAAAATATGTAGAGACATCCTCATGCCGGTAGCCCAAGCTACTCAGGAAGCTGGGACAAGAGGTTCACTTGAGCCTGGGAGGCAGAGGTTACTGTGAGCCAAGATCGCACCACTGCTCTCCAGCCTGAGTGATAGAGCAAGACTCTGTCTCCAATAAATGAGTGAATGATATGTTCTTGCAGTATTGGACCTGTTGGCATCTAAATATCTCACCTCAAAGATTATAGAAGTGCTGTTCTGGATGTTGCTATCCCTGTGAAACCTTCTCCAACCCCCGCCCTCCCTCCTTGGCTTAATTGCGGATACTGTTTCCAAGTAAAGCAAATTTCATTTCTCCAAATTAAAGTGACATGAAGCAGGTTTTTCACCCTGGTCAGCCCTTGCCACATAGTTGGGATGCCAGAATTCTTTCAAATAGCATGGAAAGTCCCAAAGACCAAACTAGAGTTCAACCTCTAAGTAAATAACTTCTCTTGCCAACATTCCTTTCTGGGGTGAGCCTTCCAATTTTTTTCATGCAAGTCAGTCTGTAAACTCTGCACAGCCAGCCTGGTGAGGCCCTACAGTAAACAGCGCACCTCCACTCCATATACGTGATTAAGGAGCTGGGGTCCAGACCTCAAAGTGTCCTCAACATGCGTTCAGGAAGAGCCATTTGTTACCTATGGTAGACTGCTGAAGCTGATGGTGACTTACTTAGAAAGTAATGAAACAGGACAGGCGCAGTGGCTCACGCCTGTAATCCCAGCACTTTGGGAGGCCAAGGCAGGTGGATCTCCTGAGTTCAGGAGTTCGAGGCCAACCTGACCAACATGGTGAAACCCCGTCTTTACTAAAAATACAAAAATTAGCCAGGCATGGTGGCAGGCACCTGTAATCCCAGCTACTCGGGAGGGTGAGACATGAGAATAGCTTGAACCTGGGAGGCGAAGGTTGATTGCGCCATTGCACTCCAGCCTGGGCAACACAGCAAGACTCTGTCTCAAAAAAAATAAAAAATAAAAACAAAAGTAATGAAACAGGCCAGGTGCAGTGGCTCAGGCCTATAATCCCGGCAGTTTGGGAGACCGAGGCAGGTGGATCACGAGGTCAGGAGATTGAGACCATCCTGGCCAACATGACTTTTTTTTGAGACAAAGAAAGAGAGAGAGAGAGAGAGGGAGGCAGGGAGGGAGGGAGGGAGAAAGAAAGAAATGAAAGAAAAGAAAGAGAAAGAAAGAGAAAGTAATGAAATAGCAGAGGCAAAGTGATGTCTCCAGCAATGGGGTTCTCATTCCCTTTCCTACTGATGCCTGTACTACTCTGGTTAAAAAGAGTAAACTCACTCACAACCCTGGGCCCTCCATCCTGTGTGCTGCAATGGAGTGAAAGTTTGGAAATTCCAACTAAGAAATTAAACATTGAGCAAAGAGTCTGCTTTCTCCAGTATTGGGTATAAAGTCAAATGGCATTAGGGCTGAGGGCCTCGTATGGCATCTTTGCCTGGGTGGACTGGCTGGTGCAGTGAGTTCAGGGTACAGAAGGCACTGAGGAGCCAATGCAATCTGGGGTCTGGGGTCAGTAGGACAGGGCTTGTCAAAAGTACGAACATTAAGAGGGTTCTGTGGCAGGGGTGGGGTAAGGGAAGACTCCGAAGGCTGGAGCAGAAGCATTGGCAGCAGCGCCGTGACTGGGCCAGTCAGCTTTATTCTCTGCTGGCTGTTGGTACTCTGGCTGAATATGAACAAGCCTGGGACACTGGTGCTGACTGGTCACAGTTGCGATGGTCAGACAGTCAATACCTGCGGGTAAAGCCTGTCTCTGATTAAGATGGAGACTGCTAGGCTAGGATTCCTCCCCAGGCTCCTCTTGTCTGTCATCTGCTTATGAACTTTCTAAATTTGGCCCGGCACAGTGGCTCACGCCTGTAATCCCAGCACTTTGGGAGGCCAAGGCGGGTGGATCATGAAGTCAGGAGTTCGAGACCAGCCTGGCCAACATGGCGAAACCTCGTCTCTGCTAAAAATACAAAAATTAGCCAGCTGTGGTGGCAGGCGCCCGTAATCCCGGCTACTCCAGAGGCTGAGGCAGGAGAACTGCTTGAGCCTGGGAGGTGGAGGTTGCAGTGAGCAGAGATTGCGCCACTGCACTCCAGCCTTGGTGACAGACCAAACTCTATCTCAAAAACAAACAAACAAAAAAAATTTCTACATTTATAAATGGTGTTTTAAAAAGAAAAAGAAACCTGGAACATTGCTATGGGCTGAGTTGCGCCTCCTAAAATCCCAAGGTTGATGTCCCAACCACAGTGCCTTAGTGTGTGACTGAATGTGAGATAGGATCTTTAAAGAGGTAATTAAGGCCAGGCTTGGTGGCTCACGCCTGTAATCCCAGCATTTTGGGAGGCTGAGGCAGGCAGATCATGAGGTCAGGAGATTGAGACCAGCCTGACCAACATGGTGAAACCCCGTGTCTACTAAAATACAAAAAATTAGCCAGGCGTGGTGGGGTGTGCCTGTAGTCCCAGCTACTCCGGAGGCTGAGGCAGGGGAATTGCTTGAACCCGGGAGGTGGAGGTTGCAGTGAGCTGAGATTGCTCCACTGCACTCCAGCCTGGCGACAGAGTGAGACTCTGTCTCAAAAAATAAATAAATAAATAAAAATAAGGAGGTAATTAAAGTTTAATGAGGTCATTAGGGTGGGCCCTAATGTAATATGACTGGTGTCTTTAAAACAAGAGGACATTAGGACACAGATACACACAGAGGGACAACACCTGGGGAAGGTGGCATCTACAAGCCCAGGAGACAGGCCCCAGAAGAAACCAACTCGGCCCATACCTGGATCTCAGACTTTCAGCTTCCAAAACTGAGAATAAACTTATACTGTTCAAGCTTCCCTGTCTGCAGTATTTCCTTTTTTTTTTTTTTTTTTTGAGACAGAGTCTCACTGTGTCGCCCAGGCTGGAGTGCAGTAGTGCAGTCTTGACTCACTGCAACCTCCACCTCCCGGGTTCAAGCAATTCTCCTGTCTCAGCCTCCTGAGTGGCTGGGACTGTAGGTGCTCACCACCACACCTGGCTAATTTTTGTATTTTTAGTAGAGATAGGGTTTCACCATATGGGTCAGACTGGTCTCAAACTCCTGACCTCAGGTGATCCACCCACCTCGCCTCTCAAAGTGCTGGGATTACAAGCCTGAGCCGCCACATCCTGCCTGTAGTATTTTCTTACTGCAACTTAGCAAGCTACAATATGAAGCAAAAATACAGACATGAAGCATGAAGTATACATTTGCTTTAATTATCTATGTATGCTCTATGCCACATCTGCCATGTACTACTTTAAAGCCATGTACAGGCCTGTACAGGGACACTCAGCACAGTGTCACATATGTAGATCTAAGCACCTGAGTCATTTTCAAGGACACTTGCTTTTGGGGTCCCAGAGCCTAGGACAGTCATTTGAATCTGCTGTACACACGTTCTCAAAAACACCCACCCCAAGTGGTGTGTTTACTGATCATGCCATCTCAGAGTGAATGTCACCGCCAACCTAACCAGAGATACACAGCGAGTGCCCTCCAGGAAGGTCCTTAACCTTTCCAGCATCCTTAGATGATCTGTTCTTGCTCCATCAAACAAGTGAGCAGAGGAATGTGGCCCTCAGAACAATTGCATCCAGGGAGCGAAGACTGAATCTGGTCTCAGGCAGGGTAAAGATTTGTCTCCGCCTCACTCTCCCTGAGTGGTCAGAAAGCGGCCCTGTGATGGTGAGCAGTCTAAAGGTGGAGGTGCGTGCAAGTGCCCGGTGTGAGCAGGTCAGCCCCGCGCTGGTCAGCTCTTCACTGACTCCCTCCACTGCAGATCTGGAAGTGTGGGTGCTGTACTCAGACAGGAATGTCATCAAGCCGAAGAGCACCTTCTACTGGAGTTCAGGTAAGGTTTTTGCTCCAGACATTTTTCATCTGTAGAATGTTAATATCTAGACATTAAACATTCATATAATCATAAGAGTTTTCCAGGCCCCCTATATATGCAAATGGTAAATAACTTAATTATAGTCAGAAAATCGATAGGTGAAAGTAAAAAGTTCCATTTATAATGTTACTGAGATTAGTAACATTCAGAAATTGAAAATCTGCTTTTAGATTTTTTCCCAACAAATTTTATCTATGAAGTAAAATAGGTTCCTCGGCTCCCTTCTCTTGAAGGCAGAGTAAATGAATATTTATAAGTCACTTTTCACATCCTTACAGGGCACTTCACAACCCTTGTTTTATTAGGGACAAAGCACTCTGTAGTGAGAAATAATCAGTGTTGCGATGTTGGTCATCCTTATGTGCCTATTATCTTTTTTTTCTTTTTTTTTTTTTTGAGACAGAGTCTCACTCTGTAACACCCAGGCTGGAGTGCAGTGGCACGATCTTGGCTCTTGTCTGTCCACTGGTTAAAGCGATACTCCTGCCTCAGCCTCCCGAGTAGCTGAGATTACAGGCGCCCGCCACCATGCCTGGCTAACTTTTGTGTTTTTTGTTTCTTAGTAGAGACAGGGTTTCACCGTGTTGGCCAGGCTGGTCTCGAACTCCTGACCTCAAATGACCCACCTCTGCCTCCCAAAGTGCTGGGATTCCAGGCGTGAGCCACCGCACCAGGACCCCCTTATGTGCCCATTATCTACGAGGCTCAGTATAGGATTTATCTCACCAAAATCTGACCCTAACCCTACATGGTTCCCAGAGAAGTGATTGCTAATTATTATTAACACATGGAACAACTATAATAGTTATTATTATTTTGAACACAGTCTTGCTCTGTCACCCAGACTGGAGTGCAGTGGTGCAATCTTGGCTAACTGCAACCTCCATCTCCCGGATTCAAGTGATTCTCCTGCCTCAGCCTCCTCAGTAGCTGGGATTACAGGCACGCACCACCAAGCCTGGCTAATTTTTCTATTTTTAGTAGAGATGGGGTCTCACCATGTTGGCCAGGCTGGTCTCGAACTCCTGGCCTCAAATGATCCACCCACCTCAGCCTCCCAAAGTGTTAGGATTATAGGTATGAGCTGCGGTGCTCAGCCACATTGAACAATTATAGCATGGCAGGTGCTTATGTGAATCAGCTGCTCAAGTCTTCATAACCAACCCATGGAGAAGGAAGGGCCTCTCACTGTGACCCCACATTGTCAATGGAGAAACAAACGCCGAGACCAAGAACCTCACCGGGCGTGCTGGCTGGCGTCTATAGTCCCAACTACTCAGGAGGCTGAGGCAGGGGAATCGCTTGAACCCAGGAGGCGTAGGTTGCAGTTAGCTGAGATTGCGCCACTGCACTCCAGCCTGGCAACAAGGCAAGACTCTGTCTCAAAAAAAAAAAAGGCCCTGGAGTGGACAGTGGCAGAACTGGGGTATGATGCTGGAGATTGACGCTGAGCGACAAGTCACCACATCCCCCACCTACCTTCCCTCCACACATTTCCTAACTTGCCCCACGTCAAAGAGTTATCAGTAACTATACCACAGTTGTTTTGATGATTGCAAAGAGCAAGAATGGGAATAAATCCCTTCTTGATGTCTCAGCCCTCATGTGGATTTGGCGGAGGCCAAGAGCTGGCTTCATCAGCTTCTGTTTATGAGCAGAGCTTCCAAGGCCTGTCTGTGCAGAGAGAGCTTGAATACATCCCAGGAAAGACCACGAGTGAGGCGCTCATTCAGCAGAAGGGTTTTACAGAATGGCTTGGAATATGTGAAGGCCCACGGAGCTGGAGCGGAGGGAGCCAGGCATCAGTTGCCCTGTCTGAACCTTCAAGAAGGCTGAGGGCTCTGCCTTCCTTGTTCATCTAACTCTGCAAGTTTTGGGGACAGGGAAAAAGTGTTACTATTTCCACAGCTGATCCAGTTCTTACAAAGCCTCGAGCTTGGAAAGAAAGAGAGGGAGAAAACCTTCAGCCCTATCACTGATTTCAGAGTGCAGAGCAGGCTGCCAGGGGCTCTCCAGGCAAAGGCAGCGGCAGTGGCCTCCCTATTGCCCTGCTGGGAGCAGGCTCATCCCTCACCATCCCTCCTCTTCTCATTTCTACCCCCAGGAGCTCAGTTAGTTGCTGCTGGCTCGTTTCTATTTACACAACTGGAAAAGTAATGTGTGGTCTCTCCCAAACAGTTGGGCGATCTGTGTAATTATGCAACAGTAGAAAACAGCAGCTCTGTTTGGAAAGCAGGGTTATGATCTCCTAGCTGGGGATTGTTTATGGAGATGAATCTCATGGCAGGCTCAATTTCCTTAAGCAGCTCCTCTCCCTGCCAGGTCAGGTCCTTCCCTGGTCACAGACTGCACTGTCTTCTGGAGTCTTGGCTGTCCTGGACATAAGCCATTTCTAGTGAGTGGTATGTACCACCTTCCATTCTGCAGTTCTAAGGAGGAATCTGGAAGCATTCACAGCTAATCGTCTCTATGGGTGCCCCCACTACCGTGCCCCTCTGCCCCGGGAACACACAGCTATTGCCATTTGCCTCACACCAGCCCTCTTCCAGTTCCAAAACGTTCAAAGTGATTGCTCGGCAAGAGAAAGGTTGCCTATCCTGCACGAGGCGCTGTGTTTCTCCAGCTCTATAATATACTGGTGGTTTACAATGTCACCATCAGGAACAATTCCCGGCAGAGGGTAATCGGCCAAAAGGACAAGTCAAATCAACACAGGCAAACAGCCAAGCCCAGGTGGCAGGGTCGGTCTGCAGAGGAGGCTGAGCATTTATATGGAGGCCTGAAGGTTTGTCCTTGAAAAGGCAAATTGTCTAGATATCAGGTTAGCATCTGGTGGGTGTGTTGAAGAATTACAAGCTGGTAGTTAAAGGGCAATTGCTTTTCCTTGAGACAAAAATGGCCTAAGTGGTTAGATGGAAAGGGCAAGGGAGATATTGGAATGGTGAGCCCATGAAAGACACAGACTTGGGTCCTGGAGACGGGCCCCACTCCTGTGAGCCAGGGCACTGGCCTGGGGGATCCCAAACCGGCAAGTCAGCCGCCGACAGCACTGTCTGCTCCTCAGCCCATCCTCAGGGCTCCATAGAAGCCTCTCTGTCACCGTGTCTCAGAGACTTTTTTTTTTTTTTTTTTAAGATGGAGTCTCACTCTGTCGCCCAGGCTGGAGTGCAGGGGCATGATCTCGGCTCACTGCAACCTCCGCCTCTTGGGTTCAAGCAATTCTCCAGCCTCAGCCTCCTGAATAGCGGGGATTACAGGCCTGCGCCACCATGCCCGGCTAATTTTTGTATTTTTAGTAAAGATGGGGTTTCACCATGTTGGCCAGGCTGGTCTCAAACTCCTGACCTCGTGATCCGCCCGCCTCAGCCTCCCAAAGTGCTGGGATTACAGGCGTGAGCCACTGCACCTAGCAAGGATTGTTTTTAATAATAATGGAGCCCAGGCGAGGTGGCTCACACCTGTAACCCCAGCACTTTGGGAGGAAAAGGCGGGTGGATCACCAGGTCAGGAGATCAAGACCATCCTGGCCAACATGGCGAAACCCCATCTCTACTAAAAATACAAAAATTACCCAGGCGTAGTGGTGTGCGCCTGTAGTCCCAGCTACTCAGGAGGCTGAGGCAGGAGAATCGCTTGAACCCGGGAGGCAGATGGTGCAGTGAGCCGAGATTGTGCCACTGCACTCCAGCCTGGCAAAGAGCGAGACTCCATCTCAAAATAATAATAATAATAATAATAATAATAATAATAAGAAGAAGAAGAAGAAGAAGAAGAAGAAGAAGAAGAAGGAGAAGAATGGGAAATGGGGCAAATGCAGAAATTACAGCAACTGCTCATATTCCTAGCACACAGAGATTAAAGAACAGGGAATATCTAGGTTTACTTCCTGTGACATTGGGTTTAATGTATATTTGATGCTTGAATCTTGCTCCTTCTTCTTTTTTTTTTTTTTTTGATACGGAGTCTCTCTCTGTTGCCCAGGCTGGAGTGCAGTGGCGCGATCTTGGCTCACTGCAAGCTCCGCCTCCTGGGTTCACGCCATTCTCCTGCCTCAACCTCCCGAGTAGCTGGGACTACAGGCGCCCACCACCATGCCCAGCTAATTTTTTTGTATTTTTAGAAGAGACAGGGTTTCACTGTGTTAGCCAGGATGGTCTCGATCTCCTGACCTCGTGACCTGCCCGCTTCAGCCTCCGAAAGTGCTGGGATTACAGGCATGAGCCACTGCGCCCGGCCACATTGCAGATTTTTTATTTCTAATTATTGTGGATAATACTGTGGTGAATAACTTGCTATCAAATGCATTTCTCACACACTCCCATTTTTTGGATTATATTTTAATATACTTTTTTTCTCACATGGAAGAGTACTAGGACAAACATTATGAAAACTCTGGAAAAACACTTTAAAGAGGTGGATTTTTTTTTTTTTTTCCTTAGGACAGCAGAGGTCGGACCTTTCCTCTTCCCCGCACCAACACCAGCTCCATGTGCATTTATTGTTGGATTTTAACACCCGTGTCCTCCCTCCCTCTCCCCAGTGTTCTTTCACAGCTTTGCCCACTGGCAAAGATGGATATCTTGTTGTATAAAATGGAAAAAAGCAGAAATTGTGAAGATTAGACCTACCTTCCTTCCTTCCTTCCTTCCTTCTTTTCCTTCCTCCCTTTCTCCCTCTCCCTCCTTCCCTCTTTCTTTCTTTTTGCAAAGATTAGGATTCTCTCTGGGTTTTCTAGAAAGCAAGTATCACTGAGCAATGGGCTCACACTAGTTACGCATAGAAGCCAATATTATAGCATCAGCTTTTGTGAAAAGAAAAAGCTTTATTGCAAGGTTGACTGGCAAGGAGACAGGAGGCAGTGCTGAAATCTGTCTCCCCAGGCTGGGATCTGGGGGCAGGTTTTATAGGCAGAGAACAACTATGAGGGAGATAGGAAACTGCAACAGGCGTGACTGGACTGGGTCATGCAAAGAGGTGGTGCTAGGTTCTTGGCTTTTAAGTTTGTACTGCAACAAAACAGGGCATCCTCGCTTCTTAACTTGGACCTCGTTCCTCGATGGACTGCATGTGGTTCTGCACGTGATTGTCTTTTTCATTCTGGTTGGCTCTGGCATCACCAATCAGGCATGCTTGGTTTATCTGGGCATGCTCAAGTTATGTGACTTACAACCCTCGTGTCCACTGCAAATGAAAAACAGCTCATCTTTTCGTTTCATTTTGTTACTGACAAAATGGAACCAGGCTGAACTGTTTCTGCAGTGAAGGATACATGCCCCACTCAGTCCCCGGCAGTGCTAGGCAAGGCGATAGAGGCAGCAGAGGGAGTGAGTACTGGCACTAACCTTCCACAGAAGGACAGAATTTTTTTTTTTTTTTTTGAGATGGAGTCTCACTGTGTCTGTCGCCAGGCTGGAGTACAGTGGCAAAATCTCGGCTCACTGCATCCTCTGCCTCCTGGGTTCAAGCAATTCTCCTGCCTCAGCCTCCCAAGTAGCTGGGATTACAGGTGCACACTACCACTCCCAGCTAATTTTTGTATTTTTAGTAGAGATGGGGTTTCACCATGTTGGCAGGATGGTCTTGATCTCTTGACCTCATGATCCACCTGCCTCGGCCTCCCAAAGTGCTGGGATTACAGGCATGAGCCACCGCACCTGGCCAGGACAGAATTTTAACTGGTAGCTTTTCCGAAGATCTGGCTCAGTAAAGACTAGTAGGAGTAACTGCTCCTAGTAGTGACTAGTTGGGGAAAATCTTGGTGGATATCTGCTTGTGTGCAACCCCTAACACAAAAATGTACCTGAGCCTGGTGTTAGCTGTTGCAGATGCTTGGGACAGCGGGAAAACAGAGCAATTTGGAGCCATCTGTAAAATGTCCATCTTCAGGAGTACACACAGTTGCACCAAAGAGCTGGGCCCCGAGCTTGTGGAACTGAAGGGCCTAGGAAAGAGCCCTGGCCTTTTCAGCAGACAAAGCAGAGGACAGAGGATATGCTGAGTAATCGAATGGCTGGCCCCAAGCAGCAGCAGTGCTTTCCAGGCAGGTGGGCTGGCCGTTGTGGGCAGGACAGAGCCCTCACACCTGGATGGCTCGTGCAGCAGGATGCCTGTTGTTCCTGGCACAGGCAGGTGTAGAACCTCTCCTTCCACAATGCCATGCTGTATGCCACCGCTCAGCATAAAACCAGCTTTCTCCTGTGCTGCCAAACCCCTGCCAGTCCTCCTCTGGCCAAGATCTCTGCCTTTGAGAAGCTCCGGGCCCTCAGTGGAGCTGAAGGCCCTCTTTGTGCTGCCCCAGACTTGGCCCGTGGCTCTATGACTGCACTCAAGGACCCTAGATGTCCATGCTGACCCCACCAGCCCAACCTCACCCCTAGGCCATGGGCAACCAGAAAGGCTGGCCCATTATCTCTATTCCCATCTTGCCAACACTGGTCTGATTATCAAACGAGGGAACACAGGAGAAAGGACACTTCGGCTGACCAGTGCAGTGCCCGTGCAGTAGAAAGGCATACTTCCTGATAGCACCAGCCTGGCCAGAGAGAAATCGAGTCTCCCCACTTCCTATTCGGGAACTCATGAATTCACCCTCTTACCTTAAATGACTTATAAGTGACTGAAATCAATTTAATGTTTAAAATAATTTCAATAGGCCAGGCACAGTGGCTCATGCCTGTAATCCCAGCACTTTGGGAGGCCGAGGTGGGTGGATCATGAGGTCAGGAGATCGAGACCATCCTGGCTAACATGGTGAAACCTCGTCTCTACTAAAAATACAAAAAATTGGCCGGGCCTGATGGCGGGCGGCTGTAGTCCCAGCTACTCGGGAGGCTGAGGTAGGAGAATGGCATGTACCCGGGAGGCAGAGCTTGCAGTGAGCTGAGATCGCGCCACTGCATTCTAGCCTGGGCAACAGAGTAAGACTCTGTCTAAAAATATATATATATATATAAAATAAAATAAAATAAAATAAACATAGCTTCACTTAATATCTGAATGTGTTATGCTATCTTAAAGGGTAAGCCTAGTAACAACAAGCAGTCAAGACACTGGTGACAACAAACTCTGTGGGAGCCCAGCTCCTGCCACTCTCTGCTTAGGGAAGAGTTCATGCTCACTCTAACTCTGTTTCCTTGTCTGTGAGCTTAGGACTGTTCTAGTTAACTATTGTTGAACAACAAAACCAACCCAAAACTTCATGGCTGTAAACAATAATCGTTTATTACTTTTTATTTATTCTTTTTTTTGAATTAGGGTCTCCCTTTGTCACCCAGGCTGGAGTGCAGTGGTGTGATCTCGCCTTCTGCAATCTCAAACTCCTGGGCTCAAGTGATCTTTTCACCTCAGCCTTCCTAGTAGCTGGGACTAAAGCACATGGTATCATGCCTGACTAATTTTTAAAAAATTGTTTGTGGAGATGGGGTCTCATGTTGCCCGGGATGGTCTAGAACTCCTGGGCTAAGGTGATCCACCTGCCTCAGCCTCCCAAAGTGCTGGGATTACAGGCATGAGCCACTGTGCCCGGCTCACTTATTACTATTATGTCTCCTAGTCCTAGGGGCTAATGGGCTCAGGTCAGCAGCGCTGACTCAGGTCTCTGGTCCCCATGGGTGTGCTCAGACTGGGGCTGGAGCTGGGTTGTGTTGAAGGCTCTTCCCTCCCTGTGTGGTACCTGTGTTGCAGGACTCAAACAGCTGGGGATCTTTAGCCCTCTCTCTCTCCCTTCTCTCCATGTGGCCCCTCCAGCATGGTGGCTTCAGGGTGACTGGGCTTGAGGGTAGCACGACAGGCCCAGAGTTCTACAGGCACAACCCTGAGAGGGACTAAGCTGAGTGGAAGCCATATTCTAGGCCTTGGAAGGAGCGTGCCTGAGCCAGATAGTACCAGCCTCCAGGAACTGATCATTAAATGTTCAAAAATGTTGGGGTGCCTGTTAATCACAGGCACCATTAAGATTTAACAAAAACTTACAGTTACATTGTATTAAAATCAAAGGCAATATATTCTTTGTCACTTCCAAATGATTTTTTACCATATATTACTGTTATTTATGCTTTTGGAGTTATTTACATCGATCTTATCTATAGAGTGGAAATACCATTAATGGTGTGTTAATGCACATGTCTTTCCAGCTTCATGTTCAGTGACATCATCTTAGTAGCCTGAAACCCACCATGGGCATATTTACACCCCAGCAAGTGGCAGTTGTACAAATCAAAGCCTTAATATTTTTTTCCAGTTGTAAAATTTTGTTTAAAGAAATCTTGGCCCAGCGCAGTGGCTCACGCCTGTAATTCCAGCATCATGGGAGGCTGAGGAGGGTGGATCACGAGGTCAGGAGATGGAGACCATCCTGGTTAACATGGTGAAACCCCATCTCTACTAAAAATGAAGATAATTAGCCAGGCGTGGTGGCAAGTGCCTGTAGTCCCAGCTACTCGGGAGGCTGAGGCAGGAGAATCGCTAGAACCCTTGAGGCAGAGGTTGCAGTGAGCCGAGATCGCACCACTGCACTCCAGCCTGGATGGCAGAACGAGACTCCATCTCAAAAAAAAAAAAAGAAAAAAGAATATTTAGCCAAATTAACTTTAAAAGAGTTTAATTGAGCAAAGAATGATTCGCAAATCAGGCAGCCTCCAGAGTCAGAGACTCCAGTGTAGCTACATGGTAGAAGATTTATGGACATATAAAGGAAAGTGACATACAGAAAACAGAAGTGAGGCACAGAAACAGCTGGATTGGTGACAGCTCGGTGTTTGCCTTATTTGAACATGGTTTGCATAGTTGACAACCTTTTTTTTAGAAATGGAGTCTCACTCCATCACCCAGGCTGGAGTGCAATGGAGCAATCTTGGCTCACTGCAACCTCTGCCTCTCAGCTTCAAGCAATTCTCCTGCCTCGGCCTCCCCAGTAGCTAGGATTACAGGCGCCCGCCACCCACCCAGCTAATTTTTTGTGTTTTCAGTAGAGACGGGGTTTTGCCATGTTGGTCAGGCTGGTCTTGAACTCCTGACCTCAAGTGATGCACCCGCCTCGGCCTCCCAAAGTGCTGGGATTACAGGTGTGAGCCACTGCGCCTGGCCAATAGGCAACCTTCAATTGGCCAAAACTCAGTGACAGCACAAGAGTAGGCTACAGTCTGTATATAACTCCATTTAGGCTCCAGTTCACATAATGTACAGATAAACCTTTAGGCCAAACTTAAAATATGTAAGTAGCAGCTTTAGGCTAAACTTGATGGAACAATATCTACTGGTGCCTGTTGGCCATTTCCTACTAGTCAGAGTGGTCATGACTGCTTTCTAGATGCAAGGGAGGTCCTCTGTGGGAGGACAGCGCTGTGTGAGAGCACGTGAATGGGATACATACATCACGGCAGCCCTCTTTGGGGAGTCACAACCTGCCACGGGGATAGTGGAAGAATTGATGTAATTTATGGAAAGTGTTTTACCTAGTATGGAGGATATGAATTCTTCAATAAATGGCAGCTAGTTATTATTACATATCTGCTGGGCCTAATATTTGTCCCCTCCCCAGTTCATATGCTGAAACCTAATTGTAAAGTCATAGTAAAAGGAAGCAGGGCCTTTGGAAGGTATAAGGTTAGAAGGGCTCTGTTCGACCGGGCGCGGTGGCTCATGCCTGTAATCCCAGCACTTTGGGAGTCCGAGGCGGGCAGATCACGACGTCAGGAGATTGAGACCATCCTGGGTAACACAGTGAAACCCCGTCTCTACTAAAAATACAAATAAATTGGCTGGGCGTGGTGGCAGGCACCTGTAGTCCCAGCTACTGGAGAGGCTGAGGTAGGAGAATGGCATGAACCCGGGAGGCGGAGCTTGCGGTGAGCTGAGATCGCGCCACTGCACTCCAGCCTGGGCGACAGAGCGAGACTCCGTCTCAAAAAAAAAAAAAAAGAAAAGAAAAAGAAGGGCTCTGTTCCTGTGCTCTCGTGAATGGGATTAGTGCCCTTAAAAAAGAGGCTCCAGAGAGCCACCTGCCCGTTCTGTCATCCAAGGTCACAACAAGGCGGCTCCATCTTTGAAGCAGAGAATGGGCCCTCATCAGATGCTGAATCTGCTGGTGGCTTGATCTTGGACTTTCCAGCCTCCAGAATTATAAGAAATAACATTTCTGTTGTTCATAAATTACCCAGTCTAACGTATTTTGTTACAGCAGCCTGAACAAACTAAAAAATGCCTATGTATCTTTACTTGTATGGCAGGAAAACTCTGGGATATGGGGTTCCATGAGCCTGTTGGCACCACAAAATGGTACTTGCTATTGAGATGGAAGTGGGGAAGGGAAGGGCGTGGTCCCTTTAAATGATACGGAAGGTAAGTGCTGGGTAGAGGAGGGCATGGTTCCTGGCTAAGGCTCTACTCCCAGGCCTGCGCCTATGGACCTAGGTGAGGACAGGCATTTTTTGTTTTCCTGCCCAAATGTTGCATTTCCCAAGACCACCCTGGCCTGCCATGCCCCCATCCTGTGCCTGTAAAAATCCGGAGACCCTAGCAGGCAGACACACAAGCAGCTGGACGTCAAGAGGAACACATAGGCAGCTGGACTTCCAGAGGAACTCACTGACGGGCACTGCCATACTGGCAGGCCACCGATCAGCAGAACAACAGGGAGTTTGGCTGGGGTGGTCAGAGGAGAGCCCAGGCTGCCGTGTGACCCGGCTCCAGGGGAAAACCAATCCACCTTCTGGCTCTCCCATCCGCTGAAAGCTACTTTCACTCAAGAAAACCTTGCATTCATTCTCCAAGCCCACATGTGACACGATTCTTCCAGTACACCAAGGCAAGAACCCAAGATACAGAAAGCTCTCTGTCCTTGCAATAAGGCAAGGGTCTAATTGAGCTAACACAAGTCGCCTATGGATGGCTAAACTACAAGAGCTCTCTGTGACATATGCCCACTGAGGCTTCAGCTGTAAACATTCACCCCTAAGCGCTGCTGTGGGGTTGGAGCCCCACAGCCTGCCCATCTGTATGCTCCCATAGAGGTCTGAGCAGTGGGGCACTGAAGAAGCAAGCCACTCCTCCATCACATGCCCTGCGAGGGGGACAAGGGAACTGTTTCCATTTCACAATCATCTGAATGTTTGTGCCTTCCCAGCCCCCAAATTCATTTTGAAACCCTAACTCCTAAAGTAGTGATATTAAGAGGTGGGGCCTCTGGGAGGTGATTAGGTCTTGAGGATGGAGCCTCATGAATGGGATTAGTGCCCTTAGAAAAGAGACCCCAAAGAGCTCCCTTGGCCCTTCCACCACTGAGGATGGAGCAAGAAAGTACCATCTATGAACCAGAAAGCAGGCCCTCACCAGATACCAAATCTGCTGGCACCTTGATCTTGGACTTCCAGCTTCCAGAACTGTGAGCAATACATTTCTGTTGTCTATAAGCCACCCAGGCTATGGTATTTTGTTACAACAGCCTGAAGGAACAAAGACAGTAAACCACTGGAAGAAAAAGTCTGAGTCTTAGTTATTCATTTGCATCCCCAAAGCCTAGCATACAAGCTAAGTACAATAAATTTCTGTTGAATGAGAAATTTTCTGTATATCTCAAAGCTCATCTGAAGCAGCTGATAAAGGTCTCAGGTTTTTTAAAAAGCTGGAGATATTGGGGTACACCAAGCTACAATAATTCCAGCTGCAGATGTCTCCAGGATTACCTTGTGGGTATTCCATCCATCCGTGTGAAGGCATCATCTCAGCCAGTTCCTGAGCATGTGTCTGTCTTTATAAACAAAAGCAAATAATAAAGCCTAAAGTAAACATCTTTTAAAGACTTAAATATGACTGCTTTTGGATAATTGACCAACTTTTCTGGTCTCCCATGGCCAAGTTGGGGGATAAGGATGCTAAGAACCCTCCTCATGGACCCCATCTACTTCCAGGCCCTCCTCTCTCCATGCTCCCACCCTTGGCTTCAGCCCTGACAACACTGCACAGTCCTGTCTCTCCCCCATATCTTTACCTGCTGGCACGTCCTTCCCCAGCTTGGGATGTGCTTCCTCCCACTCCACTGTGTTGAGCTAACTTCTAGTCTCCCACTGACATTTTCTTTTTTTTTTTGAGACAGAGTCTCACTCTGTTGCTGCCCAGGCTGGAGTGCAGTGGCACAATCTCCTGTTCACTGCAACCTCTGCTTCTCGAGTAGCTGGGACTACAGGCATACACCACCACACCCAGCCAGTTTTTGTATTTTTAGTAGAGACAGCTTCACCATGTTGACCAGGCTGGTCTGGAACTCCTGACCTCAAGTGATCCACCCACCTTGGCCTCCCAAAGTGCTGGGATTACAGATGTGAGCCACGGTGCCCGGCCCCTCCTGTTGACATTTGACTGCAGCTTCCCTTCTCCTGCCCCAGGCTGACGTCCATGTCCACCTCCTGGGCTCCCACTGACTTGCACTGAGCCGCAGATTCACCCGCATGGTGGTCTACAGACTCGCCTGCACGCAGGAGGACATCAGGCACCTTGCTTGCTGCATGGGGAGAATCACACAGGAGCCCAGGAGGGCAGCAGCTCCAGGACCTGGTGTCCTTCCTGTGGTTCTTGTTGAACATCTTGGGCTGGCTTCTCATGGTGATGGAGAAGCTTGTAGCAGCTCTGGCCTTCCCACCCTCACAACAATGGCCAGGGGCCATAGAAGATGTGTCCTGTCCCTGATCACACAGTCAAGGTGAGGAAAATATCCCCAGAGGCCACTACAGCAGACTTACCTCTATTTGTTCATAGCGCGCGAGGGGCTGAGTGAGCCCCACACCCCGAGCCACAGAACCACAAGTTCCTGAACAAAACTGGGTTATCTTAGCAAGGAACGAAGTGATGGCTGTGAGACAGGCCACCGGTGGCCGCGTCACAGAGCCTTGGGGACAGTGGAGCCAGCCAGGGTGTGGGGCCAAACAGTAATGGTAGGAGAACTTGTCTCAGGCCTCGGTGCAGCCCAGCCAGTTACCCAACAAGGCCCAGGGCTGGCAAGAAGCAGGACTTGAAAGAGGGTCATACAGGGTGGGGCCAGAGCTCCGTAAATCCCCCTAGGGAAGGACACATTTATTTCCTACTGGCGCAGCAAGTTGTGGGATCAAGAAGATTGAAGAAAAGGTTCCCTGTCCCCCTCGCAGGGTGTGTGATGGGGTTGTGGTTCACTGCTTCAGTGTCCCACTGCTCAAACCTCTAGGGGAGTGTACAGATGGGCAGGTTGCGGGGCTCCGACCCCACAGCAGCCTCTAGGGATCAATGTTTACAGCTCCTGAAGCCCCAGTGGGCATGTGTTACAGGGAGCTCTTTTAGTTCAGCCGTCCGTAGGCGGCTTGTGTTAATCAGCTCAATTAGACTCCCTTCCTTATCACACGGACAGAGGGCTTTCTGTATCCTGGGGTTTCTTGTCTTGGTGTACCGGAAGAATTGGATCATGGGTGGGCTTGGAGAATGAGTGCAAGGTTCTATTGAGTAGAAGTAGCCCTCAGCAGATGGGGGAGCCAGAAGGGAGATGGTTTTTGCCTGCAGTCAGGCCACTTGGCCGCCCCAGCTCTCCTCTGACTGCTCCAGCCAAACTCCGCCTCATTCTGCCAGTCGATGGCCAGCATGTCGGCATCTGTTGATGTGCTCTTCTGCTGGCATGCTCCCTCGACGTTCTCTCAATATCCGGCCGCCTGTGTCTTCTTCTGCTGATCTGCTCCTCTCCACATCCAGCGGCTTGTGTGTCTGCCTGGTAGGGTCTTGGGGTTTTTTATAGGCACAGGATGGGGGCGTGGCAGGCCAGGGTGGTCTCAGGAAATGCAACATTTGCATGCAAAGGCAGGAGCGGTTGTCCTCACCTAGGTCTGTGGGGGTGGAGCCCTAACCAGGGATCATGCCCTCCTATACCCAGCACTTCCCTTTCCCCTTCCGTATCATTTAAAGGGACCACACTCTTCCCTTCCCAGCACTTCCGTATCAATTGGGGCAGAGGGCTCCATAGGCAAGGCCTTCCCTCAAACAGTGCTGATGTCTGAAGAGTTCATCTTGAGTTGAACTGGAGAGATGCTGTCTTCTTTTAGTTGTTCTGTTGTCCCTCTCTAACTTCCTTCCTTCCTCTCTACATGTATCTCCTTCCATCTCTCCCCATCCCACTTCCTCTCTTCCACTTCTCTCTCTCCCTCCCTTCCTGTCTCCATTCCCTCCCACCTCCCTCCCTCTCTCCCTTCCTCTGTCTCTCCAGCTTTCTCTCTTTCCATTTTTCTCTTTCTCCCTCCTCCCCCTTCCTCTACCACCCCTTCTTTCCCTCCCTTCCCCCCCAACCTTCCTCTCTCTCTTCTTCTCTCCCTCTCTCTCTATCTCCTACTTTATCTTCCAGTCCAAACACTGTGCAGGCTGCCAAATATTAACATGGAAGGAATGTTATGCTAACTCTTTTCAGCATTGGGAATTCATTAGACTCAGGCCCTCTTAGATCTTTCTCTCAAACTTTGAGTTTTTAAAAACATCTTTTTTTGCTCCCCCACAGATGAGGTCAGGAAGTGGCTAAGAAGAGATCCATGAAGATTAACATTCAGTGCTCAATTTCTGAAGGAAACAGGGAGTGAAAGGCCGTGGAAGAAAACAGGGCTGCCACGAACATGCTCTTGGCTGTTTGAAAAGATCCAGCGCAGCTTGAACTTCAAAAATAACTCCATTCACTATGGTTGCAGTTGGGCTTGGGGAATTTCTCACAATCAAAAGCAGCTGCTTCATCTCATTTAGCCATTAGGCTGAGCTCCACAGGCTCGCTGCAGGATCTTAGAGCCTACAAGGCCCTGCTAAGAGTAGCCGCGTTTTCCAGCATGCAGTAGATCAGCGAGTGTTTACATTTGTGTTTGGAATGCTCATGAGTCCTTTGGGGCAAAGACTGAGTCATTAATCAGAGCTTTCTATGAACGTATTGCTGCCCAAGCCTCTGTGAATGTGAGTACGGCCTTGTCCCCTGAGTGACGCTGAAAGAGAGTGAAGCACATGTGCTCCATAGGACTGCCACGGCCACCCCTCTCATTCACTTTTCCATTCAGCGCTGAGACTAAGTTTAACTCATTTTTCTTTTGTTGTGAAAAGAGAATGCACACAAAAATTCAAATGTTACCAAATCGATATCAGGTAAGAGACAAAATTTCCCCTCTCTGGTACTCATATTCCCAGTCCATCCTCTCTGAGGTTATAACCTCTGATTGTGCCAGGCATCATTCTAGAATGTCTGAGCATATGCAAATGAGTGTGCATGATGTACATTATATATATATATATTTTAGAAACAGAGTCTTGCTCTGTCGCCCAAGCTGGAGTGCGGTGGTGTGATCTCGGCTCACTGCAAGCTCCACCTCCCGGGTTCACCCACCATTCTCCTGCCTCAGCCTCCCAAGTAGCTGGGACTACAGGCGCCCGCCACCATGCCCAGCTAATTTTTGTATTTTTAGTAGAGACAGGGTTTCACCGCGTTAGCCAGGATGGTCTCGATGTCCTGACCTCATGATCCTCCCGCCTCGGCCTCCCAAAGTGCTGGGATTACAGGCATGAGCCACCGCGCCTGGCCATGATGTATATATTTAATATATGTGTGTGCATGTATGTAAATGTGAGCGTGTACATATGTACATCCATACATACAGATATGCATTCAGAAATATACATACTTATTATATATATATGGTACAGCTTTGAGCAAGCTGAGCCCTGAGGCTCTTCTGAAGGGGAGGCCTTGGCACTGTTTCTGACACTCTATGTTCCTCAGCATTTAGACTAATTAGAGCCTCCTCCGGTATCTAGAGAAGATATAATGCTCCTCTGAAGCATAGGATGAAAAGGGTGACCCCAAAGTCAGGTCTGTGACATAGGCTGGCCCCTGGCTGATGGTCTCATGCCTCCCCCACTGAGTGCCTCCAGACTTTGGAGGCATGGTGATTTGACCCTAGAGTGAGACTCTGTGAGGCCAAATGGGCAATGGAGTTGGGGAAGCCTAAAGCTAGGACTATCCCAATGGCTTAGTCCTTGGCCACTGTCAGCTGGTTCCTTCTAGGGATGCAGACACAATTGTCCAAAATTCTCTAGGAAATGAACTTCTCTCTACCTTTTGAATTTGCAGTTGCTGCACCCAGAAGCCAGCCAGGTGCATGAGGTGGTGCAGAGTGAGAAAGTGGGGCTGGGGCTGGAGGGGAGGAAAGGCAGCACACCTCCCAGCACTCACCATTTTCCAGGCACTGAGCTAGAGTTCCCAAATAAGGAAGTGATGCTTTTCTCTGGAACCCACATTGTGGTGATAAAATGAAACTCCCTATAAATGCTTCAGGGGGCTTTTTCTTGCACTCATTTTCAATAAGTTGCTGTTTTTCCCCATTTAAAAATAAACATGCTTATGATAGACCATTTGGGATACCCAAAGAGAAGGAAGAAAGAAAAGAGTTCTCCCTTGTCTCACCACCCAGAGACAAGTATGTAGATTTGGGGAGATTTTCTTTGCTCAGGTTTTAGATCATGGCCCTTACTTTTTTTTTTTTGAGATAGAGTTTTGCTCATGTTGCCCAGGCTGGAGTGCAGTGGCGCGATCTCGGCTCACTGCAACCTCTTCCTCCTGGGTTCAAGTGATTCTCCTGCCTCAGCCTCCCGAGTAGCTGGGACTACAGGTGCGCACCACCAGATCCAGCTAATTTTTGTATTTTTTTTTTTTTTTTTTAGTGGAGACGGGATTTCACCAGGATGGTCTCAATCTCTTGACCTCATGATCTGCCCGTCTTGGCTTCCCAAAGTGCTGGGATTATAGGCATGAACCACCGCACCCGACCCCTGGCCCTTATGTATTTTTAAGGTCCACTTGAATATGCACTTATAGGAACTCATGCAAGATGATACAATTCTCACTGTTCACCTTCACTGGTATTTGCAATCATCATCTTAAAGTTCAAACAGGAAAGTTTGTGCTAAGTCTTATTAGCTTGAGGGGTTTCATTGACAATTATACATAGATCTTCACAGACTACATTTGAAAGGGGTCCACAAATTGCAAATACTGAATTGTGGCATTTAATTTCCCATGACCCCTGCAGCCTGGCAGCCTTTGTCTCCAGGCTGAGCTGGATACCCCGGTCAGGAGAAAGAGGCTTGGTGCAGAAAGAGGGCTTCCTGACTCCTTTCAGCTGGAGGTAATGGTCCTTTCTCCTTTTCCAAATCTCTCAGGGTTTCTGCTCTGGTCAGAGAAGGATCTAACCCAAAGGAAGGAGGGGAGGCCACCCCTTCTGGGCCTCAGGGGGTGAAGAATGAGAGAGGACCGGGGTGGGAATGGGAGGCATGGGCTGAAAGACACTTGCCCCCTCCCATCTCGGTTCACTGAGGCCCTGCTGACCAAGGGCGCTGCACTAGGCAACAGGATTGGGCCAGGAGGATGCAGAAACACATAGCGCTGGGACTCCTGCTGTGCACAGACAATCAACTGCCAGGCATATTGCCCAGAGATGCAGTGAGAGCAGAGAGAGAAAGGATTTCCACACACCCAGGTATTTGAAGAAGTGATGTTTGCCCTCATCCGTCCTTCTTGGAAGAGCTGGATCTAGAACATAGGTGGGGAGGAGGGGTTTCAAAAGCGCAGCCTGCCCCTGTGCCCCCAAGTCCAAGGTCCCTAGGCAAGCATGGAGCCGCAGTCCTTGCCCTTTACCCTGACCCCTCACCATTCTTCAAGCCACCAGTCATCTGCATAGAGACAGAGGAAAGATTTCACTGAATTTGAGATCAACATTTGAATAGCTGAAAGTGGCTAGAAAGCTAATGGAATACACCTAAACATTGCCAGAGGTGCAAAAGGGAGGGTGGAAAAGCAAGATAGGAAGCAGTGATTGAAAGGAAGCCTTCAAAATACAATTCCTCTTTACGCTCCACTGAGTCATGACAGCACAGTGTTAAGACCGAGGGCCCCATGGATTTGAATCCTTGCTCTATTCTGCTCCAGGTAAGGGACATGGGCAAGTTGCCTACTCTCTTCAGCAAACACCCAGGGCCCCACATTCAATATGGCCACATTAATATCCACATTTTATGAGTGCTGTAATAATTAAATGCAATAATGCAGGGCACGAGGCCCACACACAATACTGCATTTCACTGAAACTAGACTGTGCTATTGGAAAAACGCCTCCTAATTTTAGAGGTGTTCAAATGTGAAAAAATAGTGTGTCTTTGAAATCCATGAAATATAGCAAGAGCTTGGTAAGTTTAAGGTATGAGGTCATTATTTCACTCCATATACAGTCTCTTTTTTTTCTGAAAAATTAGTTGTGGTGGACTTAAATGTAGGTCCATGACTTTTTTTTTTTTTTTTTTTTGAGATGGAGTCTCGCTCTGTAGCCCAGGCTGGGGTACAGTGGCTCGATCTCGGCTCACTGCAAGCTCCGCCTCCCAGGTTCATGCCATTCTCCTGCCTCAGCCTCCTGAGTAGCTGGCACTACAGGCGCCTGCCACCACGCCTGGCTAATTTTTTTGTATTTTTAGTAGGGACGGGGTTTCACCATGTTAACCAGGATGGTCTCCATCTCCTGACCTCGTGATCCTCCCGCCTTGGCCTCCCAAAGTGCTGGGATTACAGGCGTGAGCCACCGTGCCCGGCCAGGCCCATGACTTCTTTGTTATTCCCTCATTAAAGGTTGGAAGCTGATTCCCCTTGCCTGAGTCCGGGCTGTGTTTGGCGATACTTGTAAAGAATGGAATCTGGCTGAGGTGGAGGTGTGTGACTTTGAGGACTAGGTCCAAAGAAGGCATTGTGGTTTCCATCTTGACTGCTCTTTCCCTTGGATAGCTGACTCTTAGGGAAGCCACATGCCACACCATGAGCAGCTCTGCGGAGAGACCCATGCAGCAAGGAAATGAGGCTTCCAGTCAAGAGCTGCATGACTGAATGAACTTGTTACCAAAACACCAGGGGTTTGGTCCAGGTCCTTCTGCTCACCGCATGGAAAGCTCATCACTGAGATGACAAGTATTGCCAAGGAAGGATTTAATCAGGTGCTGCAACCGAGGAGATGGGAGCTCAGTCTCAAATCCATCTTGCTGACCTACTAAAACGAGGGATTTGTATAGCAGGGAAGAAATGAAACAATGTGTAAGAAAACAGCAACTAGGGAGGGGCACGGAAGCAATCATGATGAATGAGGGGGCAGCATCTCATTGTCTGAATGCGGTGATCTGGTGAGTTTCAGTTCTTTGGTACTTTTCTTGAGAGGCCTGAAGTTAGTTTCCTGAGGAAGGAACTCAAGTAAAACAAATGTAAATTTCAAGCCAGAAGGGTGAATTTCTATGTTTATCCGAAAAACTGTCTATGGGACTATTGGGTCAGTTTCAAACTTGGAAGCAATTCTCCAGCCCCAGTTGAGGCTTTAGAGAAGTCAGTGCCAGCCCACAGCCTGACTGCAACCCCTGGAGAGAATCTGAGCTGGAACCACCCAGCTAAGCCTGGTCTGAGTTTCTGCCCCACTGAAACCAAATAATACATTTGGTTGCTTTCAGCTCCTAAGTGACAGGGACACTTAACCGTCATGAGGCAATGTATAACTGATACCCTACTCTACATGAAAAAATCCCATAAATACAGAGTCACGTGCTGCATAATGACTTTTCAGTCAATGATGGACTGCATCAATAATGGTGGTCCCATAATATAATGGAGCTGAAAAACTCCTATTGAGAGGTGACAGTGTGCTGGTAGTCCTCAGAGCCCTCGCTTACTCTTGGCACCTCCTCTGCCTGGGCTCCCACTTTGGCAGCATTTGAGGAGCCCTTCAGCCCACCACTGCACTGTGGGAGCCCCTTTCTGGGCTGGCCAAGGCTGGAGCCCACTCCCTCAGCTTGCAGGGAGGTGTGGAGGGAGAGGCGCGAGCGGGAACCGGGGCTGCGTGCAGCGCTTGCTGGCCAGCTGGAGTTCCGGGTGGGCGTGGGCTTGGCGGGCCCCGCACCCGGAGCAGCCGGCCGGCCCTGCTGGCCCCGGGCAATGAGGGACTTAGCACCCGGGCCAGCGGCTGCGGAGGGTGTACTGGGTCCCCCAGCAGTGCCAGCCCACCAGAGCTGCACTCGATTTCTCGCCAGGCCTTAGCTGCCTTCCCGCGGGGCAGGCCTCGGGACTGCAGCCCACCATGCCTGAGCCTTCCCCCTCCTCCGTGGATTCCTGTGCAGCCGGAGCCTCCCCGACGAGCGCCACCCCCTGCTCCATGGCGCCCAGTCCCATCGACCGCCTAAGGGCTGAAGAGTGCGGGCGCAAGGCACCGGGACTGGCAGGCAGCTCCACCTGCAGCCCCGGTGCGGGATCCACTGGGTGAAGCCAGCTGGACTCCTGAGTCTGGTGGGGCCTTGGAGAACTTTTATGTCTAGCTCAGGGATTGTAAATACACCGATCGGTACTCTGTATCTAGCTCAAGGTTTGTAAACACACCAATCAGCACCCTGTGTCTAGCTCAAGGTTTGTGAGTGCACCAATCGACACTCTGTATCTAGCTGCTCTGGTGGGGCCTTAGAGAACCTTTGCGTGGATACTCTGTATCTAACTAATCTGATAGGGACGTGGAGAACCTTTATATCTAGCTCAGGGATTGTAAACGCACCAATCAGCACCCTGTCAAAACAGACCACTTGGCTCTACCAATCAGCAGGATGTGGGTGGGGCCAGATAAGAGAATAAAAGCAGGCTGCCGGAGCCAGCAGTGGCAACCCACTGGGGTCTCCTTCCACACTGTGGAAAGTTTGTTCTTTCGCTCTTTGCAATAAATCTTGCTGCTGCTCACTTTTTGGGTCCACACTGCTCTTATGAGCTGTAACACTCACCGCGAAAATCTGTAGCTTCATTCCTGAAGCCAGCGAGCCCACGAGCCCACCGGGAAGAACGAACAACTCCAGACGTGCCGCCTTAAGAGCTGTAACACTCACCGCGAAGGTCTGCAGCTTCACTCCTGAGCCAGCGAGACCACTAACCCACCAGAAGGAAGAAACTCCGAACATCAGAAGGAACAAACTCCAGACGCGCCACCTTAAGAGCTGTAACACTCACTGCGAGGGTCCGCGACTTCATTCTTGAAGTCAGTGAAACCAAGAATCCACCAATTCCGGACACACTATCACCCATGAAGAGTAGTTACTGTAACATTGTAGCACACTGCATTACTCAGGTGTTTGTGGGGTTGCTGATGTGAACAAACCTGCATGGCCAGTTGCATAAAAGTATAGCACACACGATTATGTACAGCCCATAATACGTGATAGTGATAATAAATGACTGTTACTGGTTTATGTATTATATGTTTTTTGTTTGTTTGTTTGTTTTTTGACACAAGGTTTGGCTCTGTCACCCTGGCTGGAGTGCAGTGGTGTAATCTCAGCTCACTGCAACCTCTGCCTCCCAGGCTTAAGCCATCCTCCCACCTCAGCCTCCTGAGTAGCTGGAATTACAGGCGGGTGCCATGGCTAACTTTCGTATTTTTTGTGGCGACGGGGTTTTGCCATGTTGCACAGGCTGGTCTTGAACTCATGAGCTTAAGTGATCCACCTGCCTCAGCCTTCCAAAGTGCTGGGATTATAGATGTGAGCCACTGCGGCCGGCATATATATATATATGTGTGTGTGTGTGTGTGTGTGTATACGTTTGTGTGTGTGTATATATATATATTTTTTTCTTTTTTTGAGATGGATTTTTTTTTTTTTTTTTGCTCTTGTTGCCCAGGATGGAGTGCAATGGCATGATCTCGGCTCACTGCAACCTCCCCTTCCCGGGTTCAAGTGATTCTCCTGCCTCAGCCTCTCTAGTAGCTGAGATTATAGGCGTGCGCCACCACACCCAATTAATTTTTTATTTTTAGTGGAGATGGGGGTTTATCCATGTTGGTCAGGCTGGTCTCGAACTCCCCACCTCAGGAGATCCACCCCCTCGGCCTCCCAAAGTGCTGGGATTACAGGAGTGAGCCACCAGGCCCCGGCCTATTATACTTTTTATTGTTATTTTAGAGTTTACTTTTGCTTATAAAAAAGAAGTTAACTGTAAAACAGCCCCAGGCAGGCCCTTCAGGAAGCATCCAGAAGAAGGCATTGTTATCACAGGTGAGAGCTCCATGCATGTTATTGGCCCTAAAGACCTCCTGATGGGATGAGATGTGGAGGTGGAAGACAGTGATATTGATGGTTCTCACCTTGTGTATGCCTAGGCTAGTGTGTCTGTGTGTTAATTTTTAACAAAAAATGTGAAAATTTAAAAATAAGACTTTAAAAATAGAAAAAAGCTTATTTAATAAGGATATTAAAAAGAGAAAATATTTTTGTACAGCTATAAATTGTGTTTGCATTTTAAGCCAGATGTTATTTTAAAAAGTCAAAAAGCTAAAAAATGTAAAAGTTTATAAAGTAAAAAAGTTACAGGAAGCTAAGTTTAATTTATAATTGAAGAAAGAAAATTTAAAAATAAATTTAGGCCAGGTACAGTGGCTCACGCCTGTAATCCCAGCACTTTGGGAGGCTGAAGCGGGTGGATCGTCAGAGGTCAGGAGTTCAAGACCAGCCTGGCCAATATGGCAAAAATCCATCTCTACTAAAAATACAAAAAGTAGCCCAGTGTGGTGGCACACACCTGTAATCCCAGCTACTTGGGAGGCTGAGGTGGGAGAATTGCTTGAGCCAGGGAGGTGGAGGTTGCAGTGAGCCGAGATTGCGCCACTGCACTCCAGCCTGAGTAACAGAGCGAGACTCCATCTCAAAATAAATAAATAAAATTAAATGTATTGTAGACTAAGTGCAGTGTTTATAGAGTTTACAAAGGTGTACAGTAATGTCTTAGACCTTCACATTCACTCACCACTCACTCACTGCCTCACCCAGAGCAGCCTTCAGTCCTACAAGCTTCATTCCTGACAATGCCCTATCCAGGTGGACCATTTTTTTTTTATCTTTTGTATACTGTAACTTTACTGTACTTTTTCTATGCTTAGATAGGTCCAGATACACAAATACTTACACTATGTTACAATTGCCTATAGTATACAGTACCAGAACACGTTGGACAGGCTTGTAGCCTAGGAGCAATCTGCTGTCCGGTGTAGCCTAGGTGAGTAGGAGGCTCCACCACCTCGGTTTGTGTAAGTGCACTCCATGACCGCACAATGACAAAATCTCAGAACGTATCCCCGCCATGAAGTGGTGCATCACTGCACACATAGGCCACATATGCACCCGGGCTGGACTTTCAGTAAGCACCTGCCCCCTTGTGCTAGTGTCTGAGGAGACTCAGCATGCTGAAATGTCCCGCAGTGAAGGGGAAATGTGGAATGAGGGACACCGGCATGTGCGATGGGCAAGAACCAGCTTGGAGCTGGTTCGGCCACCAGGCACTGGCTCGGGGCAGCTGAGCAGGCCCTTAACTAGCTCGCCTTCCTGCAGGCATCTTTTGCACACCTGCTGTGTGCCGGGTGCTGGTTGAAGATGCAACCTCTGACCTTTAGGGATTGCAAGCTTGAGCTCGGTGGGGACACAGATGATAGATAAATAACACAGTGTGATAACCATCTGGTCAGGGATGGAACCTGATGAGGAAGAAGTGACTGGAATCCTCCTGGGCTGGAAGGTGGGGGAGCTTTTATGTCTGCAGTCTCTTTGGGTAGGGAAGAAAATGAAGCAGGGGAGGCCTTCCTGTAAGGGGAGTCAGTCCAGGGTGTCAGGGGGTGGGTGGGAGAGGAACCTGGGAAGGCTGCAGGGCTGCACACTGTGCGTGGGGCAGTGGAGGCTCAGAATTTGGCACCCTGGGTGATGTCCAGCCATCAGAGTGTTTGAGGTGGGGGCAGTGCTTCAATCAGATGAATATTTTAGGAAGAACAGGCTGAAGGCAGCCATGTGGGGCTGGGGCAGGATGGGGGCCTGGGAGGGGACATAAGGTTGGGGCTGAGAGGCCCTCTGACGGGGGCTGGGAAGGGAAGGAAACAGAGAAGGAAGTGATGGTGAAATGAGGTTCTGTAGGAACTTTGGGCTCGTATAGCAATCCCCACTCTTGGCGCCTGTAGTCCCAGCTACTTGGGAGGCTGAGGCAGGAGGATGGCATGAACCCGGGAGGCAGAGCTTGCAGTGAGCCGAGATCATGCCACTGCACTCCAGCCTGGGCAACAGAGTGAGACTCCGTCTCAAAAACAACAACAAAAAAAGAAATCACCACTCTTGTGTATGTCAAAACACTCTCCTAAACATACATGTTTCCCCACGTCCTCTGACCTTCCCCACCAAACTGTAAAAGGCATCAACACAATCTTAGTAGATAGAGAAGGAGAGAAGTAAGCAGGCATCTTTCGAAGTCTTCTTATGTGCTAGACACTGTGGTGGCAGATTCCAGCGTTCCTTTAATTCAACTTTACAACAAACCTGTGCAGTGTGGCCTGTATGCCCACTCCACGGATGAGGACACAAGGTTAGGTTAAGAGAGGTGCAAGGGCAGAGTGGGAGAGGGGCCATTTAAGCCAGTTCTGCCATGCTCGAACACTGGGAACTCCAGGCTCAGCAGTCACTGCATGAGGAAGAGGGGACAGTGGACAAACGCGGCAGGAGCCCCCAGCCTCTGAGCAACAGCAGAGTATCCTGCGCTGACAATATCTGAATGTCACATACTCTTTCTTTTTTTTTTTTTTTTTTTTTGAGATGGAGTCTTGCTCTGTTGCCCAGGCTGGAGTGCAGTAGCGCTATCGCGGCTCACTGCAAGCTCCGCCTCCCAGGTTCATGCCATTTTCCTGCTTCAGCCTCCCGATGTCACATACTCTTACAAGACAAAGCTCACAGTGAGGGGGGCAGGAGGGACTTCCACTGCTGGGGTCTGCTTTCCCTGCTTAGCGCCCTCACCTCCTCTTGAGCTTCCAACCTTCCGTCTCAGGCTTGTTCTCTCCAAGATGGTAAAACAGAGCTTTCTGTTTGTTTGTTTGTTTTTGAGACAGAGTCTCACTTTGTCACCCAGGCTGGAGTGCAGTGGCACTATCTTGGCTCACTGCAACCTCCACCTCCCAGATTCAAGTGATTTTCCTGCCTCAGCCTCCCAAGTAGCTGGGATTACAAATGTGCACCACCATGCCCAGCTAATTTTGTATTTTCAGTAGAGACAGGGTTTCACCATGTTGGCCAAGCTGGTCTCGAACTCCTGACCTCAAGTGATCCACCCGCCTTGGCCTCCCAAAGGGCTGGGATTACAGGCTTGAGCCAACACACCCGGCCTGTCTGCTTGTTTTTAACAGACATGTTTGCCTCTTCTTTTTTAAAAAAAGCAACACCACCCCCAACCCCAAATAAATCTCAAGAAAGAAAAAGACCTTGATCAATGACTCTTTTTCCTTTAATTTTAATGGAATGCATAAGGTTTAAAGTCAGAGAGAGGAGGGTTGGAAGCTTGGTCCATCTGGTACTTGCAGTGTAAACTTGGACAGGGAATCTCATCTCTAGTTTCCTCTTCTGTGAAATCGAGATAATCCTACCTTCTTCACAAGGTAACAACACAGATTAAACAAGATGATGAATATAAAATGCTTGGTCCCAGCCCTAGCTCATTGTACACAGCTGCTCCACATAAAGTATTGAAGTTACTATCATTGCTATTAACTCTGACTCTCTCTGGTCCTACAAGTGCTCCTTAAGGAGGCTCCTTTAGGATGACAGGGACTGTGTCCAAGGCTGAAGTTCTGCCTGTCCAAGGCTGGGCTAAGCCACCAGTCTGGTCAGTTCAGTGGGTGGTTACAGGGTTAGGGGCTTTGCTGGGATGAGTAGTCAGTTTACCTAAGTGTGCAATCAGTTCATCTTGCCAGGTCAGACATGCCAGCTACTGCTGAAAGTATGTGTATTTAAAGATTGTCTGAGTCTGCTCCAGCTGCCATAACAAAATACCACAGATGGCTTCAACAACTGAAATTTATTTCTCACAGTTCTGGAGGCCAGAAGTCCAGGACCAGGGTGCCAGCATGGTTGGGTCCTGGTGAGGACTCTCTTCCTGGCCTACAGACGTCCGCCTTCTTACTGTGTCCTCACATGGCTTTTCTTCTTCTGCCCTGGTTGGGAGAGGGGGAGAAAGAGAGAGGGCGGGGAGATCCCTTTCCTCTTTTTCTCCTTGTAATCCTGTGGTGGGTAGTCCCACCCTCTTGACCTCATCTAACCCCAATCACCCCCAAAGGCTCCATCTCCAGACACCATCTCATTCAGGATTAGGGCTTCAGCATGTGAGTTACGAGGGGACCACAAACATTCAATATTGGGTATCCTATTTCCCAAGAACGAATAGTCTTCAGGGGAGTGAGTGTTGAGATAGAATGACTTTTGCTTGGAGGCTCTCTGCCCCTCTTAGGGGGCTGCATGGATTCTCCATGGGCGCTGTTGCCCATGCATCTTCTCTGTGCAGCTTCCTGTGCCTGACTGTTTAGACCTCACCGCAATCCCGCATGTTGGTGCTGTTATGACCCCCCTTCTGCCAGGAGGAGAGCAGCTCAGGGAGAACTGGCGTGCCCAGACGACACAGCTAGGACGGGGCGGGGGCTTAATGGAGCCCAGAGCTCTGCGTGCAAGTCCAGGCTCATCCCCACCTGCTCCTCCACTCCCAGAGAGCCCCAGCCTCTCGTGGTGCGCTGGACGAACCTGTGCTGCTGCAGCTGGTGGCGGGTGTACTTCTGGGCGTGAACTTCACGCTCACTGGGAGCAGCCCATGCACCGGCCCCCTCGGTGCGCTCAGGTCTCAGGTGCCTCCGGGAAAGAGGAGAAGGCAGCTGTCTCTGCGCTGTCCCTGAGCCTGATGCCTGTCTGGAATCCTACTGATGAACTGTGAGGACCAGGCTGGCAGCAGCCAGCTCATTAGGTCTTGTCCTCTGAGAAACGCCTGGCAGAGGGCGGGGCAGCCGGCCAGGAGCAGCGCTGGGAGGAGGGTGTTTGTTTTTGACACAGAAGAGCTGGAGAACACTGCCATTCGTGAGCTGACCTGGAAATGCTGGCGGCCCCTTGGCAAGGGAGCTGAAAAGGGCAGCCCCCTCTGTGGAAGGTGGTCGAGGGGTGGTGCTGGGTTGTCTGAGAAGACATGGGCTGGGCCTAGGTGAGACTGAGCAGAGCGTGGGAGCCCAGGGAAAGGTTCAGGGCCAGGACAGGGAAGGAGGGAGGGGAAGAGGGAGGGAAGACAGGAGAGAGAGGAGAGGGAAGCAGGGGGGAAAGGAGAGATGGGGGAGAAGAGAGGGGAGAAGGAAAGAAGAGGAGGGAGGAAGGAAAGGAGAAGAGGAGTGAAGGAGGGAGAAAGGAGACAGGAGGAGAGGAAGAAGTGAGGGAAGGAGAGAAGGGAGTAGGGAGAAGAGGGGAGAAGGGGAGAAGGGAGGAAAGGGAAGACGGAGGGGAAAAGAGGAAGGGAGGAAGCAGGGGCACCCCAGAAAGGGCCAGACACTCTCCAAAGTTACAGCATCCTCACAGCATGCCCCCTGAGAAGGCAGCATTCATGCCATTTTGTTTAAGTGAAGAAACAGGAATGAGTGCCAGAAATGGGACCTGGGCCGAGTTGGTCACAGCCAAACAGAGAGCAACTGGGTGGCCCATGGGTGCATCCAGCCTGTACCCGTGGTTTGGCCTGTGGTATTTTTGCATTTGTTTTCAGTTGAGTTCGTTGCCAGCCTTTAAACATCAGGAGACTTTACACAAAACCAGGGACTGTTGGCTTCTTTTTCCACACAGGCCCTTCTGGACCCACAGAGTCCACATTCCCCAAAGTGAAAGCTGCCTGGCCTCTGGGGGTGCACTGGGTCCAGCACCCACAGGTGAAAGTGAAGTCAGCCAGTGCCCCGTCCTGGAAGCCTCTGGATTAACTGCGCAGAGTGGTCAAGGTCTCGGGGACTTTCCCCATTGCTGGGGGGTCGGGGGAGGGGATCCCCTTACAAACACCTCCAGGCCAGGTGCTTGGCTCTAAGGCAGGAACGCTTTTCTGTGTCTTGGCTCCCGGGCTGGGGACAGACAGGGAGCCCGTGAGTTTGTTGGCTGGAGTCACCCTTGACTGTCATCCTCGGGCTGCATCTGAAGGGAAATGGGGCTTTTAACAAAGTCAGTCATCCAAGAAAAACAACGCCAGATAATTTTGAGGCTAAAGAGCAGCCCTCTGCTCCCATCCCTGCCTGATTCTTTCTAGGGCAGGACGTTTGCTTTATTTTTTCATGGCGATGTCAAGCAGAAACATTTTCCAGGTCCTGGCAGCCCAGTGGTATGGAAGGCGTCTTCCTTCCCGCCCTGGCATTAGCTATGGCTGTCACTTACAGCAAAATGAGACACTCTGCGACTGTCTGACTGCCTCCAGGCGCTGGCTGCATTTGTGCAGGATTTGGGGCCTGGGCAGGCTCAGCCGACTCAGAAGAGCCTGTTTAAAAATGAACTCTTTTATGTTCGAAAGTTTCAAAAATAGAAGGAGCCAAGTTTAGAGATGGAGATGCCATTTAAATGTCTATGGTTACGAGTGCTGTGGGTGGTGGCCTCCCAGCCTCCCTGGGCCGCGCCTGCTCCCCATGGGCCACAACACCACCCCCCCTCCTCCAGCCGCTGCATTTTCTTCTATTCCCAACTGTGCGCCACAGAACTTTTACAGTTATTCACAAAGGAAACCTCATAGTAACAAACACATTTCAGAAACCTAAACCTGGTGCAGGAAAGCAAACGGCCAACATTTATTTAATTTTATATCTTAACATGCATGGTATACTATATTCAATCATCTCCCCTCTATCTTCTAAATGATGAGAACCTCTCAACACATAGAAAATGTATAATAAGGCCAGGCGCAGTGGCTCATGCCTGTAATCCCAGCACTTTGGGGGGCCGAGGCGGGTGGATCACGAGGTCAGGAGTTTGAGACCAGCCTGGCCAATATCGTGAAACCCCGTCCCTACTAAAAATACAAAAATTAGCTGGGCATGGTGGCCCAGGCATGGTGCCTGTAGTCCCAGCTGCGTGGGAGGCTGAGGCAGGAGAATTGCTTGAACCCAGGAGGCGGAGGTTGGAGTGAGCGGAGATTGTGCCACTGCACTCCAGCCTGGGTGACAGAGCAAGACTCCGTCTCAAAAAACAAAACAAAACAAACAAACAAAAAATATTTAATAATAGCACAGCATGCACCATTATATGTCCTACCTAGATTCTGTAATCAGTAACATTTTACCGTTTTTTCTTTTTTGCTATTTTCTTTTTTCTTCTGAACTGCTTGAAACTAAACTACTGAGTTATGATGCTACAGACCTAAGTATTTCAACACACCTCTCCTGAAAGTAAAGACTTTCTTTTTTTTTTTTTTTAAGACAGGGTTTTTCTCTGTTGCCCTCTGTTGCTCGGTTCACTGCAGCCTCTACCTCTGGGGCTCAAGCAATCCTCTCACCTCAGTCTCCTGAGTAGCTGGAACTACACGTGTGCGCCACCACGCCTAGCTAATTTTTGTTCATTTTTTGTAAAGACAAGGTCTTACTATGTTGCCCAGGCTGGTCTCGAACTCCTGGGCTCAAGGCATCCTCTTGCCTCAGCCTCCCAAACTGCTGGGATTCCAGGTGTGAACCACTGCACCAGGACAAGACATTCTTTCACATAGCCAAAATAACATCATCCTACGCAAACGATCAACCATACTTCCCTAGGATTATCTACTATCCTGCCATATGCAGATGTCCCCAATGGCCCCCAAAATGTCTATTACAGTTGGTTTTTGGCCCTGAAGCAGCATCTAACAAAGCTTCCATTGGTTGTTTTGCCTTTTCAGAGTCTCCAAATGTGGCACCCTTCCCCTTGTTTCTTTCTATTGTCCTATTTTTTCAGTGACACCAGGTATTGTTGGCATTTGCTTACCCTAGGAAGAGGTCCGAGGCACAGTCCTCTGTGCTCCCAAGCACCCTAGGAGTCCCTGATCTCTGCTCTGGAGTCCTCTGCCCACCGCAGGCCCCAGCAGCTCCATCTATGGCCCCTCACCCACCCCTGCTACCTCACCCTGCTGTGTCCATAACACCCCCAGAATGATTTCCCTTTAACAGCAGTCTGAGAGTTTGGCCTTGAAACCTGGAAAAGGCTGCAGGGTAAGGCCTGACCTCCTCAGCTGGGATCCAAGCTGTCACCCCTCTCCCGCCATGCCTCTCTGTCTCATCTCATCCCCTAAATGCCCCCTTCGTTTCCAGGTAACTCAGGCACACAGAACTTCCCTGACACAAGCTCTTTCATGCCTCTGTATGTTGACACACGCGGCTCCCTTTTCTGGGGCACTCTTCCTGTCCTGTTCTTCTCACCAGAGCTGCATCCGCGCTTTGTAACTCAGTTATCAATTGGGCCTCTTTGCTCCGTACAATGCGGCCTATCTCCCTATTATAAGACATTGCATTACACTGAGTTTGTTCTTTACAAGTGCATCTCCCTGCGGATGGAGCTCCATGAACAGTTGTTCAGATGTTCTTATAGGCAGTGCTGCAGTCAACATTCTTCCACAGTCTCCCTGGACTGGCTCCCAGGACTCCAGTGTTGGAGTCTGAGTACACAAAGGAGTGGAGGAACTGGAGACCTGCCCACTCCCTTCATGTTCCAACGTGATGCCGGGGGACCGGGCTCTGGGATCTGCTGTGCATCTCACCGCTGTGTGAGGGTGCCCATTTCTCCATGAGGGGTCAGCTTTTAGTACTGCCCACTTTTAATGTTTGCCAAGCTCGTGGATGTAAAGGGTATCACACTGTGATTTCCATGCACATTTTCCTGAATTAAAGGGTGGCTGAGCATCTTCTCATATTTTCTTGGCAATTCAGACTTCCCATTTTAAAAATCCCCTGTTCTTTTCTGTCTCTGGCAGTTTCTCTTCTTCAAAAGGAGGCCAAAGTGGGGTTTATATTAGAATCCTGGTTCCTCACCAGGGATGCAATATGACAGCTGGTCAAGAAACTGTGGCTCAGTTGAGTGTACAATAGAGGAGGGCAGGGAGTGTGTGATAATAGAAATTCAAGGGGCGTATAATGAGTGTGTTGGTGGAGGTCAGGGAGAGAGTGAAGGCAGAGGTCGGGGAGTGTATGATGGTGGAGGTCAGGGAGTGTGTGATGGTGGAGGTCAGGGAGTGTGTGATGGTAGAGGTCAGGGAGTGAGTGATGGTGGAGGTCAGGGAGTGTGTGATGGTAGAGGTTAGAGTGTGTGATGGTGGAGGTCAGGGAGTGTGTGATGGTGGAGGTCAGGGAGTGTGTGTTGGTGGGGGTCAGGGAGTGTGTGATGGTGGAGGTCAGGGAGTGAGTGATGGTGGAGGTCTGAGAGTGAATGATAATGGAGGTCAGGGAGTGAGTGAGGGAGGTGATGGCAGAGGTTAGAGTGCGTGATGGTGGAGGTCAGGGAGTATGGAATGGTGGATGAAGGTCTACCATAAAGATCTAGGAGTTCAAAGCTATCCAGTAAGTAGATGGTGGTGGTTTAATTTTTTAAATAGTAATTTGGACTTTTTCCATGTACAGATCCAGATTCACTGTTTCTGAGTCAGTTCTGGCAAGTAGTAGTGTTTTTGGAGAGGGAGAGGCACCCTCTCACCGCGGGCATGAGTGCTGCTAACCCCTGTGTGGGAGGCTAACTCGGAATGACTTGAAAGAGCTATAGATACTGAATGAAGGGTCTCCTTTTCTCTCTGCCTCTCTGTGTCCTTCTGCCTCAGCACTTCGTGCAGATGAAAGAAGCTAGAGTCATGGTGAGGCTGAAAATTGCTTGGGTAACAAGTAATATTTCTGTTCAACTGGACCCGAAGGACAGGTTGGGAGGTCAGCGGAACCACAGCCCACAGCGCCAGCTGAGGTGGGGCTGTAGAGGGCCTGAACACTCAGGCAGAGGGAAACCCAGCCTTCCGAGCCGTATGCCCATGTGTGGCAGCTTGCCCCCACTGGGGCAAGTTTCTGAGTAGAGACGATTGTTCTATATAAGCTGCATAAACATTAGTTCTCTAATGAGCTGGAACCAACAACAACCCAGTGAACTTCAAGTAAAGGATCTACTCCATGAAAACGGGCAGCTTACCTCTGCACAACTGGGAGAACCTCAGTGTTTTTGCAAAACATACACTTTATGAAGCACAGGACCTCAGAGCTGTTGATAAAGCAAGAGAGCTAGGTGAGAGCTGGATCAAGCCCCAGAGCTGTCATTTACCATTTTGGGACCTGGAGCCTGAGCCTCTACTTTTTCAACGGCAAAATAGGCGTGAATAACATATCTAGAAGGACTGCTAGAAAAATGAAATGACATTTGCAAAACACACAGTGGAGCTGGCATAGAGGAAGAGCCTAATAAACCTGCTAAATCCCCCTTTCCCCTGACGTGTGTGTGTGTGTGAGAGAGAGAGAGAGAGAGAGAGAGAGAGAGAGAGAGTGTGTGTGTGTGCGTGTGTGTGTGTGCATTCCCTGTTCATTTCAAGCCCTGCTGTCCCTGGCTTATGGCCTGGTTTTGGCGTTCCTCTTCCACAGTTCAGGCTTCCAGACCAGTGGGCTTACTGGCTCGGTTTGGCCCAGGATCAAGCCCCTGCCTCCAGCTGTAACCTGAGCATTGTCTGGAATGCAGGACAATACATCAGGGCCATGTGAATAGAACTAATCCTCTTTATGTTGGCAGCATCTCATCGGAAAAAAGTAGTGGGAGTGGGTGGGGAAAATCAGGAGACCCCACCCCCTGCTGTCTCTCAGCAGCTTCTGTATGAAGCCATCAGAACCTTGGGCTGCTCTAAGGGAAAGAGATTTTCCTCTTGGATTCTTTTTTTTTTTTTTTATTGGAATGGAGTCTCACTCTGTTGCCCAAGCTGGAGTGCAGTGGGGCTATCTCAGCTCACTGCAACCTCCACCTCCTGGGTTCAAGTGATTCTCCTGCCTCAGCCTCCCGAGTAGCTGGGATTACGGGCGCCCACCACCACGGCTGGCTAATTTCTTTTGTATTTTTAGTAGAGATGGGGTTTCACCGTGTTGCCTAGGCTGGTCTCGAACGCCTGAGCTCAGGCAGTCCGCCCGCCTCTGCCTCCCAAAGTGTTAGGATTACAGGTGTGAGCCACCGTGCCCAGCCTGTTGGATTCTTTAGGACAGAAAGTAACAGGGCCTTCCAACAATTTATGTTTGAAAACTCCCTGGCACATGAAGCCAGGCGAGCAGGCTCAGGGAACGATCATTTTGTTGATCAGCCAACTGTTTACTGAGCCTGTATTATGTGTCACGTCCCTTGTCAGCTCAAGGGGTACAGGAGTAAAATTCATGACTGTGGAGAGGCCAGACCCTCACAGTGGACATCACAGCTATCATAAAAGAGGCTACCAGGAGAGCTGCCGTGGACCCCAAACACCTCAGCCATTTACTATATGATTCAGTGTGAAAACAGTTCATTTGCATTCAGCTTCTTTAGAAATTCATCTACACAGACTGAGAGTTAAGTCTTAGACATATATAACACGACAGCAAACAGAATCATTTCATTTCATACCCACTGGACCTGGGTTGAACCCTCTGTCAGTCACGCCCCTTCTGGAGAAGTATCAACAGCTCCCCATGTCTGTACTCCTAAAGGAAAAGGTTGATCATGAGTCACGCTGGATATAAGTCTTTTTTTCTGAGGTGGAGTCTTGCTCTGTTGCCCAGGCTGGAGTGCAGTGGCGTGATCTCGGCTCACTGCAACCTCCACCTCCCAGGTTCGAGCGATTCTGCTGCCTCAGCCTCCCGAGTAGCTGGGATTACAGGAATGTGCCACCATGCCCAACTAGTTATTATTGTTTGTTTGTTTAGATGGAGACTAGCTCTGTCACCCAGGCTGGAGTGTAGTGGCTCGATCTCGGCTCACTGCAACCTCTGCTTCCCGGGTTCAAGCAATTCTCCTGCCTCAGCCTCCCGAGTAGCTGGAATTACAGGCGCCCACCACGACGCCCAGCTAATTTTTGTATTTTTAGTAGAGATGGGGTTTCACTGTGTTGGCCAGGCTGGTCTTGAACTCCTGCCCTCGTGATCCACCCACCTACACCCGCCTGTAGCTGGGTGTCTATTTCTCTCTCTATTTTTTATGGTAATCCCATGGGGATCAAATATAACATGCTAAAGTTATAACAACTGATTTTAAATTGATGTCAATTTAACTTGAATTATATACAAAAACTTTACTCCTTACAGCTCTGCGCTCCCCCATTTTATCTTATTGATTATGCATATTACATCTTTATGTATTGTGTATCCATTAATATAGATTTTAAGTTATTTTTATGCTTTTGTTTCTTAAATCCTATAAAAGAATAAAAAGTATAGTTATGAACTAAAAGTACAATCATACAAGCTTTCATATTTGTTCATATATTTACCTTTCCCAAAGAACTTTACTTTTTCTGTGGTTTTGAGTTACTGTCATTTCATTTCAACTTGAAGGACTTCCTCTCACATTTTTTGTAGGACAGGTTTAGTGATAATAAACTCCCTCAGCTTTTGTTTATGTGAAAATTTCTTAATTTCTGTGTCATTTTTGAAAGCAAGTTTGTTTGGATATACAACTTTCGGTTCACAGTTTTTTTTTGGTTTTGTATTTTTCTTTTAGCATTTTAAATGTATCTTACACTGTCTTCTGGCTTATAAGGTTTTTGCTGAGAAATCCCTTGGCAATCTTTTTTATTTTTTATTTTTTGAGACAGAGTCTCGCTCTGTCGCCCAGGCTAGAGTGCAGGGGCGCTATCTCGGCTCACTGCAAGCTCCGCCTCCCAGGTCCACACCATTCTCCCGCCTCAGCCTCCCGAGTAGCTGGGACTACAGGTGTCCGCCACCATGCCTGGCTACTTTTTTTGTATTTTTAGTAGAGACGGGGTTTCACCCCGATCACTTCTGACCTCGTGATCCACCAGCCTCGGCCTCCCAAAGTGCTGGGATTACAGGAGTGAGCCACTGTGCCTGGCCATCCCTTGGCAATCTTTTTAAGGATCCCTGGTATATGATGAGTCCTTTTCTCTTGCTTTCAAGATTCTCTTGTATTTGCCTTACAGTTTAATTACAGTGTGTCTCAGTGTGAGTTTATTTGGGTGTATCCTACTTCAAGTTCTCTGAATTTTTTTGTTTTTGTTTTTGTTTTTGTATATCTACATACTTTTTCAAATGTAAGACATTTTTGGCCAATATTTCTTCACATAATTTATCTTCCTCTTTCTTGCTGTCTTTCTTACTGGGACTCCAATAGCATGTGTATTGATTTGCTTGATGTCTCATAGGTTCTTTAGGCTCTGTTTACTTTTCTTCATTCTTTTTTCTTTTTTCTCCTCAGACTTAATAATTTCAAATGACCTGTTTTCAAATTTATGGATTCTTTCTCCTGCCTGTTAGAGTCTACAGTTGAACACCTCTAGTAAATTTCTCTATTCAGGTGTTATATTTTTCAGCTCCAGAATTTTTATTTGGTTTCTTTTTATAATTTCTATCTCTTTGCTGATATTCTCATTTTGTTCCTATATTGTTTGCCTGATTTCTTTAGCTTATTTTTCTGTGTTTTCTATTAGCTCTTTCAGCATATTTAAGACAATTGTTTTAAGTCTTTTTACCTAGAAAATATAATGCTAGGCCAGGCGTGGTGACTCATGCCTGTAATCCCACTTTGGGAGGCCGAGGTGGGTGGATCGAGGTAGGTCAGGAGTTCAAGGCCAGTCTGGCCAACATGGTGAAATCTCATCTCTACTAAAAATACAAAAAAATTAGCTGGGTGTGGTGGCGTGTGCCTATAATCCCAGCTACTTGGGGGGCTGAGGCAGGGAAATTGCTTGAATCAGGGAGGTGGAGGTTGCAGTGAGCAGACTCCACTACTGCACTCCAGCCTGGGTGACAGAGCAAGATTCCATTAGAAAGAAAGAGGAAAGAAAGAAAGAAAGAGAGAAAGAAAGAAACAAAGGAGGGAAAGGAGGGAAAGAAAGGAAAGAAAGAAGAAAATATAGGCCAGGTGCAGTGGTTCACACCTGTAATCCCAGCACTTTGGGAGGCCGAGGTGGGTGGATCACAAGGTCAGGAGATGGAGACCATCCTGGCTAACACAGTGAAACCCTGTATCTACTAAAAATACAAAAAAATTAGCCAGGTGTGGTGGTGGGCGCCTGTAGTCCCAGCTACTCAGGAGGCTGAGGCAGGAGAATGGCGTGAACCTGGGAGGCGGAGCTTGCAGTGAGCTGAGATGGTGCCACTGCACTCCAGCCTGGGAAACAGAGCGAGACTCCGTCTCAAAAAAAAAAAAAAGAAAAGAAAAGAAAATATAATGCTAGTGTTTCTTCAGGGATGATCTTTTGGACACTTTATTTTCTTCTATTGAACAGATGTTTTCTTGTTTCTTTGCAGGTTTTTTGATTTTTTAAATTGGGCATTCTTAAAAAGTGCCATTTCTCCCAGTCTTTCCAGACTTAGAAAGCCTTCACTAACCAACAACACAAGTTCTATACTTTGGAACCCTCTCAGGGTGAAGGCATAAGGTCCTCTCAGGCCTTTTATGGGCGTGCATCTGCCCTGGGCTTGTGTGTGCTTTTCTCCCCCAATTCCCCCCATTTACTGGCTGCTTTTGAATGTCTTAATTTCCCAAAGAGTCTCACCCCAGCTTCTTTCCAGGGCCTTAGATATCCTATTGTTTTCCTCTGTCTATAACTCCCCCATTCCCATGCATCTACCAGTGTGTAGTCCCATTCCAGCTTTCATGAGCAGTGCCTGCTGCTTCCTGTGGCTCTTCCCAGCCTGTTGTCTAAGTGATTCCACTTTTCTCTGTCTGAGCTCTGAGTTAGGTGAAACACAGACCAGTCCTTCAGGCAACATCTAACATATGTTAGATCATTGCAAATAACATTTTCTCTGCTCCCTCCAGGTTGAAAGATAAAACTGGGAGCTGGTCTGTGGTTCTCTTCACCCATGCCATGCAGGGCAGGGGATAGAGTAAGGGGGGCATGTAAAAATGCCACAAAATTTTCTACTCTTTTGAATGTGGCTTTTTCTTGACTGGACATTTGCTTGGTTGCTGAAGACCTTTGGATGTTTCCCAGAGCTCCTATAAAGTCATTTTATTTTATTTATTTATTTATTTTTGAGACGGAGTTTCACTCTTGTTGCCCAGGCTGGAGTGGAATGGCATGATCTTGGCTCACCGCAAACTCCGTCTCCCGGGTTCAAGCGATTTTCCTGCCTGGGCCTCCCGAGTAGCTGGGATTACAGGCATGCATCACCATGCCCGGCTAATTTTGTATTTTTAGTAGAGAAGGGGTTTCTCCATGTTGGTCAGGCTGGTCTTGAACTCCCGACCTCAGGAAATCTGCCCGCCTTGGCCTCCCAAAGTGCTGGGATTACAGGCTTGAGCCACTGCACCCGGCCTATAAAGTCATTTTAATCAGTCTCTAGATGTTCTTTTCATGTTTGAACGTGAGAACAGGGCCTGGAGTTACCTAGTCTGCCATCTTGCTGACCTCACTCTCTGCTTATGCCTGTTTGAAGTTTTGTTTATATTGTTGTAACCTTAAAGAGTCTTGATGAATACTCTCATTATTTAGGTGATAAAACTCAGAGGTTATAGTGTTTAACGTACACAGCTTAAAAAGTGGATAACTCAGGGACTCAAGCCCAAGACGTCTAAGTCTTCCTCTCTGCGTCCTCTAAAGCAGTGTTTCCAAACTTGGCATTCACACAAATGGCCTGGAGATCTCATTAAAATGCAGATTCTGGCCGGGCGCGGTGGCTCATGCCTGTAATCCCAGCACTTTGGGGGGCTGAAGCAGGTGGATCACCTGAGGTCAGGAGTTCGAGACCAGCCTGACTAACATGGTGAAACCCTGTTTCTACTAAAAAAAAATACAAAAACTAGCTGGGCGTAGTGGCGCCTGTAATCCCAGCTACTCAGGAGGCTGAGGCAGGAGAATCACTTGAAACCAGGAGGCGGAGGTTGTGGTGAGCCGAGATCACACCATTCCACTTCAGCCTGGGTGACAGAGTGAGACTCTGTCTCAAAAATAATAATAAAAAAAAATGAAATGCAGATTCTCTGGTCTAGGGTGGGACCAGAGGTGCTGAATTTCTCACAAGAACCAAAGCGAAGCTGAGGTTGATGGTCTGTAGCCCACAACTTGAGTGCTGGAGAAAATGACAGCCTTAAGACAAGGAAGCAACCAGCTCAAAATGATCTCCTGTCAGTGTCTTCTGGATGTGTAGTTACATACTAGTTTTCCTGTCTTATAGGATTGAGATGTAGAGAAAACTTGATCTAGCAAGGAAGATAAAAAGACTCATAGTGGCACAGGATTTCTAGGCTTTCTTTTCCAGTAATGAAGGTGGCCTGAGTTCAAACGTAAATCCTGGACTTTCCCAAGTCATTCCAAAACTCCAGGCAAAGCTTTGGAATCCCAGAGCACCCCCTCATTAGGAGGGATTTAAGTGGCTTGTACTTTGAAAAGCAAACACTGGAGCCTCTACTCCACACCTGCCTTGCTCAGCTCCCTGAAGGCAGCTGAGCTAAAGTGACTATTGAAGAAGGGTCTCTCCCATGCAATAAGCTCACCAGAGAAGGACAAGGCCTCCCAAAGGAATATATATCCATCTGTAGGTCAATCAGAAAGACAAGGCCTCCCAAACGAATATATATCCATATGTAGGTCAATCAGTCAAGCAAGACTAAAGAAGTACCATGGGGTGAAAGCCACTATAGTCAGTACTGGGAGCTTTCTGCTCCCCTCTGGGGCCATCACTGTACTTCTCTGAGTCAGTGAGCCCAGGATAGTGCATCTGGGCTGTGTTTGTTTCAAGAGTGTGAGAAAATGAGGTTGGAGCAAGGGCCAGGTGAGACTGGGGCAGGGCTGCCAGCTGCCTGCTGAGTCCAGTGCTGCTTTTCTTCTGTGTAGCTGCAGGCCTGCTGATGCAGCAGCGTGGCCCTTGTATGCTCACAGAGCAGGAAGTCACCAAACACAGAGCAAGGGGTCCCTGGGCTGCAGGCTCTGCCAATGTGGTTTCGATTCACTCAAATGTTAAAACATTCTTCCTGTTGATCAGCTAAGTTTGTGGACTGTGCAAAAGGAGTTCGTAACGAGGGCAAGGGATACCAGGAAAGCAGTTGTCATTTCTGCCTTTCTTTCCTGGTTTAGGACCAGGGAACAACAGCAAACAGAAGGGCATGGCCCCATATGACAGAACGAGCCCTGCTGCTTCCTACTGAGGGGCTCCGGGAGGATTCTCCACCCTCCTAGCTCTGCTTTTTCTCATCAGACACTGCGCTCATCAGCAGTGCTCTGCCTGAGTAGACACTTCGTTATCTAGAGGACTTTGGAAATAGGGTGTTAAGACATTTTTGTTAAAGACAAACACCATGTGGGGTGTAAGATTCCAGGTCATGGTCATGTGAGTGTCCATGCCTAACTTGAGTGAACATTAGCTTATGAGAGGGTCTCAGGGCCAGATTCATCTATTGACTTAATAACAGTTGAAGCGAAGGGACATTGATTCAATTATTAATTACTTCACCCTTGACTTAGCATGCGCTATGTTGTCAGCTCTGTGCAAGACACTCAGAGCCCAGAAAACCCAAGTGAAACAAACAAAATAAAAACCCCATCCCTGCTCTGGAAGAGCTCCTAGCCTGGACTATAAACCTGTCTTCATTTCCAGAGACAGCCTTCCTTTCAGGGCCTATGTATGATTGATTTTTTTTATTCCTGCCTTCTGTATTTCATGATCAAAAAACCCTGAAGAATTGTCCTTTTTCTCATGATCAAGAGAGAAGCTGCTCCCTGGCAAGTGGTATCATTCCTTCCCCTGACCCCAGGGAACGTGTTCTAGGGAGTGAAGGAGAGGGGACGGGAGGAGAAGGGATGTACTGTTCAGGTTAATGTCCATTGGCCAGACTGTTTGAGTCTCTAAAATGTTGTTCATTCCACTAAAGTTTCATAAATAGAGAGTCCCAGTAGGCTCTGTGCACATCCTCTAGACAATACCGCACGAAGAAAGAGTAGCTGGTGTGCTTCTGGATTATGAAACAGCAAAACACAAAACAAAACAAAAAAAACAAACAAACACTGAAAACAGAAATGACTACAAATCCATACTTTCCCAGGCAGATCCGTGGAGACCAGAGTTATGGGAAAGCCTCCCAGACATGCTGGGAGGGACTCTCAGTCCCTTCCCTCCCTTTACCCAAGACGGATGTGTGGGTTTAATGTTTCAGTAAGATTTCATCAAACCAAACCACAGGAGATAGATGGGTTTCCATTCCAAGGTTTCTCCTTTATTTTTGTTGAGAAAGTTATACGGAAGTTTAAAAAATATATGTGTCCATATCAGAAGATTGTCACCCAATTCAGAAATAGATTTAGGGTGGCTTGAGATGGTGAGACATTTGGGTTTGGAAAGAAATTGATAAATTATCCACTTCTTTTACCACCCCAGGAAAATAGAAACAGAAAATTATCCAGGCAGGACAGAGAAAACTTTTTGAAATGCTGACTTGAGGGTCCAGCATAAAATATTCTATGTAGTGATTGTTGTTAATCTCTCGGGGTTTTTGCTCCTCTGAAAAGTCAAAAGAAAGGCCTCCCATGCACTCCCTTACCAACAGCCTTCAGTGGTTCCCAAGGGTCTCTCCTGCTGAAAGCCCATAATAGCCCTTGAGAATTATTGAGGAGTATGTTAAAAAAAGATTCTGGGGCCAGGCACAGTGGCTCACGCCTGTAATTCCAGCACTTTAGGAGGCTGAGACGGGAGGATCACGTGAGCCAGGAGTTTGAGACCAGCCTGGGCAACATCTCTACAAAAAAAATACAAAAATTAGCCTAGCATGGTGGCACATCTGTAGTCCTAGCTACAGGGAGGCAGGAGGCTGAGGTGAGAGGATCCCTTGAACCTGGGAGGTCCAGGTTGGAGTGAGCCATGATCACGCTGCAATGGAGTGGAGTGGAACACCACTCAGTCCAGCCTGGGCCACAGAACAAGACCTTGTCTCAAACAAACAAATAAACAAACAAAAAACCCCCAAAACAGATCTGGGCATTGAACCTGGACCCTCTGTATTGCAGTTGCTGAGAGTGGAGCACAGTATTGTGCATTTTTAAGTGGTTCTCCTAAGGTGGCTGTCTCAGTCTAAAAACCTTTAGAACTTTGGGTGTGAATGGTCTCTAGGTGAGTTTGTCTCCTGGTGGGTTTGGTGAGGTGGCTGGGCTACAGCCAGACTGTGCTCTCGAGTCACCAAAGCACCACGACACCTTGGACAACCCCTAATTCCTGGCCTGGGTGGGGCCTGGAACATCTTAATCATTAAAGAAGGACGCTCTCTGAGGCTCATGGCGGCAATGTTAAATGATTGAAAACCCAACTCAAACACGCTTCCAGTCGCCACAGAGGGAATAATTTGAGCAGCAACAAAGAAAAAAGACTGCTCTGGACTGGGGCAAATCAACCATTTTAAAATTAATGAGTTCATCATGACAACAGAGAATGAAACTCGTTGACCACCTGGAAGGATGCTGGGGAACCAATCAATGCGTAATGACTGTGAATCATGCATGGATCCTGCCTTCCCTTCTGTGACCAAAAGCTGGCCTTTTGTTTCTCCAAGGAAGGTACTGAATCCCACTTGTCCCTGCAGTCCCGACAGCAGCCTCTCTCAGACTTGCAAGTGCTTAGTGACTGTTAAATCAGGAGGATGAGGCATTTCTCCACCAGCAAAGACATCCCTCGTATCTGTAATTACCTCAGCCCATCGAGGGAAGTGTCTGCTCCAAATTCTCGCTACAGCGGCCCAGCTAGTTTGCCTCCTTACAAACTATCGGGATCACTGGGGTGACTTTACCCTTACCCTGAGGCTAGAGTCCCTCATTTTTCATCCAGGTGACTGCATGTTACCAGTTTTCTAACATTGTGAGCAGCACCCACAAGCTGCAATCTTCAGACCTGCAACTACCCGATCAGTTGAGTCGGCTCTCTCTGGTTTTGCCAAATTGGCCTAGCCTCAAGAGGCCTCCAGTTACACATTGCTCCTTGAAGAAGGGGGCCGCCTCTGAGCCTAGAGTGACCTCGGAATTGTGGTTGGGAACCAGGTTCACCTTCCAAGTGCCAATCTCACTCTGCAGAGGAGTGGGCCTTAGTGTGAGGGGTGGTAGCCCCTCAGCCTCCTGTTGGTGGAGGCCTCAGAGGAGCAGAGAGGACATCTCCTCCTTTTGAATCCTGGCACCTGAGCCAGAAACCGGCTCTCCCAAGAGGTAATATGCATTTCCAAGCCGAGCTGTACACAGAGCTGAGACCCACATTGGCCACTGGCCAGCTGGTGCCCTTGGGTAAGTAATGGCAGCCCTGAATCTCTGTATTCTCAACTTTAAAAGACGAGAAAGGTGCTTTTCTTGGGAGTGCTGTGTCAATTAGGAAGAGGATGGTGTGCAGCAGGCACTTAATTGGCACTGCATTCCTCCTGTGCGGGGTACTCTGGACCTTTCCTCCTCCCTCTGGGCTCCTTAGAAGCGAGGATCAGCCCCTCTGGGCTTATTATCTCAGGCTGCCCCTTCACCCACCCTGTTTGTTGTCTGCTCCTGGGCAGAGACCTTCATTAAGGGCAACAGTGTCAAGGGGTGGCCCAGGCCCTGGAGCCAACCCTGGAAGCATCACTTCTTGCCTGTTGCCCCTATTTTGAGGCTCAGTGGGAATGCCCATGGCCAGCTCCACAGCAAGACAGATGGCTCTGTCACTGGCCTTGAGTAATGGGAGGCTCCTCTCACCCTACTGGGCCAAAATCAAAGGTTTCTACCATCTTTGTGAGGCAGTTTTACATGTATCAATCTCATTTGGACCCTCTCATAAACTCAAGCAGGGCAGGGGCAGGGTAATTAGCCCTCTTTAACAGGATCAGAAACTGAGATTCAGAAAGCCACTCATCCAGTGTCTTGCAGCTCCCAGGGGCTGGGCCACACATCACGCAGCCTTGGTGCCCCTCCTCCTCCCATTGGCCAATTTTACTGGAACCCATGGGTACACGAGGCCTTAGGACACCTCTGCTATTCTTACCAGCCCTGCTAAAATATCCCTAAGGACAGCAGGCTCCAGGATGTGATGTCTAGATGTTTGCAGCTTTTCTCAGGGGAACTCCAGTTGTTATCTAATCATTTCAACACAAAACCTCAAAATAAACCCACATGAATTATGGACTAAATGCCCAACTCACAAGAATTTTGTAAAATAAACGATGAATCATCTAAAATATTTCATGTATGTGTTGGACAAATCTGAATTGTGTACGCAGGTCTATCCTCAGAGCCTTGGTAAGTAGAGATTCTCTAGGGAAAAAGTTTGAGAGCAAACTTAGGCTTGGGAGAAGCAACAGGGTTGAGGCTGAGCGTGGGATTGATGCTGGAGTGTCACTCACTTTTCTGGCCTTGAGGAAGCCGTTTAGAATCCTGAGGCTCAATTTTCTCATTTATAAAATGAGGTAATGGCTGGGCATGGTTGCTCATGCCTGTAACCCCAGCATTTTGGGAGGCCGAGGTGGGCAGATCACCCGAGGTCAAGAGTTCAAGACTAGCCTGGCCAACATGGCAAAAGCCCATTTCTACAAAAATACAAAAATTAGCTGGGCGTGCTGGTACACTTCTGTAATCCCAGATACCCGGAAGGCTGAGGAGGGAGAACACTTGAACCCAGGAGATGGTGGTTGCAGTGAGGCGAGATCATACCACTGCACTCTGGCCTGGGTGATAGAGTGAGACTCCATCTCAAAATAAATAAATAAATACATACATAATAAATAAAATGAGGTAACAAGACTTTTTTCAAAGGGTACTTTTGAAGTTTCTAATTTTTTTTTTTTTTTTTGAGACGGAGTCTCGCCCTGTTGCCCAGGCTGGAGTGCAGTGGTGCGATCTGGAATTACAGGCGTGAGCCACAGCGCCTGGTCTAATTTTTGCATTTTTAGTATAGACGGAGTTTCACCATTTTGGCCAGGCCGGGATCAAACTCCTGACCTCAAGTGATTCGCCTGCTTGGTCTTCCAAAGTGTTAGGATTACAGGCGTGAGCCACCTTGTCTGGCCTGATGCTTCTTTCTTTTTCTAAAAAAGACAGCTTCATACTTTTCTTTCTTGTCCTTTGCTTTGTTGCCAAGCTTGGAGATGATGAAATTGAGACTTAAAATAAGACAGTACGATCACCTTTTCTTGTATGTGGTTTGCAATTGAGTCCTAAGAGGCAGAAGGGGGCCACTCTGGAAATTCCAAGTCCTTGGGAGTGGTTTGTGTTTACAGTTTCACACAAAAATGAACCAGTTCCATGAAGACTCAGAAGGGAGACTCAGAAGGGTGGAGGGAAGAAGAGGGGTGGATGATGAGAAATTGTTTAATAGGTATAATGTACATTATTTGGATGTTGGATACACTAAAATACCTCTACACAATTGATATGGTTCAGCTCTGTGTCCCCACCCAAATCTCATCTGGAACTGTAATCCCCACATGTTGTGTCGAGGGAGGGACCTGGTGGAGGGAGATTGGATCATGGAGGCAGCTTTTCCCATGCTGTTCTAGTGATAGTGAGGGAGTTCTCACAAGATCTGATATGTTTATAAGTGTTGGGCAGTCACTCCTTCACTTGCACTCTCTCCCCTGCTGCCTTCTGAAGAAGGTGACTGCTTCCCCTTCTGCCATGATTGTAAGGTTCATGAGATCTCCCCAACAATGCAGAACTGTGAGTCAATTAAGCCTCTTTCTTTTTTTTAATTACCCAATCTTGTGTGGTATCTTTATAGCAGTGTGAAAACAGACTAATACAACAATATATCTATGTAACAAAGTTACACTTGTACTCCATAAGTTTGTACAAATAAAATGATAAAACTGAACCAGTTCTAAATCAGGTTAAATTGAACAAGAATATCAGGCATAGTCCATGGAAAACAACCCATACTTCTCTCTGATTCCATAATTTATTTTTTATTTCCAACTTCATGCCTCTCAGTCACGCCGGCCATCTCTATCATGTGCCTTGGACCCTCTGGCCTTGGGGCCCGAATGATGGCTTCAGCCCCTCTGGCCAGCAAGTCTGTCTGCTGCCTCTACTGGACACATGTACTGCCTAAAGCTGGGGACTTTCTTATCTGGTCCAGACCCCCAGTTCCTCTAACACACTCATTCCACAAATAGAGCCTCAGGCTCCTCCAGGCCCATGGCTACAGAGCCTTTCCTCTCCTAGAGTTTCTCTCCTTTTAGACTCACAAACTCTCTGCTTACCTGCAAGGTGACAGCCTCACTTGAGGAGGAGGAGCTGAGGTTCACTAGGTGGGAGCTGGCCCAAGTCAGTTTAGCTCAGAGGTCGGAGTCTTTGTAAGATGCAGAATGAAAATGAAGTGTTACGACCTCAACCTCCCTCTCCCATCACCCGCTGGGCAAATGCCAATGTCACATCCTTTAAACTGACTTCCTGCCTCCTAGGTCTCTGCCCTGCCTGGTTTAGATCGAAGTGATTAACCTTCTCCCGGGAGCTCGGGGAGGGAAGTCTGGCTGAGCCCTCTTGCCCTTCAGTTCTGCTGTCCTCCTCTACCCAGGTGGGTATTTGACAAGTTTGTGGATTTCAAGCAAAATGTATCTAAAATACATTGTCTTACAGTATGAACTAGAGGAAACAGTGTTTGAATGTTATCTGTTTCTTTTGGAACCAAATCATTGGGTTGGATGATTTATTAAGAAGTGAATCATCCGGGCCGGTGGCTCACGCATGTAATCCCAGCACTTTGGTAGGCCGAGGTGGGCTGACCACTTGAAGTTACAGGTTCGAGACCAGGCTGGCCAACACAGTGAAACCCTTTCTCTACTAAAAATACCAAAAACTTAGCTGGGTGTCCTGGCACACACCTGTAATCCCAGCTACTCAGGAGGCTGAGACACAAGAATTGCTTGAACCTGGGAGGTGGAGGTTGCAATGAGCCGAGATCACACCACTGTACTCCAGCCTGGGCAACAGAGCGAGACTCCTTTGTCTTGAAAAAAAAAAAAAAAATTAAAGTGTCCCAATCTGGGGGGAGGAACAGGGTCACTGCTATGAGAAAGCTAGAGATGGCCTAGGGTCCTTTCTAAAATTTCCTCTGATATTCCTCACACTTTCAAATGATTTCTCCTTTCTTCCCACTCCAGCCACAGACTGCTAGGAAGTACAGTATTTTTTCTTTTGGAAGAAAAAGTAAATGGGAAGGCACAGGATTTTTATTAATGCTGTTACTGATTTTAAAATAAGCTAAGAATGTGCCGTCAATCCAGTTGGCTGCTCCCTGCCGCCCACGGAGCCTGTAATCACTGCCTTACAGCTCACGAGAACAATGGCAACACAAGCAAACCACATCTGCATTTCCACATTCTGAGCAGCAGGTCCCTGAAATAGAGGCAGGGTACGGGAAATTATAGGACTTCAGTGAAACTGTAGGATTGCTGGGATTCCCACAGGCGCCCAGCCCTGGCTCGGGGAATATTTGAGTGTGGGAACTACCCTAGCATCTCTGCACTTACAGGAGAACCAGGGGATTCACCCGTCATGAGAGCAGAGCTCCTATACCCTGGCATCCTGCGCCCCAGGCACCCGAGGGATCCTGGGAAAACCCAAAGCTATGTGGCTAAAACTCCTGCTTTGGGGCTCAGGGTTCAGGGGGTACGCTAGACTCCTCTCCCCATTCGATTCTTGCATTTGGCAGACGAGTCACCCGGGCAGTGGGATGAGGATGGCACCAACAGAGTCAACAGAAGGAAGACGGCTCTGGCCGGGCCCCAGGGAGGGAGGCAGCGGTCAGGACAGTGGTCTTTGTGGGGCCTGGGAGGTGTGGATGCTGGGAGGGATGTGGGGGTGGTCCTGGATGACTGTTGTTCTTTCTGGACCTGGGAAGTGGTTACATGGGCGTGTCCACTTCATGATAATTTGATTTTTTGTCTTTTTTTAAAATGTTTGCTATCCATCAAAATTTGAAAAAGCTCCCAGGGCTTTGGTAACTCCCTGTGGGGCAGAGAGAGTCCACAGAATGTCAAGGCTGGATTTTCTGCCAGGCTGGAAGGAGGAGGGCTCAGGGTTGTATTTGATTTGTTTAGGAGATGGAAAGAAACTGGCCATGTCTTACACAAGGGAAAATAGTTGTTTTCCCAACATCTGGGGTCTCGAAGGCACTCGAGAAGTGATTACTTTGGGGGGTTTCTGCTTCTCCTGGCAGGCTGAGCTGTTCTGGCTGGGAGGCCTCACTTGTCTCCCCGTCCACACTGCTGGCCCGTGGGGTCTCGCGATGGCTGATGCTGATGTATGGGAAAGCCACGCACCCCAAGAGACTCCATCCTCCCAGTAAGCACTCCATGGAGGAAAGAGAGAGGTGGTAATCAATAAACTTGAGTCATTATTGATATTAGTTGTATTGAACATTTACCACGTGGCAAGCAGGGGTGCCGGGGAAAAAACGACTAAAACCTGGGAGGAAGTTTTTTTTTTTCTTTTGAGACGGAGTCTCGCTCTGTAGCCCAGGCTGGAGTGCAGCGGCGCGATCTCGGCTCACTGCAACCTCCGCCTCCCGGGTTCACACCATTCTCCTGCCTCAGCCTCCCGAGTAGCTGGGACTACAGGTGCCCACCACCACGCCCGGCTAATTTTTTGTATTTTTAGTAGAGATGGGGTTTCATCGTGTTAGCCAGGATGGTCTCGATCTCCTGACCTCATGATCCGCCCGCCTCGGCCTCCCAAAGTGCCGGGATTACAGGCGTGAGCCACCGCGTCCGGCCAAGGAAGGTATTTTTATTGGCCACAATTAACAGATGAAAAAGGCGAAGATCCAGGTGTGTTTGGAACTTGGGCCAGGTTAGGGGGTTACACAGGCTCAAGAACTGCCTTTCACTTGTTTAGATTCAGTCAAGACCAGAACAAAGAGAAACACGGAGATTTCTGTCCAGGAGTGGGCCTTCAGGGACTGCATAGCTTCTCAGTGCTCGACTTGCGTGATGGGATAAGTGCTCTTAGAGCTCACTCACCCCTTCTGTCATGTGAAGACACAGGGAGATGGCATCATCAATGAACGAGAAAGTGGGCCCTCCCCAGACAGCGAATGTCCTGGCACCTTAATCTTGGACTTTCAGCCACTAGAACTGCAAGAAATAAATTTCTGTTGTGTGCGAGCCATCCAGTCCATGGTACTTTGTTACAGCAGCCTGAAGGTACTAGCAAGCCTTAAGAAAAGTATCAGAAAATGGCCGGGCGTGATGGCTCACGCCTGTAATCCCAGGGCCTTGGGAGGCCGAGGCAGGTGGATCACGAGGTGAGGAGATCGAGACCATCCTGGCTAACACGGTGAAATCCCGTCTCTACTAAAAATATAAAAAATTAGCCGGGCGTGGTAGTGGGCGCCTGTAGTCCCAGCTACTCCGGAGGCTGAGGCAGGAGAATGTCGTGAACCCAGGAGGCGGAGGTGGCAGTGAGTGGAGATCGTGCCACTGCACTCCAGCCTGGGCAACAGAGCAAGACTCCGTCCCCCCCCGCAAAAAAAAGAAAGAAAATGGTCAACCTGTCTCAAGAGCCTCAAGATATTCTCACTAAGGTGTTGTTGATACCCTTGGACGTCTCTTTCTGTACACACATGCACTTGAGCACATGCGTCTTTTCACAGTAGCCCACTGTGCATGCTGCTTGCCACACACCTGACAGTGTCAGTCTTGGTAGGTGGTGTTGGGGGTATGTCAAGGGCTCCCCGTGACCTCCAAGATGTAGCCACTTCTGGCCCTCACCCACTGCCCTTCCAGACGCGTCTCCCAGCTAGCCCTGCACCCCCTGCTCTGAGCACCTCATCTTGCAGACACGGACACCTTCCCCTTGATCTCCTCTGTTCCTTTGGCGCTGCTGCTCTGCTGCCTGGCTGCCTTTTCCCATCTATGAATAGCGTAATTAGATTCTCCTGTAATGAAGTGAGTGGGACTTTGGAGGCCTCCATTCCCATTTTGTCCCTGTCCTGACTTCCTCACATCCCCTCCGGGACTGTCCCTCTATGTGACCTTTGGCCTTCAAGCTTCTTGCCATTGCATCTTCGCTCAACCTGTGCCTTCTCTCTGGAATGCCTCTCCCACCTTCTCTGTGCATCAAGGCCTTATTTACTCCCGAACTCAGCCTGCAGGATTCTACATAGAATTAAACTTCCCTCCTCTGGAGGCCTGTGTACTTGCTGATTGAATTAGTCAAGTGTCTTTGGTACAAGTGGTCAAGGGCATGAACTGGGTGCGGGACGGCCTGGGTCTATATCTTACTCTGCCGCTCTGTAGCTGTCAAAATTGGAACATCTCTGTGCCTCACTCTTCTTATCCTTAAAATGGGGTTAATGGCTGGGTGCGTGGCTCATGCCTGTAATCCCAGCACTTTGGAAGGCCGTGGCAGGCAGATCACGAGGTGAGGAGATGGAGACCATCCTGGCCAACATGGTGAAACCCCGTCTCTGCTAAAAATACAAAAATCAGCTGGGCGTGGCGGTGCATGCCTGTAGTCCCAGCTACTCGGGAGGCTGAGGCAGCAGAATTGCTTGAACCCGGGAGGCGGAGATTGCAGTGAGCCAAGATCGCACCATTGCACCCCAGCCTGGGTGACAGAGTGAGATTCTGTCTTAAAAAAAAATATGGGGTTAATATCTGAGTTCCTTGTAGGGATGTGTGATCATTCATTGAATGGAAATGTGGGAAGTATTTAACACTTGACACAGGGTAAGCACTAGATGAGTATGGCAGTTGCTGCACTTATCTCCTTGTGTTCTAGTTGGTTTTTACCCTTTTGTATGTACCCCAATCCCAGACCCCCACAATGACAGCTACCCGAGAGCAGAAGCCATATTCATGTTTACATTCCCAGTGCCTTATCTATGGGTTGGTACAAGGGAGGTTCCCCCAAATGTGGCTGGTGAATGGGTGGCTTTGTTCCAGGCCATTGATGCACCCTCCATGGCTGAATGGAAATTAGAATCCCCACCTGAGTTACCTCAGATATTCCCATTTCTAGATTACAGGAAAAGTTCCCGTGCTCTTAGGAAAAGGAAGCTCATAGTCACCAGGAAGTATACCTAGTACTTTCATGGATGCTATTCAGTTTAACCTTCTCCTAAATGCCTGCTCTTATTGTGCAGGTAAGGAAACAACTTCAGAGAAGTTAAGCAACTTGCCCAGGCCACACAGCTATTCACCAAAGAGGTAATATTTGAGTTCAGGGCTGGGTGCCCCTAAGCCAGCACACCTTCTTACTTGTTACTCATTTGTAAATTCCATGGTGGGTGGAGGATATATCCTGGAGAGGGTATTGAGTGGTTCGGGATTTACTAAAACCCCTCTTGCTTTACACAGAGCTGATGCTGAGTCTTTCAGAGGAGTGCCTGCAGCATTTAAAAAATGCAGAGAAGTGTTCAGAGCCTGCTGGGGAAGCAGGGAGCTGCTATTTCTGTTCAAGGCAATCAGTGAGGCTGGACCTGCCCAGAATTCATGTGGAATCACCCTAGAGAAGGCTGGTGGCTTGGAAGACACTGGATCTCACTGGCTCAGCTGGGCACGGTGCAAGGTGCTATACATAAATGGTTTCACTGACCCCTGGAAGGATGCTCAGGCCTGGATACTCATTGTGAGCTGCAAAAAAGGAAAGGGGACCCCTGAGAGGGAAGGCAGGAACTAGGGCTCATGGCCAGAGGTGTGGAGCTGCATTGAAATCTCTTGAGTGGGATGCCCATGCTTCCCCACCAGATCCCAGAAACTCAACGTAGTGTCCTGATGTCCTGACTGGCTCTGCAGAAGCCCAGGTGTCACTCCGGGTGAGTGGGCTCAGATCCTCCACGGTCTACATCCTCCAGGCACTCTGGGCATCCCCGTCCTCTGGGTGGGGACAGCTTTCTAGCTGTGCTGGGTGAGGGTGATTATAGCCAGCAATCCTGGCTGGGCCTTCGTTCTTGATCCCCGGTAAAGGCAGGGGCTACAGGGTGCCCTGGTGCACAGAGGCTCACTGGCTGCTCAAGGTCTCCTCCCACAACCATCTACATCCTGACTCAGCGCTGAATTGTGATGCTCTGGAGGACAAGGCTGGTGCTCCCACAGTGTGTACCTGCCTTCCTGGAGGCCAGGATGCCAAGAACTGCCTCCTAGCCACCCGCTTCTTCCAGGCCCTTAGAACTCCAGCCAGAGGGCTGCCTGTAGGGCCTGCTTCTGTGCAGCTGCTCAGAGCAGTGACAGCACTCCTTACCCCGTCCCTGTCTACCCCACAAGTGCTGCCTGCTTACTTGGGTCGTGTCCATGCTGGCCTCTGCTCTTGGGGCCTGGGGAGCCAGAGCCACCAAGGACGGACAGGCCAGACTCAGGAAGCAGCCTGTGGTGGGGCAGCCCACCTACACTCGCCCCTCCCTTGAGCCTTCTCACCCGGCAGCATCCCTGCTGGATGCAGGTTCCCTCCATGCCTCCACCCAGGGGCATCCCCACCCCTCATTGCGACCGTCTCCAGAGCCCTTCCTTCCCTGCACCATCCCTGCTCCTTCATCTCCTGCCCTTTGCCTGCCCTACCTGTCGCCTCAGCAGGCACTCACATGGGCACATCTTGGCCTCCCTCCTGAGGGCCCTGCCCAGACCAGCCAAAGGAAGGCAACCTCAGGCGGCACCAGGCAGTGACTGGGCAGTGGGGACAAGGACCACAATGCCCGTGGCTGTAGGTGTCATGGGTTGGGGAGGGGGTGTGGGTTCCTGGACCTTTGCCCTGGTCCTGGGGTGGGCAGGTGGGGTTCCTGGTTGACCCTGCACACAGCCTCCGGGGTGGTCTCCAGAGGACTGTGCAGTGGGGGCAGCCAGTGGCAGCCTAAAGAGTGCAGGATGGGGGTGGGGGGTGCCCACTGAAACAAATGCTCAAGAGCAGCTGGTTATGGCAGGACTTTAAGTATATATTCCTGTACATCTTTTCAAACATATACACAAAGCAATTCACATTTTCATATACTGGAAAGGCAGGCTAACTTTTCATTTTCCTGCAACATGTGCATAGTAATAAAAAATTCTGGCCGAGCGCAGTGGCTCACCCCTGTAATCCCAGCACTTTGGCAGGCCAAGGTGGGCGGATCACAAGGTCAGGGGTTCGAGATTAGCCTGACCAACATGGTGAAATCCCGTCTCTACTAAAAATACAAAAATTAGCCGGGCGTGGTGGCATACACCTGTAATCCCAGCTACTCAGGAGGCTGAGGCAGGAGAATTGCATGAACATGGGAGGCAGAGGTTGCAGTGAGCCGAGACTGCGCCACTGCACCCCAGGCTGGGTGACAGAGCTAGACTCAGTCTCAAAAAAAAAAAAAAGTTCTATAGCCTTCTTCCAGTTTCTCCCCCCAATTAAATGTAATAACAATCTAATCAGTGCACTGAAAGTTAAGATAATAGAAAAAATTTCATCCAGAATCCCATCACCCACATGTTACCGAGGGAGAAATTTTACCACCTCTTGTTTCAGGCCAGTTCAGGCAGGTGTACATTGTCTCAGAAGGGAGATATTTCTTTCGTCTGATACTGGAGAGTCACCAGAGTCGCCAGACAACAGGACAGGACACTCATCTTGCCCACAGGCTAGGTTTGCTGGATGTCACTAGGTTTGCCAGACACCAACTCTTGTCAGAGTTATTCCATTTGCCTGTTTGGAAAAGGCAGCCTTCACCCCTGCATTCCTAGCTCCTGGGCTGACGGCCTGCCTGACATCTGAGGGTAGTGGAGTGAGGTTGGCACTTGCCCTGCGCTGAGAGTGGAGGGGAGATAATGGTTTAGGTGGGAAAGTACAGCCCCTCCAGCTTCAGGGATCAGCTCACAGCAGGGGGAAAAGTCCTAGAGGAAGACTGGGGTGGGGCATGTCTGCTCACTCACAAAAGCAGATTCATTATTACAGGGCCTTTAAAGAGGGATGTGTGTGGGTAGATGGGATCCTCACCGAGGTGTGACCTGCTTTTTCTAGTGTTTGCGAGGATGTCTCATTAACCTGCAGGAAAGTGCTGGTTTCAATTCGATGGTTTGTTTTCTGTTCTGTTTCCTTTCTGTTACAAACACAAAGGGTACATTAAAGAGCCTTTCCCCATCATCTTGTTTTTTAAAAAATATTTTTTTACTTGTTAGAGTTTATTTTAATTATGGAAAGAATTCAAATCCATAGCAACACATAGCTAATGACAAACAATTCCGAAAACATTTTAGGAAGAGCAACACATTGACTTTTCCTTTTTGAAACGTGTAAGAAGGTGTTCATTATTGCAGTGCCCTGCTTATGCCTCAAGACTTGCTTAGTGCTGTCCTCCAAGAATACCGCTCTGTCCCCTTCAGGATGGACAGGGCCCCACTGTCGTTCCCCTCCTACGTCCTTCATAAAACTCATCAAGTAATGTTTTCACATGGCCCTCTCCCTCCCAGATATGAGCAAGGAACTCATCTGCTGAGCTCACATCCAGAAACGAAGATATCAGTTAAAACAAATAGGCTGGATGTGGTGGCTCACGCCTGTAATTCCAGCACTTCAGGAGGCCGAGGCGCTCAGATCACCTGAGGTCAGGAGGAGTTCGAGAACAGCCTGGCCACCATGGTGAAACCCCATCTCTACTAAAAATACAAAAATTAGCCAGCGTGGTGGCATGCACCTGAAATCTTAGCTACTCATGAGGCTGAGGCACAAGAATCCCTTGAACTCGGTAGGCGGAGGTTGCAGTGAGCCAAGATCGCACCACTGCATTCCAGCCTGGGCGACAGAGCAAGACTCCGTCTCAAAATAAAAAAAAAAAAAAGAAAGAAAGAAAATTTGTGCATAGTCAGACTTATTAAATTTAGGAACTGCATAATCATGAAGACTGTATCCCAAGAAAATTAAATGGCTGGCCAATTTGATGAACCATTTCCTGAGCTTGGTCAATTGAATATAAACAGTGGTGCTTTCTCAGCATAAACATTCTAAATGTGGATAGGAAGTGTGCTGTGCAGGACGGACAGATTATTCTTTTAACTAGATACATCTGGAGAGTCCCTTGGTCATTCCATGAATTTGTAGGGAAAAGACCTTCCTGACCAGGAGACCAATTCTTCTTGGCCAAATTGGGCATGATGCCAGCCTATAACATCGTCAAACACAGCAGAAGATTCAGAGAGAGGCAAATTAAAAGTGATAAGGAGCTATCCATTTTTGCCATATATATATATATATATATATATATATATATATATATATATATATATATATATATACACACACACACAGAGAGAGAGAGAGAGAGAGAGAGAGACAGATGGAGTCTCACTCTGTTGCCCAGGCTGGAGTGCGGTGGCATGATCTTGGCTCACTGCAATCTCTGCCTCCCGGGATCAAGCAGTTCTCTGCCTCAGCCTCCCGAGTAGCTGGGATTACAGGTGCCTGCCACCACACATGGCTAATTTTTGTATTTTTAGTAGAGACGGGGTTTCAATATTTTGACTAGGCTAGTCTTGAACTTCTGATCTCGTGATCCACCTGCCTCGGCCTCCCAAAATGCTGGGATTACGGGCGTGAGCCACTGTGCCCAGCCAACAATGAATCATTTTATGATCAGAGAACAGCAGAGTGATAAGCAGCAGAGCTAACAGTTCTGTTCCAGAGCCAGGTGTGAGGCTCGGTGTTTGGATTGTCTTACTTCCAAGCCATATGGCATCCTACAAGGTGAGCAAAAAAGATCTATTTCCACTGTGAAGAAACCGACATTTAAGTAACAAATTAGTAGGAGAAGGAATGAACTTTTGAACATGGGGCTTTCCTTCCCATTTCAGGTCTCATTCTTTCCATCATGCCACATGCTTTGCAGAGTCTGTGAACTACTAGAAGATGAGTAGCTAACCCGTATGCCTCAGGGTTCATAAAAGTAACAAAGAAGGGTCTCTTAAATTCCTTAAGAAATACTTTTTCAGGCGTATCGGAATTCATAAATGTGGTAACATCCCATTAAAATGTCAAGCATCTGCTTTTGGTTGAAATTGTGTCTAACTTTTTAAATACCAATTGACACCAGCGATTAGTTTTTGGTGAATTGTGTTGCCTCTGGAGATATAGTTTCCAGAGCCACAGCTCAGGTATCAAAGTTCCTGAAATGAAATTGATCTAGCTGGGGATCAGGCCAAGCATATTAAAATAGGGTGGCTATGAGGACAGCGAGGTCGGGGGAGGAAGAGGGCAGAGACGGGCAAGAATATAACTTAGGCCTGACCTTGACTCCCCAAGGCCCCCGATCTGATGTCCCCCTCATGTCTCAGTCTTGCAAGACATTGCCCCAAAACACACCCCCAAGCTCCTTTCTTCAGTTTTTAGAAAATTAGCAAATATTGAGCTGGAATAACCATTAGCGACCATCTGGTCCAAACTCATTATCTGAAATTGGAAGACACTGAAACACAGGGGAAAGAATGACATTTCTGCTGTTCCTGTTGCTGGCTGTGCAGAATACAATGCTTCCTGCATGGACAATAGCAGGAATTATTTTACATGGGAAGAAACTGAAGCTCAGCAAGGTTTGCTAATTTTCTCAAGACACTCAAGATGTTCATTTTCCACAGGACAGCCTCTCTGGGTCTCTTCCAACCTCTCTCTGTCCAATTCTGAGCTGGAGGCTAAGTCTAAGAATGGGACCAAATTCCCTACATAGAAGTGAGATTTTAACCCAGGTCTTTTGGTTTTAGGGTTTATTCCCTTTTCATTGTCTTTAAAGGATTGCTATAACTGAATAACCTCAACAATAAAATTAGATTCATTTTTAAGGCATTGAAAGATATTTATCTGAGGAATGCATTTATTTGCTGTTTACTGAAGAACAACTCTAGATGCTAACAGTATCAAGATGACTAAGAGATAGTTCTGGGCCAGGCGCAGTGGCTCATGCCTGTAATCCCAACACTTTGGGAGGCCGAGGTGTGCAGATCACAAGGTCAGGGGTTCGAGACCATCCTGGCTAACATGGTGAAACCCTGTCTCTACTAAAAATACAAAAAAATTAGCCGGGCATGGTGGCGGGCGCCTGTAGTCCCAGCTACTCAGGAGGCTGAGGCAGGAGAATGGCGTGAACCCGAGAGGCAGAGCTTGCAGTGAGCTGAGATTGCACCACTGCACTCCAGCCTGGGTGACAGAGCAAGACGCCGTCTCAAAAAAAAAAAAAAGGCAGTCCTTAGATCCACGGAGAATGTAGACCTTTACCACCCTCACAGCTCAATCCAACAAATAGACATTCATCCTATCACTTATTGGTTACTTATTAAATCCTCATGGCATACCAGACATTGTGCGAAGACACAGGGCTGTCAGACAGAGACTTACAAGAAGCTTAGGGGGAGCAAGCGCTGGGGCACAAGTTACTGTTGCAACAGAGGGAGCTCGTGGTGGGCAGCATGGGGATACTGGGGCCTCTCTGACTATGGACTGGGCAATGGGAGAGGTCTCAGCAGTCCAGGGACTTCTCAAGGGACATCATCTGACAACATGTGAGCCAATTGTCCCCGCCTCATTTCTCTCTGCATGTTCCTTTAGAGAAAAAAGAGATGGAATTACACCTACAAAAGTGTTGCAACAAACAGGCTAATTCACCAAGAAAGACTTTTCTGGGACTTTTCCCTGTCACTTGCACCAGCTCCTAGTGGGAGATAGACCCATATATGGGGCCATGTTGCCCAAATCCAATCACCATCTGTGGCTCAAGTTCTGTTCTTTGCTGGTCTGAGCAGGTGCTAAAGAGGACTGGAAATTAGAATTTGACAGTACTGAGGAAACTGGGTTTTCCAATTCATTCTTTCGTCGGTGCATTCATTCATCAGCACTATGAGCAGTTCGCAAGGGTCAGGCATGGACGGATGCCTGGGGATACAGATACAGACGAAAACAGACTGTGCCCGGGAGAAATGCTTACTCTCATGGGACCAGTGGAAGGGCTGAGGGGCAATTGTGGTTGAGTGCTGCTCTGTTTTTTTTTGTTCTTTTTTTTTTTTTTGAGACAGAGTCTTGCTCTGTCACCCAGGCTGGAGTGCAGTGGCGCCATCTCGGCTCACTGCAAGTTCTGCCTCCCACGTCCACGCCATTCTCCTGCCTCAGCGTCCCGAGTAGCTGGTACTACAGGCACCCGCCACCATGCCCGGCTAACGTTTTGTATTTTTAGTAGAGACGGGGTTTCACCGTGTTAGCCAGGATGGTCTTGATCTCCTGACCTCGTGATCTGCCCACCTTGGCCTCCCAAAGTGCTGGGATTACAGGTGTGAGCCACCGCGCCCGGCCACGAGTGCTGCTCTGTTTTCAAGGAGCCGCCTCTGCCAGCTGCTCCTCTCCAGGCCTTCTCCAACGATCTGCCCACTAAAAGGTGAAAACAACAAAAACAAAAACAAATTTTCCCACAAAATCAATTTCTTACATCACAAATTTAATGAGCATGATTATAGCTTGACTGATGGAAAATAAGTAAGCAGGGTCTTCTACCATAATTCATTAGCTAATGCATGTTATGCATGCATGTATATATGTGTGCCCACTTTGTTCCAGACAGGATTCAAAATCACTTACAAAGGAAAATACGATACTTTAGTTAATTGATTCTCTGGCTTTTCTTGGAAATTTGCATTCTTCTTTAGAATATAAAGTGCTGGATTGGCAGCAGAAGAAAACGAGAACAGAACCCCCCTTACCTGCTGCAGGGTTTGGACAGGCTGCTAGGCCTCAGGTTCTCCTGCTGAATGAACCCTTTGTACCATCTGTGCATAACTGACCGGGGCCAGGAGGAACTATGGAAATGCTGCCTCAGCCCGAATGTCAATTCTACATTCCAGCAGAATGTCTCAAACATCACATGTACTTTAAGGGAATTCAGTTTTCAACCAGCTCCTACATGACATCCACCTGCCTTAGCCTCCCAAAGTGCTGGGATTGCAGGCATAAGCCACCGCGCCAGGCCGAGTGAGCCTTCTTGCACGGTACGTATATTCAGATACAATGAAGGTAGGTTCATGATAAAAAAAAATGTTGTTTTTCTTTTCTTGCTATTTTTTTTTTGTCATTGGCATATCAACTTTCAGAATGACCTAAACCTTCAAGAATCATACTGTTAAAAGTCTGTGAAAAATATGAGCCATTCCTGGAATAGTAAGAGTTCAGTTCATGGCAGCGGCTGTGATGATTATTCAGACAGTGCAGTTATGGACTCTAAAGTGCTGTAATCAAACATGGTTAACTGCAAAGGCGGACCTAGTCCTGCTGCAGTCCTCTGGATTGGTAACTCCAAGGAGCCCAAGGGACCAGTTCTTCTGGTTTCCCTATGTGGAGACCCGGGGGCCTTGGCCCTTGGCTGAAGGTGGGACATTGATCTCAGCCTTACAGCACAGGCTTTCCCTGACTGGCCTACAAGGACACAAGCCATGTTGGTCATTCTCACCCATGAGTCCCTTTTTGATGAGTACTGGGGCCTAAGGCTGAGGGCCGTGACACTTCCTAGTGAGTAGGACCTCAGCAGCATGTACTGGTCCTATAAAGCCGACCTGCTGGCTCTGTCCTGCAGGGGCCCTAACATGTACCACGCAAGAAGTCTCACTCGGCCGGGTATGGTGGCTCATGCCTGTAATCCCAGCACTTTGGGAGGCCAAGGAGGGTGGGTCACTTGAGGTCAGAAGTTCGAGACCAGCCTGTTCAACATGGCGAAACCCTGTCTCTACGAAAAATACAAAAAAATTAGCTGGGCATAGTGGTGCATACCTCTAGTCCCAGCTACTCCAGCCTGGGTGACAGAGTGAGACTCTGTCCAAAAAAAAAAAGAAGTCTCACTCAAGGAGGTTGCAGCATTATGGTGGCAGGATGAGGTAACCGAGTTAAAGCTGGGATCAGCCTTCCCTGTTGGAGGTACACAGGCCCTGTAGGACCCCTGGTCTTGAGTCCTTCTCCATTGTCAAACTCAGATACCCTCTTTAAGGCCCAAGTCAAACTTTACCTTAGGGAGAAGGGGCACAGATCTTCCTAATACCTGAGTGTGAGGCAGACCCTCCCCTTTGCTGCTCCCACAGGGCTTTGTGCTGCCCTCAGGAGCATTCAGCCCTGGAGTCTGCAGAGCTGCTGTGCGTGTAGCCTCGCTCTCTTGGTTCATGCAGGCATGTAGCCGACCCTCAGCCGAAACACAGAGCCCATTTTCTCCATAAAGAAAAGGTGAGTTGGCCAGGCGCAGTGGCTCATGCCTGTAATCTCAGCACTTTGGGAGGCCGAGGTGGGCGAATCACGAGGTCAGGAGTTCGAGACCAGCCTGGCCAGCATGGTGAAACCCCATCCCTACCAAAAATACAAAATGTTAGCTGGGTGTGGTGGCAGGCGCCTATAATCCCAGCTACTCGGGAGGCTGAGGCAGGAGAATCACTTGAACCCGGGAGGCAGAGGTTGCAGTGAGCTGAGATTGCACCACTGCACTCCAGCCTGGGCGACAGTGCGAGACTCCAGCTCAAAAAAAAAAAAAAAAAAAAAAAAAAGAGTGAGTCAAATGGATGAATGAATGTAGCAAAGGCCAGGAGTAGGCTGTGGGAATTAAGGTTGCCTTTCAGGATCTTTGTGTGAGGAAGAGGACATCAGGGAGTGGGCTCCAGGGACCACTGAACCTGGGGACCGAGGAAGGGGCAGGGTTTGCCGAAAAGTGAGAGCTGCCCTGGCCTTGCCCAGCTGCGCAAGAGGGAGGCTCCAAGCTCTATCTGAGCAGTAGCAAGGAAAGGGCTGGACTGAGCCAATGGGGGTCAGCCTTCTGGCTTTGTTTCACTGTGCAGTTGTTGAGTGCCTAATGTACACCAGCAACAATTCAGGCCCTTGGGGTGCAGCAATAGGAGATGCTCCTGGAGCCAAGAGGATACCGACGGATCCCCTCCAGGCCAAGTAGTACCTGCAGCTAGGTCCATTCAACTAAACCAGATGAGTGTCATCTAGGTCTGTTTGTCCCTAGGGCATAGCAGATGCTCAATAAATACTTGCTTAATGAATAAAAGTCTCCTAATAAAAATAGTAGTAGGAGCCAACATCATTATTGAGTGCTTCTCTGTATCAGGCATTGTTCTAAACTTCACATGAACTCAATCTTCTTAACAGCTTTCATGATGAAGGCCGTAGGATCCCAACTTTACCAGTGAGAAAACAGAGGCATGGAAAGCTAGAGGAATTCAGCAAAGGTTATGTAGGAACTATCTTAAGGAGTGTGGGAGTGAATTCCAAACCTAGCGTGCTTTATCCCGGGCTTGGGTCTGCCCTCGAACCACAGGAGGTAGAAAAAAGGGCACACAGTCTTCATTTTCCGAGGATGTCATAGCAGGTGCTGCAGGCTGGGTGGCTGAACCCTCAGAAATGAATTTCCTCGCAGTCCTGGAGGCAGCAAGGCAGAGACTAAGGTGTTGGCAGGTTTGGTTTCTCCTGAGGCATCTCTCCTCGGATGGTAGATAGCTGTCTCCTCCCTCTTCCCTAAGGATGTGTGTGTAAGCCTGTGTCCCAATCTCCTCTTGTTATAAGGACACCAGTCATTGGATTAAGGCCCACCGTAATGCCTCATTTTACCTTAATTTCCTGGTAAAGGCCCTATCTCCAAAGAAGGTCACATCCTGAGATTCTGGTTAGGACTTCAGTCTTGGAATTTTGGGTAACACAATTCAGCTGGTGACATTGACACAGCCTGGGGCTGCCCAGTTTTCCCAGAAGGGGCAGCAGGAATGGGTCAAAAACCCATCACTCATCAAGAAAAACCAGTTCATGTGTTGAGGAACCGTCTTGTCTGCCGTCCTTCAGAATGAGTGCGCAGTTGTTTTGCTGTTTTCTTGGGAACCAGCTGTGGAACACTGCGCTTCCCTTTCCTTTCTTTTCAAGAACCTTGGTGCCCACCTGGCCTCCTGGAGGACACCTTTGTGCAGAGGCTGCCAGAGATGGAACATAGAGATGGGGGAGGGGAGCAGGTGATGCTGGCCCCTGTTGAAAGAAAGTGGGCAAGAGCAGGGGTAGTTATTTCTCCTCTTACAGAAAGGGCTTGCTGAGTTAGGCTTCATGTGGCATTGTGTTCTTTTGAACGTCACTTAAGGCATACATGAAGCGTGTGCACATGACACAGCCCAGTGGAGCCAGGGAGTGACTCAGCCTGCTGCCCAACACCCACTGCAAGTTGTTCCTGTGGCTGCCTCTAGCTGTTCCCCAATCTGAAATTTGTTTTTCGTTTTCCTTCACTTAAAAAAACTTGTTGGCCGGGCTCGGTGGCTCACACCTGTCATCTCAGCACTTTGAAAGGCCAACGAGGGAGGACTGCTTGAGCCCAGGAGTTTGAGACCAGCCTGGGCAACATAGAGAGACCCTGTCTCTACTAAAAGATAAAAATAAAACAATTAGCCGGCCACGGTGGTGCATGCCTGTGGTCTCAGCTACTGGGGAAGCTGAGGTGGGAGGACGGCTCAAGTCCGGGAGGTTGCGATTACAGTGAGCCATGATCTCGCCACTGTACTCCAGCCTGGGCAACAAAGTGAGATCTTTTCTCAAAAAAAAAAAAAAGTTGTAACATGCGTGTATCCCCAAACAATAAATTGCTTAGTCAGGCTTATGTGGGACTTTCTAGAAATGCTATCACACTTTGTGTTGACTTCTGAGCCTTGCTTTTTTCCCTTCAAGTTTATGTTCCTTTCCCAAGGCTCTCCCAGGCCCAAGGGTCTCTCACGCTCTGTAAAACCTGTGCTCAAAGCTTCTCCCCTGAGGCTGTGGGCAGAGACTGGGTGATACTGAAGTAATACAAGTTCTCAGGAAAGATCCTTTTTTTTTTTTTTTTTTTTTTTTTACACCAGGCCAGGCCCAGATTGGGTATTTTTAATATGTAAAAACAAGACTGGGTGTGGTGGCTCACACCTGTAATCCCAGCACTTTGGGAGGCCGAGGCAGGTGGATTGCCTGAGGTCAGGAGTTTGAGACCAGCCTGGCCAACATGGTGAAACCCCGTCCCTACTAAAAATACAAAAAAATTAGCCAGGTGTGGTGGTTCATGCCTGTAATCCCAGCTACTCGGGAGGCACAAGGCAGGGGAAAATGCTTAAACCCAGGAGGTGGAGGTTGCAGTGAGCTGAGATCGCGCTACTGCACTCCACCTTGGGTGACAGAGTGAGACTCTACCTCAAAAAAAAAAAAAAAAAAAACCAAAAAACAAAACAAACAAAAAAACAAATATGTAAAAACAGGGAGGGCCCCAGTGTGCTTGTTAACATGCATATGAGAGCGCCAGTTTGCAAAGCAGGTACAGCCCAGGCGGGCACTGAGCAGGATTCACAGCTGGGTCCAGACGCCTTCGCTCCCCACAGATGACACCTGCAGCGAGACTCTGCTGACCTTGAACTTCAAGCTCTGTGCTTCCACTTTTGACATTCATTTGTTTCTTAGCCTAAACTTGACACTTCCTTTTAGCAATATGCAAATTCAAGGCTGTCACAGCACAGCATCTGGAAAGTTACAACAGCAGCCCATTGGCGGTGATGGTGGGATTGTGTAGGGCTTACATTTTTTAACTTCCTTGAGTATATTTTTTGAGTTTTCCACAACAGGCATGCATTGCCTAGGAATGAGGAAAATCCAACGTCTTCCTCAGGAACCCAGGCTTCACCCATCTACGTGTCCTCTCTTCTACAAAATGGGGCTTACATGAACACTCTCCTCACCAGGCTTACTAAGGGCTTAGCTTACAGACATTATTGAGCATCTTCTGTGTACCAGAGGTTGGGGGCACGGGAGGAGTCAGATGTGGACCCTGCCCTTTAGGGTCTAGTGCAGAAGAGAGGTTTCCATAGGCAACTAGAATTCAAAACGGCATGCACGGCGGTGGAGTGAGGGGAGGGCTCTGGGGGGGCTCCGAAGGGGTAGATAGGCCGGAGTCTGCCAGATTGGAGGCCAGGGCCTTCTAAGCATCAGAACACATAGGCATACGTGGAAGGTTGAGCCATGGCATTTGGGAACCCGCCTAACCCCCCGGGGCTGGGCACAGAGTCCAGGGAGCACACAGCCTGGGGGTCGGGGAGAGAACGAAGGGACAGCACTTGGTCCCTCGGGGTGTGCATCAAGCTCAGCTGCTGAGATCTATGGATCCCAGTTCTGGCTGCGCTTTATTTTTATTTATTTATTTATTTATTTATTTATTTATTTTTTTGAGACGGAGTCTCCCAAGCTGGAGTGCAGTGGTGCCGTCTCTGCTCACTGCAACCTCCGCTTCCCAGGTTCAAGCAATTCTCCTGCCTCAGCCTCCCAAGTAGCTGGGATTACAGGCCCCCATCACCATGCCTGGCTAATTTTTTTTCTATTTTTAGTAGAGTCGGGGTTTCACCTTGTTGGCCAGGCTGGTTTTGAACTCCTGACCTCAAGTGATCCACCCATCTCGGCCTCCCAAAGTGCTGGGATTACAGGCGTGAGCCACCGCGCCCGGCCTGGCTGTGCTTTAGAGTCCCCCGCAGTGTCGGTGGTGAGCTCAGTGCCCAGGCCTGACCCAGATTCATCAAACCACACTGTTAGAGCAAGACTGGCCTGGATGGTATGGGAATTTTTTTTGTTAGTGTTCTCAAGTCTACAAAAGCTCTGGTTATAGGCAAGGCTGAATGACCTACTATTTGGGGAGCTTTGTGTAATTGAATGAAAGCTAAAAAGATTCATGTTGGTAAAAAGAAAATCCCAGAGGGGCTGCACCACGTTCTAGCAATGTTTGAGGGAGCCAGTGTCTCCGCAGCCTCACCCGCGTGTGGTGTGGGTCCTGTTTTTCATGTTAGCCATGAAGATAGGTGAGCAGCAATATCTCATGTGATCTGATCTTCCACTTCCTTAAAGGCCCCACTGATGCCTTTTCATTTGCTTATTTGGCACCTGTATGTCCTCTTTGGTGAGATGCCTCTTCATGCCTTTTGGCCACACTGAGAGTTCCTTTTCCTTGCCTCTCACAGTGATATTTGGAAAACAAATGAGTGGTGGTTGCTAGGGGTTAGGGCTGTGAGGGAGGAGAGGGTTATACCTCTAAAGAGGTAGCAGGAGGGAGAGCTATGTGGCAGTGGGACACTTCTGTGCCTGGATTGCAATGGTAACACAAATCTTCACGTGTGATAAGATGACATAGAACTACACCCACACACTGAAGCAGCGCCCATTTTCTGGCTTTGACATTGTGCTATAGTTATGAAAGATTGGGGGAACTGGGTGAGGCGTGTATGGGCGTTCTCTCTGCTATCTTTGCAAGTTCCTGGGGATCTACAATTATCTCCAGATACAAAAATTAAAAAGAAAAGTCAGTATCGATCAGTCTGAGAGTAGAAGTTTCATTAACCTATAATTGCTATTTTACTTTTTCCTCCCAATTGATTAGTTGTTTGTTCTCACACAGCCAGACCACATCATATAACATTTAGGTTCTGACTATGTTCCTTGAAGAAAATATACACTCATCATGTGGGGAAACAATGGTGACGTTTCACCTAAGGAATGTGAAGATGGAAATCAAAGTTTTCTCCCAATCAGGTAACTGAGAAAGGCAGGAGGCCATAGAAGCAGCCGCCTCAGCCCCATGGGTCACATCTGTGCTGAGTGACAATCTGTGTCTTAATGAGAAGCAATAAAGGCTAATTATCCCCAGGGTTTGACAGGTCTTTCTCAACACTTCTGCATAAAAAAGCAAGGCCACCCAGTTGGTCTCTGGATTGCAGCCTGCAAGAATCCCATGGTGGTGTTTAAACAAACGAGAAAGAACACATCAAAGGGGCATCTTACAAAGGCCCAGGAGAAACCAAAGGGACCTGGTGGCCTGAGTCCCCAGCTAGAAAGACAGATTGAATGGTCATTGCAAAGGGTAGGCTTGAAGGGGATAATGTGTGGCCATATGGAATAAAAGGAACCTCATCTCATCGGCCATCCATCACTCCCCTCCAACAGGAACAGGTGGGTGATGGACAAAGGCTGTAGATACAGGTGCGTTTCTACCCCACCAAATTAACCTAAGAAAAAGCACGGTAGGAATGAAATTAGGCATTGCACCATTTATCTAATTTACATTTAGTGCCTTAAGAGCCTGTGAATGAACACTGGTTTATGCAGTCTGTTCACTCCGTTTTCAGTGGATTGCTGCAGAAGTAGCCTCTGATTTTATGGGGGCCTGCACACGCTGGCTCCTGCAGTCTTAGGGCCTGGTCTGAGGAGGGGCCCGGAGAGTGTGGAAGGATGAAAAATGGAGCAACCCGGGCCAGGTGCAGTGGCTTACACCTGTAATCCCAGTACTTTGGGAGGCCAAGGCAGGTGGATCACAAGGTCAGGAGATCGAGACCATCCTGGCTAACATGGTGAAACCACGTCTCTACTAAAAATACAAAAAATTAGCCTGACATGGTGGCACACACCTGTAATCCCAGCTACTTGGGAGGCTGAGGCAGGAGAATCGCTTGAACCTGGGAGGTGGAGGTTGCAGTAAGCCGAGACTGCGCCACTGCACTCCAGCCTGGGCGACAGAGTGAGACTCCGTCTCAAAAAAAAAAAAAAAAAAAAAAAGAAAGAAAAGAAAAAGAAAAATGGAGCAACCGAGGCTCAGAGGGTCTAAGGTGCTGGACGACGGCAACTGCAGGGGCAGACTCCGATTCCCAGCCTGGTGCATCCACCACTGGCCTTCATAGAGATTCTTGGGGGTCTGCGGGGGCCTGCTTTATGCCAGGCCCTGGAGGTATGGCCAGGAACACGACCCACTAGGCTCTGCCTCATGAGCTTACATTCTAGAAGTGGGAGATGGAGGTAATCAGTCCATATGGACGGGGTCAAAGGCCTCTCTGAAGATGCGGACTTTCCTAACACTCGCACCAGCCAGAGGACAAAGCATTCTGGGGGTCTGGGCTGGGAGGACACACGAAGTCCTTACAGTGCCAAAAAGCTTGGTCCCTCCCAGGCTGGACAAAAGCTCATGGTGGTTGGGGCAAGCAGGAGGGGAGAGAGGCAGAGCCAGGCTCTGAGCAGCAGGCAGGCGCCCCACCTCACTGAGCTAGGGCCTATGGGGCACGGTGAGGAGCTGGGTTTTAGTTAGAAGTCAGGTGGAAGCTGCTGGAGGATTTTAGGCAGGGGAATCATAGGGTATTATCAGCTCTACAAACAGAGAATTCAGGTGTTGTGTGGAGAAGGGATTCTGGGGGGCAAATGTGAAGGAAGAGAGGCCAGGTAGAAAAGTGATCAGAGCAGAGCAGAAAACACACCTGCATTCACACGCTCATGCACACACACATACACACATGCACACATACTCTCACACACATGCACACATACCCTCACAATGCTCTCACACAATTGTGCACACATACACACATGCACACATACTCTCACAATGCTCTCACATGCCCCACAGACACACACTCTCTTACAGACTCACACATTCACATGCACTCTCATGTACTCACACTCCCTCACACACACAAACTTTTATACATATTAGCATACACACTCAGACAAACATACACACTCAAGCACATCCCAGTGGTGACTGATCAGTGCAGTCACTGTGCACATTGTAACACAGGAGAGAAACGGCAGCTTTAAGGGATTGTGAGCCAAAGCAATCCTCCTGCCTTGGCCTCCCTAAAAGCTGGGATTACAAGCATGAGCCACCACACTTGGCCTCAATGCAAAATTTTTTTTGTTTTTTGAGACAGAGTCTCTTTCTGTCACCCAGGCCGGGGTGCAGTGGCGTGATCTTGGCTCACTGCAACCTCCACCTCCCTGGTTCAAGTGGTTCTCCTGCCTCAGCCTCCTGAGTAGCTGGGATTACAGGCACCCACCACCACACCTGGCTAATTTTTGTATTTTTAGTAGAGACGGGTTTTCACCATATTGGCCAGGCTGGTCTTGAACTCCTGACCTTGCAATCCGCCCACCTCAGCCTCCCAAAGTGCTGGGATTATAGGCGTGAGCCACCGTGCCTGGCCACCTCAGTGCAATTCTTAAATGACACTGAAAATTGTTAGCTTAGTATGATGTTTTTCCAGCCATACTGGGAATACTGAATTGACTTAATTTATGCATAGGAGGCAACATGCTGCCTGAAGAAAAAGTATCCTAAACCCTAATGGTTCAAGTCATCGGGTATTTCCAAGTTCACCAAGAAATTCAAACCCTGTCCTTCTTTACCATTTGAGGGAAAGCTGACACAGATCTAAATCTTGATGTCTTTCATGTGTACTGCCAACAAGTAAGGCAGCACAGAAGAGTAAAAATGCCTCAGTTTCTCAAATCTTGCTCTTGCGTTCAAATCTTGACTTTGCTGTCTCAGTCTGCCTGTGTATTGAATGGGTGCAATAACAGTTATCGCCCATTCTTTTTTTTTTTTTTTTTTTTTTTTTTTTGAGACAGAGTCTCACTCTGTTGCCTAGGCTGGAGTGCAGTGGCGCAATCTCGGCTCACTGCAAGCTCTGCCTCCCGGGTTCATGCCATTCTTCTGCCTCAGCCTTGCGAGTAGCTGGGACTACAGGCGCCCGCCACCACGCCCAGCTAATTTTTTGTGCTTTTAGTAGAGACGGGGTTTCACTGTGTTAGCCAGGATGGTTTCAATCTCCTGACCTCGTGATCTGCCCACCTCAGGCTCCTAAAGTACTGGGATTACAGGCATGAGCCAATGAGCCACTGCACCTGGCCCAGTTATAGCCTATTCTTTTTTTTTTTTTTTTTTTTGAGACGGAGTCTTGATGTCACCCAGGCTGGAGTGCAGTGGTGCGATCTCGGCTCACTGCAGGCTCCACCCTCTAGGGTTCATGCCATTCTCCTGCCTCAGCAGCTGGGACTACAGGCACCCGCCACCTCGCCTGGCTAATTTTTTGTATTTTTAGTAGAGATGGGGTTTCACCGTGTTAGCCAGGATGGTCTCGATCTCCTGACCTCGTAATCCACCCACCTCGGCCTCCCAAAGTGCTGGGATTACAGGAGTGAGCCACCGCGCCTGGCCAGTTATAGCCCATTCTTATAGCACTGAAGGAATTGTGCAATGGCTATGTAACCCCTGGGTCAAGTGCCTGATTCAAGATGGTGGAAAAACATTCCTTTCCATTCTATAGAACACATATGTATTGGATGTCTTTTCTGTGCTGGGTATAGTGCTTGGTGCTTAGGGAAAAAGCACTAGAGAGACAGATGTGGTTTGTGCTTGTGACAGTTTCATGTGTCAACTTGACTGGGCTAAGGGATACCTAGGTAATTGGTAAAACATTAGTTCTGGTGTGTCTGTGAGGGTGTTTGCAGAAAAGATTAGCATTTGAATTTATAGATGGAGTGAAGCAGATCCACTGCAAACTTCTCTACGCTCTCCTCCAAACCACATGGCACTCCTCTGTGCCGTGAGGTTTTGTCATGTTCGTTATCTGTGGATGTCATAGCTCTGCAGTTACCTGCTATGGTTTGGAAATGGGCTTATTCATCTCTACCATCGGTGCAGTGGCTTTGGGAGATGGGGCCTAGCGGGAGGTGTTTGGGTCATGGGGATGGATCCCTCGTGAATGTCTTGGTACTGTTCTTGTGGTGATGAGTTCTCACTCTGATGAGCCTGGATAATTTCCCACAGAATGAATTAGTTCCCGCAAAAGTTGACTGTTAAACAGACAGAATGCTTCTTGCATTTTGTTTCTTCAGGTGTGTCTTCTTGCCCTTTGACCTTCTTCATCATGTATGTTATGATGCAGCACAAAAGCTCTCACCAGAAACCAGGGCCATGCTCTTGAACTTCTCAGCCTGCAGAACTGTGAGCTAAATAAACCTCTTTTCTTTATACATTACCCAGACTCAAGTATTCTGTTTTAGCGACACAAAATAGACTATGATGGAAGATTGGTATTGAGCAGTGGGGTCTTTTTATAAAGGTACTTGAAAATGTGGAAGCCAGTGTGGAACTGGGAAATGGCCACAGGTTGAAAGAGTTTGGAGGAGCTGGCTAGAAAAGCACTGCATTGCCCTGAAGTGGGCATTAAGGATAATTCTGGTGAGGGCCCAAAGAAGACAAAGAGATTAGGGTAAGTTTGGAATTTCTTGGAGACTAGTTAAGTTATTGTGACCAAAATGTTTATAGAATTATGGACAGTAAAGGCCATTCTGATAAGGTCACAGATGGAAATGGGAAGTATCTATTTGGAAACTGGAACAAAGGTCACACTTGTTACAAATATTTGTATTTATGCCCTAAGGCTTTATGGAAGGTTGAACTTAAGAGGGATGACCTAAGATAATCTGGCGGATGAAATTTCTAAGCAGCAAATCACTCAAGAAGTGGTGTGGTTACTTTCAACAGCTTATGCTCAGTTATGGCAGCAAAAGAATGACCTGAAGGCAGAATTTACAATTAAAAGGGAAGCATAGAAATTTGGAAAATTTCCAGCCTGGCCATGTGGCAGAGAATGAAAGGGCATTTTCAGGAGAGGAATTTAAGAGTTCAGCAGAGTAATCACTTGCTGAGGAGATGACTGGGGGTGAAAAGGGAGCCAAGTGGTAACAGTAAGAAAAATGGGGGCTGGGCATGGTGGCTCACGCCTGTAATCCTAGCACTTTAGGAGACCGAGGTGGGCTGATCATCTGAGGTCAGGAGTTGGAGACCAGCCTGGCCAACATAGTGAGGCCTTGTCTCTACTAAAAACACAAAAATTACCTGGGTTTGGTGGCGGGCGCCTGTAATGCCAGCTACTCAGGAGGCTAAGGCGGGTAATCGCTTGGCCAGGGAGGTGAAGGTTGCAGTGAGCAGAGCTGGAGCCACTGCACTCCAGCCTAGATGACAGAGTGAGACTCCGTCTCAAAAAAAAAAAAAAAAAAGGACAATGGGAAAAGGCTGGAGAGGCATTTCGGAGATCCCTGAGGCCTGCCCCTCCCATCTGCCCAGATGCCTGAAAAGGCAGAATAATTTGGGGGGATGGGCCTGGGACCCTGATGCCCTGTGTAGCCTCAGGAAGCTGTTCCCTGGATCCAGCCTGGAGCAGCGGTGGCACAATTGGCTGAGATATTAAAGTGGTGTCATTGTCTGGGATAAAACCTGAGGTTCCTTGTCCCATGGCCATGGAAAACTAGGATGCTTACACACCAGAGTGAGGTTAAACTCAGAAGTTTAATAGGCGAAAGAAAAAGAAGAGATCTCTGTGCAAAGAGGGGTCTCAGAGAAAAATGGGTTGCTGTGGTGAAATGTAGGAGGTTTTATAGATGAGCTTGAGGAGGCAGTGTCTGATTTACAAAGCACATGAAAGATTGGCTGGACCAGGTGTGCCATTTGCATAGCACGCAAATGGCTGAGGACACAGCTCCTGAGAACTCAAGTTGTAAGCCTTGGAGATGTCCATGTGATGTCAAGTCTGCAGGCACCTAGAAGGCGAGAGCTGTAGAGGCTTGGCAGCTTCCTTTTTGATTTCAGAGGATGTTTCTGAAAATCTAGGGTCCAAGGCAGAAAACTGCTGTGGGGCACAGCCACCATAGAGTCCCTCCTGGGGCAATGCCTGGTGGAACTATGGGGCCAGGGTCACCACTGAAAACCTGGAATGGGAAAGCCACCAACAATATGAAACCTCAGCCTGGAAAAGCTGCCAGCACCAAACTCCAACCCATGAGAGCAGCTGCATGGGCTGTGCCCCGCAAAGCCATGGGAGCAGGGCTGGCTAAGACACTCACTGAGTGTTTCCTTACTAGGTGTTGACTTCTGCAGCAACTGAAATATATTCCTTGTCTAATTCTGACGAGGCAGGCTAATTAGAATTCTAATGCATAAACACCCCCTTTAGCTGGGCACTGTGACTCATGCCTGTAATCCTAGCACTTTGGGAGGCTGAGGCGGGCAGATCACCTGAGGTCAAGAGTTCGAGACCAGCCGGGCCAATATGGTGAAACCCCCTCTTTACTAAAAATACAAAAATTAGCCAGTTGTAGTGGCACATGCCTGTAATCCCAGCTACTTGGGAGGCTGAGGCAGGAGAATTGCTTGAACCCGGGAGGCGGAGGTTGCAGTGAGCCGAGATTGCGCCATTGCACTCCAGACTTGGAGACACAGAGAGACTCTGTCTAAAAATAAAAAAAAAAAAAAAACCCAAGAAAACAAAAAACAAAAACAAAAACAAAACGCTTTAGCTGTCTAGAGAACATTAATGGTTGTGCATATATCAGTTGTTCTCAAAATGTGGGCTGTGGATACCTGAGGGTCCTTGAGAGCTCCTCAGGGGATTACTGTCCTTCCCATACCAGGACAATGTTCTTTGCCCTTTTCACTGTGTTTAGATTTTCACTGATGGTGCAAAAGCAATGGTGTCTGATACTGCTGGTGTCTCAGTGTGAATGTGGTCACTGACACTGTAAACCTAAAATAAAAGTCTAAGCCCCCCAACCCTCAGAATGGACTTCCTCCTAGGCCAGGGAACTCTTATATTTAACCTGAAAGACTGGTTCAGGCCATGACGGGGAGAGGGGGTTGGGCACGCCTCATTTTCCCTCTCAGGCACCAACATCAACGCAGACTTTAAGTCTGACAAGAAACATTTACAGGCCGGTTTGGTGGCTCACGCCTGTAATCCCAACACTTTGGGAGGCCAAGGCAAGTGGATCACCTGAGGCCAGGAGTTCAAGACTAGCCTGGCCAACATGGAGAAACCCCGTCTCTACTAAAAACACAAAAATTAGCCAGGTGTGGTGGTGCGTCCCTGTAATCCCAGCTACTTGGGAGACTGAGACAGGAGAATTGCTTGAACGTGGGAGGCAGATGTTGCAGGGAGCCGAGATCACGCCACTGCACTCCAGCCTGGGAGACAGAGTGAGACTTAGTGTCAAAAAAAAGAGGCCGGGCGCGGTGGCTCACGTCTGTAATCCCAGCGCTTTGGGAGGCCGAGGCAGGCAGATCACGAGGTCAGGAAATCGAGACCATCCTGGCTAACACGTTGAAACCCCGTCTCTACTAAAAAATACAAAAATTAGCTGGGCGTGGTGGCAGGCGCCTGTAGTCCCAGCTACTCGCAAGGCTGAGGCAGGAGAATGACATGAACCCGGGAGGCGGAGCTTACAATGAGCCGAGAGTGTGCCACTGCACTCTAGCCCGGGTGACAGAGCAAGACTCTGTCTCAAAAAAAAAAAGAAAGAGAGAGAGAGAGGGAGGGAGGGAGGGAGGGAGGGAGAGAGAGAGAGAAAAAGAAAGAGAGAGAAAGAAAGAAAGAAAGAAAGAAAGAAAGAAAGAAAGAAAGAAAGAAAGAAAGAAAGAAAGACAAGAAAGAAGAAACATTTACAATCTACTGTAATGTATTCTCCTGCAGATGAAGCCTGCTACCTGGAGGCTTCATCTGCATGAAAAAAACTTTAGTCTCCACAATCTCTTATCGCAACCCAGACATTCCTTTCTACTGATAACTCTTTCAACCAATTGCCAATTAGAAAAATTGTAAATGTACTTATAACCTGTAAGCACCCCCGCTTCCTGCTTCAAGTTGTCCCACCTTTCTGTACCGAACCAATGTATTTCTTCAATGTATTTGATTGAAGTCTCATGTCTCCCTAAAATGTATAAAACCAAGCTGCACCCGGACCACCTTGGACACACGTTCTCAAGATCTCCTGAGGGCTGTGTCATGGGCCATGGTCACTCATATTTGGCTCAGAATAAATCTTTTCAAATATTTTACAGAGTTTGACTGTTTTCTTCAACACAGAGTTCGTTACTGCCACAAACTTAGAGTAAGAAAACTCAGTTTCTGATTAAACAGTGAACACTATTGATCAAAGGTCGAGCCCCTGAGTACAGATCTCTTAAATATATCCTGTGGGTTGCAATTGGAAGGGCACAGAAAGCCCCTTTGCTGCTTGCTGAATGGCGCTTGCTGAATGGCACATGCTGTCTGAACAGAAGCGCTTGTGTGATCCTTGCCTTGGAGCTGAACAGACAGCCTTTGCCAGGGAAGGAGCAACTGACAGGCTGTGGTCTTTCACACTTGTGTATTGGTCGGCTCATAGAGACTCTTGTGAAGAGAATGGGGACGCTATTGACAAATGGGGTTTCTTTTTTCCTATTAAATAATAAAATGAGTCAACATTTGGAAGATCTGCTTAATTCAGTGAATCAACATTTTTCAAATGACCAACGGATGATGTTACTGATTCACGCATAGGTAAGAGATTCATTCAGTGTGCTAGAGAGACCAACAGATTTTATACATAGAGTAGGAAAAGTTCATTGATTCCACAGTGTAATTAAACTTTAAGGAACTATCGCATGTCAAGTTTTGGTGGATTATCAAATAAAAATATTGACAATAATCTAAAAATGCCATTAAAAGTGCTCCATCGGCCTGACGTGATGGCTCACACCTGTAATCCCAGCATTTTGGGAGGCCAAGGTGGGCGGATCACGAGGTCAGGAGATCGAGACCATCCTGGCTAACACAGTGAAACTCCGTCTCTACTAAAAAAATACAAAAAATTAGCTGAGTGTGGTGGCAGGCGCCTGTAGTCCCAGCTACTCAGGAGGCTGAGGCAGGAGAATGGCATTAACCCGGGAAGCGGAGCTTGCAGTGAGCCGAGACCACGCCACGACAGCCTGGGCGACAGTGCAAGGCTCCATCTCAAAAAAAAAAAAAGTGCTCCATCATTTCTTTTTTTTTGTTTTGAGATGGAGTCTCGCTCTTTCGCCCAGGCCAGAGTGCAGTGGCGCTATCTCAGCTCACTGCAAGCTCCTCCTCCTGGGTTCACGCCATTCTCCTTCCACAGCCTCCCGAGTAGCTGGGTCTACAGGCGCCCACCACCGCGCCCGGCTAATTTTTTGTATTTTTAGTAGAGACTGGGTTTCACCGTGTTAGCCAGGATGGTCTCGATCTCCTGACCTCGTGATCCGCCTGCCTCAGCCTCCCAAAGTGCTGGGATTACAGGCGTGAGCCACCGTGCCCGGCCTATCATTTCTTAACTACCTATCTACGTGAACCTAGATTTTCTTTTCATATTTCACCAAAACAATACTCTGCACAGACTGAATGCAAAAGCAGATTGAGAATCCAGAATCTCCACTAAGCCAGATATTAAATAGATTTGCATAAAATGAAAACGACACCATTCTTTCCACTAAGTTATCTGGTTTGGGCACATACAGTAGTTGATTTCCTTAAATTACTATTATTTATGTTAATATGTGATTGATTTATTACATTTTAAATAAATAAATGTTTAGTTTAAACAATTTCTACTATGATAAATATTGATAGTATGAAACACATAAACATCAGCTCTTTTGGCCTCTTAATAATTTTTTTTTTCTTTGAGATGGAGTCTCGCTCTGTCACCCAGATCACGCCACTGCACTCCAGCCTGGGTGACAGAGCAAGACTCCATCTCAAAAAAAAAAAAAAAAAAAGTTGCTCATCTAACAGGTACCTGTGAGAGACACGGCTCTGGAGACGAAGACAGCCTCGTGCAGGGGACCTCCTGGGATTGCTGTGGACCTTGGTCCTCCTCAACCCTGTTACACCCACACTGTCGGAAACCAAGGCCCGGGAGGTGGAGTGGCTCGCTCTGCTTCACACTGCTGCACCACAGCATTCACACCCATCCCAGGGCTGTCTGGCTGCATTCTCTCTGTTCTCTACAGTGCTTCAGACAATGAGTTGAAAGTTTACAAACCTGTGCCACTCTATATTCAATATGCACTGACATAGTTGTGTAAAAATTACTTATATATGTCCTAGAAGTGGTATTTACAGATTGAAAAAATTCCTAGAAAGCAAATAAAATGAAACTGTAGGATGCGGAGTATGTGATTTTTATTTAAAAGTTGAGTGAAGATAATTTCCACTAGTGCTTCAAAGTGTTCTGATGGCTTCCACACCTATTAACCTGCACATATGAATCCCACAGTGTCCTGGAGAAATTGTTACCCCAGTTTACAGATCACGAAATGAGGTTCTGAGAAGTTAAGTAACTGAGTCACAGACACATTCAGTGTGGGCAGGCTGGTGCGGGTCTGAAGCTCTTGCCCTCTCCTCTCCAAGGTGCTGACAATCTCTCAGGCTAATGAGGCTAACAGGCCATTACTTGTCCCCTGTGCTTTTCCAAGGACATGGACACAGGGGTAACTCCAACCCCTCCCATTCCTTCAGCAACAATGGGGCATGTTGACTTTGGGTCTCCTAAGGTTAGAGGCTCTCATCACGTTGTCTCTATCCATTTACCAGTGACAACACCAAACAATGTTTGTCTACGGTGCCCGGTGAATTGCCATTAGCTTTGCGGGAAACTCTCAGAATAGAGCATTAAAGGGTAGGAAGTTGAGCCCAGTGGCCAGGAATTTGGACCTTCTAGCCAAGCTTAGGGAGATTCACGCTGGCTGGATTTCCCTCACTGGAGGCTTGTTTGAAAAGACCTCCCAAGCCAGGGTGGCACTGCGTGTAGCTCCTGGAAGCAATCCTCATGCTGGCCAAACACGCCTACCTTGGGTGGTCAGCACAGCAGCCCAACTCCCCAGCTCCACTTCTCACAGTGAGAATCAAGATTTAGAAACTGCTGTGATTACAGAAGCTGCTAATATGTTGTTAGGGCCAGGTACCTCAAAGGACATTTCTTCAGCTAGGCAACCTCTTCCATAACAGTGGCCTGGTGAAAGTGCACACAAAATGCCTAAAAGAAAAGCGTATAATGGAGAGAAACGCACATGGTGCTCAAGTGCCAGCACAGAAACTGCAGTGTGGTGGCCCCAGCCCCTGCCAGTAGGAAGGGATAGTCCATATCAGTACTCATCACTGCAGTAAAAGGTGTGAATAAAAGGGTTGGGAGAATGGATATAAAGTCCAAGGACTTTGCTTCTTAAAAAAATTAATAGGCCAGGCGTGGTGGCTCACACTTGTAATTCCAGCACCTTGGGAGGTGGAGGTGGGCGGACCACTTGAGGTCAGGAGTTCGAGACCAGCCTGGCCAACATGGTGAAGCCACGTCTCTACTAAAATTACAAAAATTAGCTGGGCATGTGGCGGGTGCCTGTAATCCCAGCTACTCAGGAGACTGAGACAGGAGAATCACTTGAACCCGGGAGGCAGAGGTTGCAGTGAGCCGAGATCGCACCACTGCACTCCAGCCTGGGCAAGAGAGTGAGACCTTGTCTTTAAAAAAAAAAAAATTAATACACTTTATTTTCTATAACAGTTTTAGTTTTACAGAAAAATTGAGCAGATGGTACAGAAAGTTCCCATATTGCTCCTGCCCAACAGCTGCCTTTTTATCAACACCCTCCACCAGAGTGAGGCTTTCGTTATAACTGACGGATCTGCACTGACCCATCCTTAACACTCAAGGTCCATGGTTTACTTTAGGGTCTGTTCTTGGTGTTGTATATTCTATTGGTTTTAACAAATGTGTAATGTCATGCACTCACCATTAGAGTATATCATACGGTAGTTTCACTGCCCTAAAAGTCCCCTCTGCGCCACCTATTTATCCCTCCCCCAAACCCCTAATCTTTTTATTGTCTTCATAGTTTTGCCTTTTCCAAAACGTCACAGAGCTGGAATCATACAGTATGTAGCCTGTTCAGATGGACTTCTTTCACTCTGCAGTATGCATCTGGGGTTCCTCTGTGTCTCTTCTTGGCTTGATAGTTTCTTTCCTTTTAGCGCTGAATAATATTTTATTGTCTAGATGGACTATAGTTTATGTATCCATTCACTTACTGAAGGACATCTTGGCTGCTTCCAAATTTTGGCAATTATAGATAAAACTGCTGTAAACATCTGTGTACAGGTTTTTAGGTTTTCAGCTCTTTTGGGTAAATGCCAAGAAGCTCAATTGCTAGATCGCATGACAAGAATATGCTTAGTTTTGTAAGAAATCACCTTAGAAACTGCCTATCCATGAAATTGCAAAGAAGGTAAAAGAAGTTTGTGCTAGCTTTGCTGTTGTGCTTCAGACTGCAACAGTTGCAGCCACAGTGTGTGATATATTAAGATTGGAAAGGCATCACATTTGCCCGTGGAAGACTTAAACAGAAACTTGTTACAATTTTTTTTTTTTTTTTTTTTGGTGGGGGACAGAGTCTCACTCTGTTACCCAGGCTGGAGTACAGTGGTGCAATCTCAGCTCACTGCAATCTCTGCCTCTCCGGTTCAAGTGATTCTCCTGCCTCAGCCTCCCCAGTAGCAGAGATTACAGGCACATGCCACCACATCTGGCTAATTTTTGTATTTTTAGTGGAGACAGGGTTTTGCTACGTTGACCAGGCTGGTCTTGAACTCCTGACCTCAAGTCATCTGCCTGCCTTGGCCTCCCAAAGTGCTGGGATTACAGGGGTGAGCCACCTCACCCAGCTAACATGTTACAATTAACAGCAATTCCGTTTGGTATCATCTGTAGTTTCAGGATGGGGGGAGGGGGGCTTGGATAAGAGCTTGGATAAGACTGTCAATGCCAGGAGACATAGTCGTGTGTCCCTTAATGATAAGGATATGTTCCGAGAAGTGCATTGTTAGATGATTTCATCATTGCGTATATGTCAGAGTGGACTTATACAAAACTAGATGGACTAGCCTACAACACACTCATGCTGTATGGTATGGCCTATTGCTCCTAGGCTACACACCTGTGCAGCCTGTACTATACTGAATACTGAAGGCAACTGTAACACAATGGGAAGTATTTGTGCATCTAAATATATCTGAACATAGAAAAGCTGCAGTAAAAATATAGCATACAAGATAAAAAATGGTACATCTGTGTAGGGCACTTCCCAGGAATGGAGCTTGCAGGACTGGAAGTTGCTCTTGGTGAGTCAATGAGTAGGTGGTGAGTGAATGTGAAGGCCTAGGCCATTACTATGCACTACTACACACTTTATAAACACTTAGGCTACACTAAACTCATTAAAAAATACTTTTCTTTCTTTAATAATAAATTAAGCTCAGTTTACTGTAACCTTTTTACTTCATAAACTTTTTGATTTTTTAAACTTTTTTTTTTTTGAGATGAAGTCTCATTCTGTCTCCCAGGCTGGAGTGCAGTGGGGCAATCTCAACTCACTGCAGCCTGTGCCTCGTGGGCTCAAGGGATTCTCCTGCTGGGATTATAGGCACTCGCCACCATGCCTGGCTTTTTTTTTTTTTTTTTTTTTTTCTGAGACGGAGTCTCCCTCTGTCGCCCAGGCTGGAGTGCAGTGGCACGATCTCGGCTCACTGCAACCTCTACCCTCCGAGTTCAAGCGATTCTCCTGCCTCAGCCTCCTGAGTTGCTGGGATTACAGGCGCCTGCCACCTCGCCTGGCTAATTTTTTTGTATTTTTAGTAGAGACAGTGTTTCACCATCTCAGCCAGGCTGGTCTTGAACTCCTGACTTTGTGATCCACCTGCCTCTGCCTCCCAAAGTGCTGGGATCACAGGCATGAGTGACTGCACCCGGCCAATTTTTGTATTTTTAGTAGAGACAGGGTTTCACCATGGCCAGGCTGGTCTTGAACTCCTGACCTCAAGTGATCCACCCGCCTCGGCCTTCTAAAGTGCTGGGATTGCAGGTGTGAGCCACCACACCTGGCCTGGTTTTTTAAACGTTTTGATGCTTTTGTAATAACACTTAGCCCAAGACACAAACACATTGCATAGCTGTACAAAAATATTTTTTTCTTTATATCCTTATTCTGTAAGTTTTTTTTTCTATTTCTGTTTCTAGTTATTTACTTATTTATTTTTTACTTTCTAAAGTTTTATGTTAAAAATGAAGACAAAAACACACATATTAGCCTGGGCCTACACAGGGTAAGGAGCATCAATGTCACGGTCCTTTACCTCCACGTCTTGTCCCACAGGAAGGTCTTCAGGGACTAACACACATGGAGCTGTCGTTTCCTGCAATAGCAGTGTCTCCTTCGATACCTCCTGAAGGGCCTACCTGAGCCTGCTTTGCAGTTAACTTCTTTTTTGCATAAGTAAGACTACACTCTAAAGTTATTATAAAAGTATAGCATAGGGCCAGGTGTGGTGGCTCACACCTGTAATCCCAGCACTTTGGGAGGCCAAGGTGGGCAGATCACGAGGTCAGGAGTTCGAGACCAGTCTGGCCAACATGGTGAAATCCCATCTTTACTAAAAATACAAAAAATTAACCGGGTGTGGTGGTGTGCGCCTGTAGTCCCAACTACTCAGGAGGTTGAGGCAGGAGAATAGCGTGAACCTGGGAGGTGGAGGTTGCAGTGAGCCGAGATCGCGCCATTTCACTCCAGCCTGGGCGACACAGCAAGACTGTGTGTCTGAAAAAAAAAATAGCATAGTAAATACTAGGGGATAGGAGTTCTTTAGCTCCATTATAATCTTATGGAACCACTGTCACATACGTGGCCTGCCACTGACTGAAGCGTCAATATGCGCTGCATGAGTGCATTTTTGTGGCACATGAGTATGGTTTTGTTTCTTTTTGGCAGTCAGTGCGCAAGGGTGAGTGTTGAAGAGAACATCACGCAGTACATTTTAACGTGTGGCTTCCACTATAAAATCTGTGGTTAACTACTGACCCTTTTATTAAGCTTATTATGAGGGTGATTTGAGAAAAGATTTCTGAAAAAAAAACACACGTGCTTCAAATTTTTATGCAAAACAAAATTAAACCTAAAACGGCTAGTGGCAACTGCTTAGCCTTTGGTATTGCTTTTAATTATTTAATTATTTATTTATTTATTGAGATGGAGTTTCACTCTGTTGCCCAGGCTGGAATACAGTGGCACAATCTTGGCTCACTGCAACCTCTGCCTCCAAGGTTTAAGTGATTCTCGTGCCTCAGCCTCCCAAGTAGCTGGGATTACAGGGCACATGTCACCACACCCGGCTAATTTTTGTATTTTTAGTAGAGACAGTGTTTCACATGTTGGCCAGGCTGCTGTCGAACTCCTGACCTCAGGTGATCCACCCGCCTCAGCCTCCCAAAGTGCTGAGATTACAGGTGGGAGCCACCGTGCCCAGCCTGGCATTGCTTTTAAAAACACGTGTTCATGGTGGAGAAAAGCTGTGGTCCTAGTGTCCTGTCTTCTGTCCTCATTGTCTGGGAGGCCTAACCTTAGGCTTCCCTCGGAGCAATAAAGGAACTATAGGGTCTTAGAGCTGGGAAGGGGCTCCCATGTGCCTGATCTTGAGGCCATGGAGCCTGCGAAAGGGAAGCAAGAGGTCTATGGGATGCCACAAGGCTGTGGCTGGATCAAGCCATCGTCCTAAGAGGATTCCAAACAGTCAGAAAAGCGGGGAGATGAAAAGGGCCTCACAGTGCTGGGCAAGGGGCGCACAAAGGGGCTCTGTTCCTGTGCCCCCAGGGTGCCCCCTCTGCCTGCCTGGCTCTCATGGTTGTCAAAACAGAGGGAACATTCCTCAGCTGACCCAGGACACAAAGGCTTGTCCTGGGCTGGGAGCGAGGCGCAGTGGTTTCATTAGTCCAGGCACAGTCATAAATCCCTCCCCGGAAGCCTGGCCTGCCGCCTCAACGACCAGCCTGAGAGCCATGGCCAGTCCCACAAGTCCAAGGTAGGCTTATTTTTCTTCATTTGTAGAAAAGACTTTTTAGTCACTGTAACATCAATTGTTCATTGTGGAAAATTTGGAAACTACTGAAATCAAAGAATAGAAAGCAAAAGTCATATATACTATCTGTATCCACAAATAATTACTGAATACAAACACGATGTATGTGTATTTACATACATATTACGTATATATTTTTATATATATGTCAAATATCTGTATATGTTTGAATGGGGCGGGATTAGTGTTTTGTCAACCTTTTTATTGTGAAATACAGTACTTAGAATGCATCAACATAAGATGTGCAGGTTAACAAATAATTATCATGTAAATCCCATGAAGCTGTCAGTGACACCAAAGACCCCGTGAAATAGTTTCTTCTGAGTCCCCCACCTTGACTGTAGCAGTAACTGCCATCCTAATTTTGAGGACACATCCTGTTGCGTTTCTTTGTGGTTTACCATCTACATATGTGTCCCTAAAAAGTTTAGTTTAGCTTATTTTTGAACTGTGTATGAATAGAACTCTCCCATTTATATACCTTTGTTTCTGGGGTGTTTTGCTCAGTTTTGTTTGGAAGATGAATTTATCAATGTTGTTGATTGAATGTAGTTCATTCATCCTCATGAGTGTAGAGTGTGCCTTTCCAGGAATAAGCTACTTTCTGTTTATCATTTACTGCTGAGGGAACATTTGGGTTCTTTCCAGCGTTGGACTTCTACACACAGTGCTTCGTTGGTTCCCGTGGCCTGTGTGCCCGGACTTCTCATGTGCAGGCCTTGGATGAGAAGCATTGTGTCAACAGGTATCCAAAGAAGATAATGCTGAACTGCTTTTCAAATGGCTGCACCATTTATGTTCCAGATACTCCCCATCCTCCCCAGCATTGTCAGATATCTGGAAGGTTTCTGAGAGTTTCTCATGATGGTGCATGCAGAAATAGCTGACACATAGTAGACATTTAGTATTGTTTGTGGAGGGGCAGGGAATGATGGCTCACGCCTGGAATCCCAGCACTTTGGGAGGCCAATGTGGGCAGATCATTTGAGGTCAGGAATTTGAGACCAGCCTGGCCAACATGGCACAACCCCATCTCTACTAAAACTACAAAATAAAATAAAATTAGCCACTGTGGTGGCACACGCCTGTAATCCCAGCTACTTGGGAGGCTGAGGCAGGAGAATCGCTTGAACTAGGGAGGTGGAGGTTGCAGTGAGCCGAGATCCATCACTGCACTCTAGCCTGGACGACAGATCGAGACTGTCTCAAAGAAAAAAAAAAGTGTCTTGCAGCTCTATTTATTATGAGTGTAATTAGTTATATAATTACTTATATCTCATTAAATATATATTGTATAGCTATACATTAGTAGCTTAACAGTATATACTATACATATAGTTTCATACAGTTCTATTTATTATCAATTATATATTAGTTATTTGTCAGTTATACATGTTAGCTCTATGATGAGTTATTTTAGGTAGCTAAAGTATTTTAGTGAGTATAGACAGCCTACTTTGACTCTGCATCTTGTTTTTCATTTGTAAAATAAAGATAATAATCCTTGGGCCGGGCGTGGTGGCACATGCCCATAATCCCAGCATTTTGGGAGGCCGAAGTGGGTGGATCACCTGAGGTTGGGAGTTCGAAACCAGCCTGACCGACGTGGTGAAACCCCATCTCTACTAAAAAAACAAAAAATTAGCCAGGCACGGTGGTGCACGCCTGTAAACCCAGCTACTTGGGAGGCTGAGGCAGGAGAATCGCTTGAACCCAGGTGGCAGAGGTTGCAGTGAGCCGAGATCATGCTACTGCGCTCCAGCCTGGGAGAGAGAGTGAAACTCCATCTTAAAAAAATAAAAATAAAAATAAAAATAAATAATAATAATTCCTGCCTCATAGAGTTGTCATAAGAATTAAATAAGCAATCAGACAGATTTCTGGTACATCATAAACATTTTAACAAATGTTTATTTCCTTGTCTTAAATAATAACTGTAGAACACTGCTGAAAGGGCTGCTTATCAGAGTTGCCTGATTTAATGTTAGCTAAGGGCATTCACCTTGCCATTCATGTGCTTCAAACTACTCTAATCTAGAGGATTGTGTAATCTATTTAAAATCTTATTTTCATTTAAGAAAACTGTTAACTTCTCTCTCTGTTACTTTGCCTTGAAAAATATTTTTAAAATGTGTGCTACCAAATAACTCATGAGTCATCCATCGTTTCTTACAGTGACCCATCTGGAGAGAGTGACTTTTAAAATGTGTGAATGTTCCAGGATCACGACACCCTGGAATTCAGGATGGCCAGGACTGCAGCCCCCTTTTGTGAGGTTTCCGAAGCAGACTTGGGCCTGCAGGCCAGATGGACACAGCAGGCCTTTGCTTTCTATGCACCACCAGAAAATGCTTGATGATTCACTGGCTTTCTTTGAATCAAATGTAGATTATACAGAGCTGTTAAGTGTGGACTTTTTTTTTTTTTTGACAGAGTCTCATTCTGTCACCCAGGCTGGAGTGCAGAAGTGGTGCGATCTCGGCTCACTGCAAGCTCCGCTTCCCGGGTTCCTGCCATTTTCCTGCCTCAGCCTCCCGAGTAGCTGGGACTACAGGCACCTGCCACCATGCCCAGCTAATTTTTTGTATTTTCAGTAGAGATGGGGTTTCACTGTGTTAGCCAGGATGGTATCGATCTCCTGACCTCATGATCCGCCCGCCTCAGCCTCCCAAAGTGCTGGAATTACAGGCGTCAGCCACGGCGCCCCACCAAGTGTGGAATATTTTTAAGACAAAGGATATGATTTTTTTAACCTGTATCTTTGATGTGTAGTTTTTGACCATTAAATATGACCTTTTTTGATCTTATATTTAAAAAGATGCGCTGGCTTATATTAGACACAAGTAGAAAATTTAACTTTTCCAAGAGCAACACATAATTTTTAGTCATGGTTTGCTCATATTAAACATATGGTTACTGTATTACTAAAAAATATCAAAGTAATTTATGACTTTTAGAAAATCCACAATGCTGGTCCTTATTAAAAAAAGCATCAGGGTGAAGGTTACTGGAAGGAGTGCTCTTTTGCAGTTATTTGTCTTTGGATATTTTTAACATCTTTCATTACAGAAAGCTAAGTAGAAGTAGACAAGGAACATTTTGTCCTTGAGTCTAAAAATATGATTTTCCCCTTTCTTTCAAATTTTGAAGACTTTAACATCTCATAGTTTCTTTTTTAATGAAATCATTTAAACATAAAGTCACTGGAATATTTTTAATGAGCCATTTCAAAGAACTAATGAATTAAAATAACTTTCTGTTTCTCATCTTAACTGTTCTTTCCCTGACTGTAGAATTATTATTTGGAAAGTGGAAAGACTGGCCGGGTGCATTGGCTCACGCCTGTAATCCCAGCACTTTGGGAGGCTGAGGTGGGTGGATCATGGGGTCAGGAGATCGAGACCATCCTGGTTAACACGGTGAAACCCTGTCTCTACTAAAAAATACAAAAAATTAGCCGGGCGTGGTGGCAGGCGCCTGTAGTCCCAGCTACTCGGGAGGCTGAGGCAGGAGAATGGCGTGAACCCGGGAGGTGGAGCTTGCAGTGAGCCGAGATTGTGCCACTGCACTCCAGCCTGGGTGACAGAGCAAGACTCCGTCTCAAAAAAAAAAAAAAGAAAAAAGAAAGTGGAAAGATTAAATCTTGGCAGGAGGGAAAGATAGAAGTTGGGGAGAGCTATGTGTAAGGTGATAAAGTTCTGGAAGATGTGAATGGGGAAGAGACAGTCCAGTGGAAGGCCCAAAAGCCCGATTCTCTGAGGCACAGTACCAAATCTCTTCCACTGTCTAGATCTGGAAACCCACTGGGTATCTGTCCTTAGAAGGACACACTACCAACTTTTCAGTCCTCATTTAAGGCGTTGGGAATGTCTTTACCTCTTCCTGACACTGTAGTCTTCGTGATGTTGGGGACCTCAGCCTCACCTGGGACGTTGCCTGCTTGTCTGGTAGCTCCTCTCTGGGCTTTTACTCCAGCACCCTTAGTCCTGGGCTGATTCCCCCTCCTGCCTCCCAGCTATTCTCATTCTTCACACAGGCCCAGGATGGCCTCAGCTCTCAAGGTGGCAACCATCCCCTACGAACGATGAATGCACTGCAGTTTATTTCCAGCCCAGTCTCTTTCCGTAACCTTAGGCTCCTATGCTGAGCATCTCCATGTTTCGCCATTACTTCACTGGATGAAGTAACCCTTGCTGGGTAACTCCATATCCATGCATTCACTCTGTGTCAATTGTAGGATGCACACTTCACCCAGTCACCTAGACTAGAATACTTAGTTATCTTTGTCTATTTGGACTCCATTGTCGACTCATTCAATTAGTCACTACTTTCTCTTCTGTTGACTTAATTTCTTGAATTCCATTCAAATCCTTCCAGTTTTCTTTATCAGCCCTGGGCTTTAGTTCAGACTATTCCCACTATCGCTTATTTCATCTTTAAAACTAGCTGCTTAACTGGTTTTTCTCCCTCTAGAGTTCTCCTTCTCTCCCCAGTTAATAGCTGCAATACAACCAGAGATCCTTCTACAACACTACTTTATTTATTTATTTATTTATTTATTTTCTGACATAGAGTCTCGCTCTGTCACCCAGGCCGGAGTACAGTGGCAAAATCTCAGCTCACCGCAACCTCCACCTCCCGGGTTCAAGCAATTTTCCTGCCTCAGCCTCCCAAGGAGCTGGGATTACAGGCGCCTGCCACCATGCCTGGCATGGTGTATTTTTAGTAGAGATGAGATTTAGCCATGTTGGCCAGGCTGGTCTCGAACTCCTGGCCTCAGGTGATCTGACCACCTTGGCCTCCCAAAGTGCTGGGATTACAGGCGTGAGCCATCGCGCCTGGCCTAACATTTCTGATCTTATCTTTTCTTTAATTAAAATGTTTCGATGGGTTGGGGGTGATGGCTCACACCTGTAATTCCAGCACTTTAGGAGGCTGAGGCGGGCAGATCACCCAGATCACCTGAGGTCAGGAGTTCGAGACCAGCCTAGCCAACATGGCAAAACCCCGTTTCTACTAAAAATACAAAAATTACCTACTTGGGAGGTTAAGGCAGAAGAATCACTTGAACCCGGGAGACGGAGGTTGCAGTGAGCTGAGATCGTGCCACTGCACTCCAGCCTGTGCAACAGAGTGAGACTCTGTCTCAATAAATAAATAAATAAATAAATAAATAAATAAATAAATAAATAAAACGGTTCAATGGCTCTCTAACTCATCTAGGAAAGGTCCAAACTTCTTAATGTGATGAATAAAGAAAGCCCTTTCCACAGACTTCAACCTTTCCTGTCTGAGTCTGAGCTGGACTCTGGTGCTGAATCTGAGCGCCCCCGGTTAGTGAGAATGTTGCCTCTCCCTCCATGGGCTCTCTAAGATTTATCCCACATGTCAGACGTCAGATAGCGAGTCTCTCTAAGGACAACCACTGAGTTGAATTCACTGGCACATCCTCTGCACATATGGAGTTTTGTGCTAAGAAGTTTAATAATATTTCATAAAAGTCATGATGGAATTTATTGTCTACCATAAGGAGCCATGCAATAAATTCCTGTGTATGTTCCACTTCAGGAAATATTTAGTCTCTGCAATTGGAGGCATCTGTTTTCTGTTGTCAAAAATTTAAATTAGTGTAATCTGAGGTCTCCTTTACCGTTAAATGCCAGAAAACTCAGAACCAGATACATTAGTCAAGAATCGTAAACTGCTTGGCTCTGCTGTCTGAGACTAGGAACCCCTTTTGCTTACTTTAAATAGATTCTTTTCTTTAACCCCTAAAAAACACTTTTCCCTGCTTGTTCTCCAACAACCTGTAAGACTTTTGGATGTATGTGGGGTACTTAGAATGATGTCAATGTGGCCGGGCGCGGTGGCTCACGCCTGTAATCCCAGCACTTTGGGAGGCCGAGGCGGGCGGATCACGAGGTCAGGAGATCGAGACCATCCCGGCTAAAACGGTGAAACCTCGTCTCTACTAAAAATACAAAAAATTAGCCGGGCGTAGTGGCGGGCGCCTGTAGTCCCAGCTACTTGGGAGGCTGAGGCAGGAGAATGGCGTGAACCCGGGAGGCGGAGCTTGCAGTGAGCCGAGATCCCGCCACTGCACTCCAGCCTGGGCGACAGAGCGAGACTCCATCTCAAAAAAAAAAAAAAAAAAAAAAGAATGATGTCAATGTTCAACATAATGGGTTTTCTCAGTTTGATTATTAACTTCTAGCTTTTACCCATGCATTTTTACAAAGTTGCAATTTTCACATAACATGAGAAGGACCAATAAATCTTGGCCATCCTGCCTTTTCTCCAGAGCTTCTCTATTGCTTTCACTTCTCTTACACAGCTCAGACCCTCATATTCTCTGACCGGGATATATATATACACATATATATATACACATATATATGTATATATGTGTGTGTGTATATATATATATATATTTTTGTTTGTGTTTGTTTGTTTGTTTTGAGATGGAGAGTCTCGCTCTGTCATCCAGGCTGGAGTACAGTGTAACGACCTCGGCTCACTGCAGCCCCCTCCTCCCAGGTTCAAGCAATTCTCCTGCCTCAGAGTCCTGAGTAGCTGGGATTACAGGTGCCCGCCACCAAGTCTAGCTATTTTTTTTTTTTGTATTTTTAGTAGAGACGTGGTTTCACCATGTTGGCCAGGCTGGTCTCCAACTCCTGACCTCAGGTGATCCGCCTGCCTTAGCCTCCCAAAGTGCTGGGATTACAGGTATGAGCCACTGCGCAGGCTCGGCCCTGACCAGAATCATTTCAATCTTCCTTTTCGGACCGTTTGCATCCAGATTGTCTTCTGCCAATGCAGCTTCAAAAATGACCACCAGAGGCCGGGCGCAGTGGCTCACGCCTGTAATCCCAGCACTTTGGGAGGCCGAGGCGGGTGGATCATGAGGTCAGGAGATCGAGATCATCCTGGCTAACAAGGTGAAACCCTGTCTCTACTAAAAATACAAAAAATTAGCCGGGCGTGGTGACGGGCACCTGTAGTCCCAGCTACTCGGGAGGCTGAGGCAGGAGAATGGCGTGAACCCAGGAGGTGGAGCTTGCAGTAAGCCGAGATCACTGCCACTGCACTCTAGCCTGGGCAACAGAGCGAAACTCTTGTCTCAAAAAAAAAAAAAATGACCACGAGAGCAATGTTCTTAATATTCATGAGGTGGGTCAGCTATCTGACGAGATGAGATTTTAAAATTTATGTCTGTATGTATATGTATGTATGTTACTTAGGCAAGAGAACTACTATGTTAAGTCTGGAATTTGCTTGGTGAAGGAGATGATAGTATTCAAAGATTTAAAAGTATTAAAATTCTATTATGTTGGCACAAAAGTAATTGCATTTTTGCCGTTAAAAGTTATGCAAAACCACAATTACTTTTGCACCAACCTAATAGAAACCTCCTGGAAGAGAGGAGTTGGAGATTCCGATCCCTTCTCCCTGAGATTCTAAGTATAACAGGACATTAAATAAAACCTTTTCTGTTGCCTTGACATCCAGAAATACCCAAAGGCTCAAAGCGGTAGGTAAAAGACTATGTATTGTGAAACCTGTTTGGAGACTCTTAACTCTTTATCCTCCTCCAGGATATATAAGGAATGCAGAAGATATTGGTGGAGACCTTTTTTGGGGAGAATGTTGGTGTACTGTGCATTCTGGGTCCCTCTGTAGGGAAGTGATCAGGTACTTCTTCACAGTCTCAAGCTGCCAGTTGAGTAAGCAGGGGTTTTGGAGAGTCACTGGGAGAGCTGCACATGTCACCCAGGCATTCAGAGCCATCAAGTTCTCATACCTGATTTCCACTGGAAAACATCTAAAGGTGAGAAGCTGGCTGGTGCCCTGAAGAGTGGGTCACAGCAGGAAGATGCCACATTCCCACTGATGGAGGGGTGAAGACGTGAGTTTCTCTGGTCAGCTATGGAGTCAGGCTATGTGTTAGTCCATTTGCCTTGCTATAAAGGAATACCTGAGACCGAGTAATTCATAAAGAAAAGAGGTTTATTTTGGCTTATCATTCTGCAGACTGTACAGGAAGCATGGTGCTGGCATCTGCTTTTGGGGAGGGCCTCAGGAAGCTCAAAGTCATGGTGGAAAGTGAGGGGAGCCAGTGCATTACATGGTGACACAGGGAGCAAGAAGGATGCCAGCCTCTTTTATTTTTTTTTTGAGATGGAGTCTAGCTCTGTCACCCAGGCTGGAGTGGAGAGGTGTGATCTTGGCTCTTTACAACCTCTGCCTCCCGGGTTCAAGCGATTCTCCTGCCTCAGCCTCTGGAGTAGCTGGGACTACACGCATGCCACCACGCCTGGCTAATTTTTGTATTTTTAGTAGAGATGGGGTTTCACCATATTGGTAAGGCTGGTCTTGAACTCCTGACCTCATGATCAGCCCCCCCTCAGCCTCCCAAAGTGCTGGGATTACAGGCGTGAGCCATGGCGCCCGGCCACCAGGCTCTTTTAAACCATCAGCTCTTATGTGAACTCACAGAGCAAGAACTCACTTATTACCATGGGGAGGGCACCAAGCCATTAATGAGGGATCCGCCCCCATGACCAAAATGCTTCCCACCAGGCCCCACGTTCAACATTGGGGATCACATTTCAACATGAAAGTTGGAGGGAAAAACATCCAAACCATATCAGGTTGCATCACTTGACAGTGACCTGGCTGAAGAGAATGGGCATTTACCAGCTTTCCTCCTTCCAGGTGCCAGGGAGGTGGCACTTCTCCCAAACCATTTGAGGTTGGATGTTGCTGCATGAATTGCTTTGCCCATTAAAAGGTAGCAGAAACAATGTGGGTCACTTCCATTTTTAAGGGCCAGTGAATGATTTGCTTCTTTCTCTCTGGCATATGTGTTGAATGATCACCTCCTGAGTGCCAGGGAAAGCAGATCAGGCAGTCCATGAACAGAGTCCATGCACAGAGATAAGGCAGGGTCTTAGATTAGCCACTCAAATCACCATGGACCACAGGTATTGAGCCAACATTCAGAGGTGAATATTTTTAGGTGGTGTTTCCTGTCAGTCCAAAATGCCTTTATGATGTCTCTTTGATGGATCTGACTCAGGATGATGGACTGAACACCCACATCCACCACTACCCATCCCAAATCTCTTTAAGGTGGAGGTAAGGATATGAGGAGAACAGAGAGGGCTGGGTTATTATCAGCCATGAAACTCCAATACACTTCTGAAAAATGGAAAACAACTGGAAGGGTGCTGCCTGGTGCAGTGTGGTGGAGGAAACAAGCCCAGGATGTGCCCAGGGCAGGCTGGGACCTGGGAGGTGGAGGTGTTGACCTGGCTAGCAGAGCCCTGGAGGAACAGAAGAGTGGGAAGACAGAAGGGCACACAGCTCAAGCAGGGAAAGGATTGAGGAGCTTGTGGGCAGAGGGTTGACCCTGCCCCTTTTTCCACCAAGCATGCATTCCCTAGGCATTGGCAATTCAAAAGGTCCTTCTTGAAGTAAACTGAACTAATCCTCTGTGCAAAGTCTGAGCAGCTGCTATTGAGGCTGACACTCTAGAGCAAGCCCTGTTCATTTTAGCTTTGACTGACTCCCTTGAATTCAATCACTGCTAGCCCACTTAACCTAAAATGGACGTTGCCAATTGACAAGTACAGCCCACCTACAGAGTTTCTGACTGTCTGGTTCTTAGATGTAAACAGTTACTGAGCATCACCAGACCCTTGAGAAAAATCTGCAATATAAATTGGACAGACAAAATGAGCCAAGGTAATTCAGAAGAATAGGAAAGAATTACCAACAACTACCATAAAGTTTAAGTATGGTCCACCCAGAACTGCATCCATACAGTAAGGAAAGGATGCTACCGTAAAGTAACAATCAGAGAATAAAAAAGCCTCTTGGAAATTAATTATGTGTCTGATTGTCAAAAGAATAAAATTTAATACAAATGTTAACAGATAAAGTCAAAGAATATTTGGAACGTAGAACAAAAACTTAATTAAAAATATGAATAAGAAATATTAAAAAACACTAAGGATTAGCCCAGGACTGTATTAGCTGATTGACAGGATTTCTAAAAATAAAAAAGAAAGAGCCAATGTGTAATTGTTAAATGGATTGTAAAAGAAAATTTCCATTTTGACAGAGACATGAGCATTCATTGTCAAATAGTATGAATGAAAATTTCACTTCCAAAAATAATAAAAAGTCACCACCACCACCACCAAAAACACACCATCACCACCATCACCCTCACTACCACCACCGTCACCATAACCGTCATTACTTGCATCATTACCACAATCACCAATGCCATCACCACTGTTACCACCACCACCATAACTACCACCACTGCCATTACCACAATCATCATGACTTGTATCATCATCACAATCACCAATGCCATCACCACCATTACCACCACCGCCACCACCATCATCACCATCAGCACCACACCCCCAATACCACCAGGATTTTTACCACCACGACTATCATCACTATTGTCACCAACAACACCAATACCATGATCATCACCACTGCCACCACCACCACAATCACCATCTCTATCATCTAACCACCATTGCCTCCACTATCACCATCACCATCACCACTATCACTACCATCGCCACCGTCACCACTACCACTATCAGCACTACCACTTCTATCATCACCACCACCACCACCACCAAAACCACCACCATCACAATTACTACCTCCATCACCATCACCACCATCACCACAATGATCATAACTACCGTTATCACCACAATCGCCAATATCATCATCACCATTACTACCACCACTATCACCATCACCAGTAGTACCACCCCTACAACCCCAACCACAATAACCATCACCACCACCAATGTAACTGTTATTACTACCATCACTACCATCACCATCTCCGCCATCATAACCACCATCACCTTCACCATCACCATCACCACCATCACTACCATCACCACCATCACTGTTGTCACTACTAACATCATCACCACCACCAATACCACCATTATCACCACTGCCAATACCACCACCACCACCACAATTAGTGTCTCCTCCATCATAATCACCTTTGCCTTCACTATCAGCACCACCACCTCCATTATCACTACCACCATTACTACCATTACCATTATCACTACAACCACCATCACCATAATCACTACTATCACCACCACCACTATCACCACTACAATCATCACCATTATCACCACCATCATCAGTACAGCACCACCACCACCAACACTACCAATATCACCACTGCCACCATTGCCACCATCCTCTCCACCACCATCATTAGCATTATAACCACCGCCTCCATCACCACTGTCACCACCATGCTTACCACCAGGAACAATAAGTATAACATCTATTTATTGAGCACTTACTACAATCCAGTCACTGTTTCAGGTACTTCCCACATTTTAACTTATTTAGTCAGCACATTAACACTGTAGGGTGAAATTTCAGAACACTAGGAATGAAGAAAAGGTGGTAAAATCTCCCAGGAACAAAAAAAGTCACTCATAAATAATAAGACTATTACTGGCACCAGACTTTCCATTATTAACTGTAAATGTTAGAAGGCAAAGAACAAAGCTTTAAAAGTTCTGAGGGGGCCAGGCATGGTGGCTCATGCGTGTAATCCCAGCACTTTGGGAGGCCGAGAAGGGAGAATCACAAGGTCAGGAGTTCAAGACAAGCCTGACCAATATGTTGAAACCCTATCTCCACTAAAAAAAATGCAAACAAAATACAAAAAAAATTAGCTGGGCGTGGTGGCGCATGCCTGTAATCCCAGCTACTCAGGAGGCTGAGGCAGGTGAGCCGAGATTGTGCCACTGCACTCCAGCCTGGGCGACAGAGGGAGACTCCGTCTCAAAAAAAAAAAAAAAGGTCTGAGGGAATATCTATACATTAGAGAAACTATCAAGTATGGTGGCAGAACAAATTCTTTTAGACTTTTAAGAACCCACAGATGTTTTTGCAGGAAGTCTCTGAAGATGAATTCCAAAATGGAAGAGGAGGGGACTGGCTCCAGGATATCAGAGACCAGACGGGGTCAAGAGCTCTTGAAGGATGGTCTCCAGGAGCACAGCATAGAGAGTGGGCTCCACAACTGGAAGAACTTGAAGACAGGAAAAAGGCACAGAGGGAAAGATTATAAATAAGCAGTTTTACCCTAGGTAAAACAAAACACTGGATGAGAAAGCCGTGAACACATATGAATAGAAACATGAAGTCAATGGGCCTTAAGAGGGAAAAATGGATTCTTAGCTATTGAATGAAAAAGAGATTAGAAAAGTTTAGAGGGCTGGCATGTGTTTCCTCTCTTCTCTATACCCTTTCCCTCCACACTGTGAAGAAGGGCATTCAGAATCCCAGGATTAAAAAGAAAGAGAGGAAGGAAGGAAGGAAGGAAAGAAGAAAAGGAAGGAGGGAGGAAAGAAGGGAGAATGGTCAAAATATATGACAGATGAGGTCCAGAATATGCAAATTTGTTGCACGTTTTCAGCCACTGGTAGAATATGAGAAAAGAGAATCTGTATGTGAGCATTTAAAATATACATTTGAATTTTTATCAAGGTGATACAAACCCATACTTAACAAAAAATTAAGCACCACTAATAATCTTATGATGATACATAGTGGTCTCTTACTCCACACCCCCTATTTTACTTTCTCATGCCCCAGAGGAAATCTCTATTCTTCTAAGTTATTTTTGACATGTATTTCCATATTTCCAAAAAACATTTCTTATATAGATACTTGTGGATTTATTAATTTTAGACAATAATTTAACTTCCTGTTATGACAAGTGAGACTTAGCTTTCTTACCTGGTAAGAAAGGGTACATGCAGTGCCTCTGCCACACTCTCCCAACAGTGGGTTTGGGTCCTAAAGTTAACTTAAATCATTGGTTGACCTTAATATCATTGCACTTGTGTAAATATTGTCCACTCTTGGGCTAAGAGGTGTCTGTTCCATGTTTACATTTTCTTTTTCACTTCAAACTTTTTTCCTGAAATTATTAATGACTGCTTTTTTCATTGCTTAGATTTCCTTTTTATTCAAGCTCATTTCTTCAGTATGCTCAATCTGATAGCCTACTTCATATTTCTCTTGCAAACCCATCTTGAATATGCATGTCTGCCTGCTCCAGCCTGCACTGGCTCACCCCAGGCCTGCTGCACAGCTGTCATTCAGGATATTCTCAGGCTGGAATATCCTGAGTGACAGCTGTGTATCAGGCTTGGATCAGGCCTTATTTCCTGGATCCAATGCTGTGCTGGGGCCTCCTCATATTATATTAACTTTCTAAAATTGATTGCTAAATATTTGGGAGTTTTGCAAACCACAATCATTGGCAGCCACGGTGGGAGTATGTATACCACCCAAACTGCCAAATGCCAGAAATCAAGCCTTTTTTGGGAGGGTGGTGAGGATCTGTTCTATCAGCACATTGCTGATTCTATGTCTGCCTCTTTATTAATTTATTCCTTTTTTTGATGAAGCATATTTTATAGTATATTCTAGGAAAAGGAAAGGACACCAGAGAGGTAAGATTTTTGAGTCCTCACATGTTTCAAAATGCCTTTTTAGGCTGAGCATGGTGGCTCACACCTGTAATCCCAGCACGTTGGGTGGCTGAGGTGGGCAGATCACTTGAGGCCAGGAGTTTGAGACCAGCCTGGCCAACATGGCGAAGCCCTGTTTCTACTAAAAATACAAAAATTACCTGGGTGTGGTGGGACGTGCCTGTAGTCCCAGCTACTTGGGAGGCTAAGGCACAAGAATCACTTGAACCTCGGAGGCACACTGTCTCAAAAAAAAGAAAATACTTTTTTATTGTACTCTTATTCTTGACAGATGATTTGGCTGAGTAGAGAACTCTAAGAAACATGATGTTTCCTCAGACTTTTGAAGGCATTGTTCCGTTGTCTTCTGTCTTCCAGTGTTGCCTTTGAAAAGTTGGAGTTTTTTTGTTTCCTGATCTTTCTCATGGGACCTGTTTCTTTTCCTGTCTTCAGACTTCTTAAGGACCTCTCTTTTCCATAGTATTCTGAAATGTTAAAAGACGTACAATTTGTGTGGTGTTGATGGGCCTTGTATATCTGGTATGGCATGTTCTCTAGTTCCTGGAATTTTTTTTTTTTTTTGGCAGTATTTCTCTGACATTTTCTTCTTCAGCCTCTCTCCAAGACCTCACCTCTCATTTTCTCCATTTATTTCTTTCTGGAACTTCAACTGGTTGAATGTGATATCTCCCATAATAACCCTTTAATTTTGGGTGGGTCATTTTCCCCCCTTCTAATTTCCTTTTTTTCCCCCACCTTCTTCCATCTTTCATCATTCTGTTTAATTTTTTAGTTAACTATCATCTTTTTAACTTCCAGGTTCTTTTTTTTGTTCTCAGGTTGTTAATTTTAAAAATGACATAACAAGGAATTTCATTGAGCCAAGAAAATGCTTGATAAAGGAATCCCAGAAGAAAGCATAAAGGGTATATCTTCAAATAAATAAAAAGATTGCTTTCAGATGGCAATGAATTAGGAGATTATTCTTCCTGGCAAAACCAGGCTATGTATGCATGCCCTCCTGCTGCAAACATCTTAAGGGAGGAGCCAGTCCCTGGATGGCTTTCAGCAGTGCCTGCATGATATATGTAGGGTACACAGGTAAGAAGGAGTCATATCCCTCAGTTCAAGTATTGCTTGGTTCTGTGCAATGGCAATTTAGGAACAATGATGGCTAGAGCTAGGTTGGTGCAAAAAGAATTGCAGTTTCAGATCGGGAATTTCAAGTCATTATAACCAGGCTCAAACACATCTTTATTAATCAAAGTAAGAACCATTACAATCAGCACATTTTTGCCAAGGACATATAAGTTTGTTTATTCCTGTAGGATAAAAATACATGCTTTGGGATTAGACAAACTCTTGGAAAGCATTTTCTGCATCCTGCTGGTTGCAGAAGGGTTTTCCCTACAAAAAGTTGTCGAGATGCTTGAAGAAGGGGTAGCCAGTTGGTGAGAGGTCAGGTGAATATGGTGGATGAGGCAAAACTTTGTAGCACAATTCATTCGACTTTTGAAACATTGGTTGTGTGACATGCAGTCGGCATTGTCGTGGAGAAGAATTGGGCCCTTTCTGTTGACCAATGCTGGCTGCAGGCATTGCAGTTTTCAGTGCATCACATTGATTTGCTGAGCATATTCTCAGATGTAATGGTTTTGCTGGGATTCAGAAAGCTGTAATGGATCAGACCGGCAGCAGACCACCAAACAGTGACCATGACCTTTATTTGGTGCAAGTTTGGCTTTGGGAAGTGCTTTGGAGCTTCTTCTCAGTCCAACCACTGAACTGGTCATCGCCGGTTGTCCTGTAAAATAAACTTTTCATTGCACATCACAATCGGATCGAGAAACGCTTCCTTGTTGTGTAGAATAAGAGGAGATGACATTTCAAAATGATGATTATTTCGATTTTTGGTGAGCTCATGAGACACCCACTTATTGAGCCTTTCCACCTTTCCAATTTGCTTCAAATGCTGAAAGACCATAGAATGGTCAACGTTGAGTTCTTCTGCAACTTCTCATGTAGTTGTAAGAGGATCAACTATCATGACTGTTCTCAATTGGTCGTTGTCAACTTCCGAAGGCCGACCACTATGCTCCTCATCTTCAAGGCTCTTGTCTCCTTTGCAAAACTTCAACCACCACTGCATTGTACTTTCATTAGCAGCTCCTGAGCCAAATGCATGGTTGATATTGCAAGTTGTCTCCTCTGCTTTATGACCCATTTTGAACTCAAATAAGAAAATTGCTTGACTTTGCTTTTGGTCTAACATCATTTTCATAGTCTAAAATAAACATAAAATAAACAGCAAGTAATAAGTCATCAGCAAAAGAACATAAAGTGAGAAATGCCCATTAAAATGATATATGACATAACCACATTTATTTAAGAATGCATTCCAATATCAAATGGCAAATTCCAACAATGCAAAAAACGTAATTACTTTTGCACCAACGTAATATTTTCAGTGAAAACATAGTGATGTCTGAGCATTGAGCAATTGAAGATTGAAACCAAGAATTTACTGTAATTAACACAGAATTCATGTAAAGGGTAGTATTAATTTCTACTAAAACAGATGCAGTATGTGGAAGAACATATAGACAGAAGCATAACCAAGTGCTAAAAGAAAAGTGTCTCTGCTATTGAAACTAGCTAAGGATTTCACCAACTTATAGTGGGGAGGGATTGGGGCTAACCTCAGAATTGTATCATGTCTTAATTAGAGCTTTTAAAAGATATAGTCATAGGAAATTAACTGCATAAATCCTAACTGCACAAATCATTCTACAGTGAGAATTCATCATTTTCAAAAAATTTTTGTCTTTATAAAGTTGTAATTGTTATTTTTCATTGAGTTTCTTGTAAGTACTAAATGTTGCATTTATGCATTATGTATATAGTCTCACATTATATGTGTGTTCATGATGTATATATGCAGATTATAAATATATAAAATCTTCACTCAGAATTTTGAGATTATCCTCACTTTTTGCTTTAAGAAACTAAGCCCAACAAGGTCAAGTTGCTTGTCTAAGGACACTGAGTGACTAAGGGCAGACCTGAGATTCAGAGCAGGCCTTTTGCTTTTAGATTCTGTGATCTTTCTCCCAGCAGCACAGGTACTCCATTCTCCCCACCGAGGTGTGGTCCAGTCAGCTGAGCTGCCTGCCTAGGGGCATCCCAGAAGCTGGGATGAGTGGAAACAGACTAAAAACAGCAATAGAATGCACCCACATAACATCTCCAGCAGCAAACTTCTCAGTTTTCGTTTTCAGAGGGGTTTTCTTTTTCTCTTGGAAAAATATAGGAGTGTGGAGATTTTTCACATCTCCGATCAAAGTGATGAGAGACATGAATTATCACTTTAGCTCAGGTGGTCTTTGACATGAGGCGTTGGAAGCCGCTATGCTGCTTTGCTGCTTCTCAACACAGACATCTCCCACCCTTGACATGGAGCAGGAGGGAAAGCCCTTTGCGGGGAGGGAAAAAGGAGCTTCCAACTCCAAACTCAGAATAGAGAGCTGGGTGCAGGTGGGGTGCGCTCATCTGGTGGGGTGTGCTCCTCTGACAGGGGAGGAGAGTTTACCGGCTCTAGCTCCTACCGTGACTGTGACAGCCACTGCAGGGAACAGCTCAGGGAGTTTATTTATTTTAAAATTCAAAGCTGTAGGTCTGGAACGGTGGCTCACGCCTGTAATTCCAGCACTTTGGGAGGCTGAGGTGGGTGGATCACCTGAGGTCAGGAGTTCAAGACCAGTCTAACCAACATGGTAAAATGCTGTCTCTACTAAAAATACAAAATTAGCTGGATGTGGTGGCACATGCCTGTAATGCCAGCTACTCGGGAAGCTGAGGCAAGAGAATCACTTGAACCCGGGAGGCAGCGGTTGCAGCGAGCCGAGATCATGCCGTTGCAATCCAGCCTGGGCAACAAGAGCGAAACTCCATCTCAACAACAACAACAAAAATAAATAAAATAAATAAAATTCAAAATTGTGGGGAAAATGAAGTCGAGGTTTAAAAAAAACTTAGGGCACAAAGTTTTATTTTTAGGGATAGCAATGGTACATGATGGAAGCAGAGGGAGAAAAAATAAAAACCATAAAAAGTCACAGAAAAGAGGGAGGGATGGGGATGGGAAAAGGATTGAGGAGAGAGGAGGATACAGGAGAAGGAGAAGACTTGGAAAAACAGATTTTTTTTTTTTTTTTTTTTTTGTGACGGAGTTTCACTCTTGTTGCCCAGGCTGGAGTACAATGGCGAGATCTTGGCTCACTGCAACCTCCACCTCCTGGGCTCAAGTGATTCTCCTGCCTCAGTCTCTGGAGTAGCTGAGACTACAAGGGCCCACCAAAATGCCCTGCTAATTTTTTGTATTTTTAGTAGAGATGGGGTTTCACCATGTTGGTGAGGCTGGTCTTGAACTCCCGACCTCAGGTGATCTGCCTGCCTTGGCTCCCAAAGTGCTGGGATTACAGGCATGAGCCACTACATCCGGCCCCCTGTTGTTTCTTTAAAAAATATATATTTTAGCCTGTAATCCCAGCATTTTGGGAGGCCGAGGCGGGCGGATCACGAGATCAAGAGATCGAGACCATACTGGCTAACACAGTGAAACCCTGTCTCTACTAAAAATACAAAAAATTAGCCGGGCGTGGTGGCGGGCGCCTGTAGTCCCAGCTACTTGGGAGGCTGAGTTAGGAGAATGGCGTGAACCCAGGAGGCGGAACTTGCAGTGAGCCGAGATTGCGCCACTGCACTCCAGCCTGGGCGACAGAGCGAGACTCCATCTCAAGAGAAAAACAAACAAACGAATATATATATATATATATATATATATATTTATTTATTTATTTATTTTAGTCCATGGATAGAGCCGTGATGGAAACAAAGGAACACATAGTGCAAAGATGAAAAGAGATTTTTAAAAAGAGAACAAAAGGGAGAACAAAGCAAAGTAAGCAGAAGAGACCCCATCGCAGTGAAGCAGCTGCCCCTTGCAACGCGTGTCCCACTCACACTGGAGTCGCTTGCCTGGATTCTGAGCAGCTCTCTGGCTATCAGCACTGTTTAAAATATGACAACATCTGACCTCAAGATTTTCCTATAGAATACACTGGCTGACAGAAAGATGTACTGTAGCGGGTCTTAATATTCTTTCTTTGGCACAGGGCTGTGAGACCAGGAAAGCAATACGGGTGTAGTCAGGTGGAAATATCCATAACCATCATAGCAGAAAATACTCAGATGCAAAAAATGGATTATTTTTAGTAGAAGGAAACAAGTTAAAGAAAAGTAGAGAGAAGGTACCTTCAACCAAATAACATTTCACAGTGGTTATGTATTTTTTTGAAATAGAATTTTATTTACTTATTTCTGCTTCAGAGACATTATGTGGCCCTATGGTCTATGAATATCATCTTAATTGTTCTTTAACATTTAATTAATATTTACATAATTTAATATCTTCATTTAATATTTACCCCAAATGAGCCAGGAAAGTAAAAGTTATCACAATTTCTTTTTTTTTTTTTTTGAGATAGAGTCTCACTCTATCGTCAGGCTGGAGTGTAGTGGCGAAATCTTGGCTCACTGCAACCTCTGCCTCCCGGGTTCAAGTGATTCCCCTGCCTCAACCTCCCGAGTAGCTGGAACAACAGGCATGCGCCACCACATCCAGCTAATTTTTGTGTTTTTAGTACAGACGGGGTTTCACCATGTTGGCCAGGATGGTCTCTATCTCTTGATCTCGTGATCTGCCTACCTCGGCCTCCCAAAGTGCTGGGATTATAGGCGTGAGCCACTGCGCCTGGCCCACAATTTTAAATTAATTAATTAATTCATATGAAATGGGGTTGGGGGTGTCTCGCTCTGTTGCCCAGGCTGGAGTGCAGTGGCATGAACATGACTCCCTGCAGCCTTGACCTCCTGGGCTCAAGTGATCCTCTCGTCTCAGTCTCCTGAGTAGCTGGGACTACAGGCACGCATACCTGGCTAATTTTTGAAATTTTTTGTAGAGTCAGGGGTCTTCCTAAGTTTTCCGGGCTGGTCTTGAACTCCTGGACTCAAGCGATCCTCTCTCCTCTGCCTCCCAAAGCGCTGGGATTATAGGTGTGAGGCCTTGCGCCTGGCCTATCTCAACTTTTAAAAGGATAGACAAAGCCACTTCCAGTTCCGAAAGAGACCAGGCCTGTGAATTGCAGCCTGGCATGCAGGAGTGCCCTGGCAGCTTCCCTATAGAAAGTGGCAGCAGTTAGTCTGGGGACTCTGTGGTGGGGTTGCTTCTGCAGCTGTGCCTGACACCTTAGGCAGGCCCACCCTATGCTGGTCCTGCCTTGCTGCCCTGGGGCCGAGGGCCAGCATCTGTCCCTGTTTCACAGGAAGCAGAGAATCACTCAAGAGCTCATTTGGGGTGGTCACCCACAGTCACACAGTGATAATATTGCACCTCCACCTCTATTGCCAACCACTGCCTTTCCCTCACCTCAGGCAACTGCATTCATCTCCTAATGCAGCAAACTCTGACTGACCATCTTCTAGGGACAGGCTGGTTCCAGGGCCAGAGTGTCTCCACGGTTGAGTGATGCCTGGGGCTGACTGATCATGCACAGAAAAGCTAAAGGAAATGGAAAGTCCTGTTGGAGGACGGGCAGAAGGCTAGGGAGGGGCTCAGAGAGGCACATGATTCAGGCCTCGACGGGGGCATGGGCAGATAGAGGTGGGCAGGAATCAGCCATGTCACCTGCAAAGCTTTGGTGGGAAGGGGGAGGTGGGGGTGGGGCACAGGCTGGGCTCAGGAGCCACCACACAAGCCATTTCTGAGGGATCTTCCACTCCACCTGGCCATTTGAGAAAGAGGGGTGGATGAACACCTTTACCCAGGAATCGCTCTGTCTGCGCCCAGGGAGAAGGCATCCCTGAGTCTGGCCTGCAAGGCCCTGTTTCTCCTTCCCTCCAGGCAGCCTTCAGCCAGAGCCAGAAGGAAGAGGAGCTGACACAGTCACCCACAGAGACCTGTTTCTCTCTAGACAGTGAGAGATTCGGGCACAGCAGAGGACCTGCCCTTCTCATTCCTGCGGGGCCCACGGATTCAAAGAGTCCAGGCCCTTAGTCCCATGGGAAGAGCCCTTTGCTGACCCCTGGTGAGTCCAGCACATGGCTGAGTTGATTACACCACGATATTCCAGCTACAGGTTCTTGATTTCTGCCGAGGCCCACCGCCTGGCTTTGACGACACACATCTTTCTGCATTGGCGGGAGTCTCCCCATAGCAGATGAGCCACGGTGGCTTTCGGTAGGGCTGATACATGCTTTGGGGGTTGTATCTGGAAAGGACATGTGTTCTCCATGAGGAGGTGGAAGCAACCAGCCAGTGGACCGGCCCTGTTTCTGGGCCCCAGCTCCCCAGGCTGGGTGGGTTTCAGTGCTGTTGGGGTCACCTGTGGTCTCAGACATGGTTCCCATCACTGAGTGCATAGGAGAGGACCTGCAAGGTTGTAAACAACACTGTTGCTAGCCTCCACCCGTGACATCAAGTCAGAAACGAGGATGGGAGTGAGGCTCATAAGTCCATATTTTTAGAAATCTCCGCAGGAGCTTTTACCTGCAGTTAAGGGGGAGGACCCCCCCACCCCGCCGCCCGCCACTGTCTGAATCACGCTGTTGGTGAGGGGCCCGGACGGGCCCATGTGGGCTGAGCAGCCTCCCAACTCCTGCAGCACCAGCAGAGGGGCCAGAGGTCAGAGAACTGGACCTGCCCACAGTCTCCAGGCAAGGTGAAGAAAAACAGACTCCACTGTCCAAGTAAGCAGTGTAATGTGTCAAAGAGAAGAGGCTGGGACTCCATCCAAAATATGGAATGGATTGGAGATAAATGACTCCTTGAAACCAGAGCTCAGCAGCCACTGTGTGAGCCAAGGGGACTCCAGCAAAGCTGGGCATAGCCCAGCTCAGGCTCCAGAGAAACCCCCTCCCCAACGCGGAGGGCAGATCCTGGGGCGAGGTGTGGGTGGCCCCTAAGAACTCCAGCAGGGCCCTGGTCAGATGGAGGCAAGCCTGGGCCTGTCTGGAACCTGAAGGTCTGGGGGGTCTCAATGGTATAGGCTGGCTCCACCCCAGGAGGATGAGAAGCAGGCAGAGGACCTCAAGGAACGTCCCCTGGGAGTGGAGGAAGGACTTATCCTTGGGTCCCATGCAGTCGCATGCTGCAAGGGCCACATAGGGGTATACCTGGACTTTCTCGGCCACTAGAGTTTCTGATCGTCTAGTGTGGGCATCCATGAAAAGGTTAAATTCAGTAGGAGAAAATAGTGAACGAGAGGGCAGTTAGCACAGGACTTTATTCTGTGTGAAAACAGGGTTGAAAATTAAGTTCTGAATAAAAAATCTCTCTGAGCATTCAAAATAGATGTCATATGCCTCTGCAGACTGTTGCCTGCTGACTGTGACTCTTCAGTGAATGCCATAGGCCTATATAAGGAGGAAATTTGCTTGCACTTCTTAAAAAAAACCCTTAAATCCCAGCACTTTGGGAGGCCATGGAGGGAGGATCACCTGAGGTCAGGAATTCGAGACCAGCCTGACCAACATGGACAAACCCCATCTCTACTAAAAATATAAAATTAGCCGGGCGTGGTGGTACATGCCTGTAATCCCAGCTACTCAAGAGGCTGAGGCAGGAGAATTGCTTGAGCCCGGGAGGCGGAGGTTGCGGTGAGCCGAGATCATGCTGTTGCACTCCAGCTTGGGCAAAAAGAATGAAACTCCTGTCTAGGCGCAGTGGCTCACGCCTGTAATCCCAGCATTTTGGGATGCCCAGGCAGGCAGATCACCTGAGGTCAGGAGTTCGAGACAAGCCTGACCAACATGGAGAAACCCTGTCTCTAATAAAAATACAAAATTAACTGGGCATGGTGGCGCATGCCTGTAATCCCAGCTACTCGGGAGGCTGAGGCAGGATAATTGCTTGAATCTGAGAGGGGGAGGTTGTGGTGAGCCGAGATTGCGCCATTGCACTCCAGTCTGGGCAACAAGAGTGAAACTCTGTCTCAAAAAAAAAAGAAAGAAAGGGTGAAAGTCTGTTACAAAAAAAAAAAATCTTAAAAATCTGGATGGCGTGAATTTCCAGCTGAAAGAAGGCCAGGAGCAACAGGTGTAGAAGTGAGGAGAAGGAGGATGAAGAAAATCACACTGAGTGTGGAGTCAGGGTTGGGCCCTGCAGGTGAGAGCCTGTCGCATCCTCACAGCCCCTTCCGTGATCCTAGCCCACAGGCTGACGGCGGGGTGCTGCACGGCATGGTGGGTGTGAATGAGGCTCTTCGCAAGGTCTATTGCCCAAGCAGTCCTCTTACGAAAGTAACTGGTACTATCTTCCGTGCCTCGGTTTCCCCCACTGTAAAAAGGGCATGCTAATAGCAATCTCCCTCAGAGGTTTCTGTGAGGATTCCACATGCAGCAGAAGCTGTGCTCTTGTTAGATTTCAGCAATGATCATGACTGGCGCAGAGTCGTTGAGGAAGGAGCCTTTGACTTGGTGTACTTGTGTGGGCTTCCATCTAAATGGGTTAAAAAACCCAACCCCCACCCCCACCCCGACCTGACATTTACAACAGCAGTCCATCAGCTCTTCAGGAAGGTGATCTTTCCATGGGCTCTTAACAGGTAAGATTTCACTGCAATAGTCCTAAAATTTTAAAATCTGCTTGCGTTTTTTTTTTTTTAAGTGAGCTATTTGGGGCAGCTAAATACTATCTTTGAGTCACTTTTTCCCATGACAGTCCCGTTCACGGGTCCATTCATTTGACACCAACAAGTCAGAAATGAAATAGGAATATCTGTAACCTATCACCTAGGGATTCACGTCAATATCACATGCAGGTAATTACATTGAAAATTGAGCTTGAGGCATCACAGTTGTCTTCATAAGCATAAAAGCCATAAACGCATTAGGCGACAAGCACTGCGCGCATACTCAGCCCCCCGCGCTCTCTGCTGCTTCTCGGCGCTTCAAGTTGACCTCTCCTGGGAGCAGGACCTTCCAAATGGAGGACTAAGGAAAGAATGTGAGAAGGGCTGGAAAGAGCTGTATTCTAAAATATCTATAAAGTGCCTTGAAAATTGCCAGGAGACATTGCTTGGGAAACCCTGACTTCAATTATGTCCCTACACTTCATAGCAGCTTGACTGCAAACTATCTTGGCTAAATTAAAACCTTCAAAGGAAATTCCTTAAAGTAAACATAAAAAGGTCATCTTTAAATGCACAAGAACTAAAATATTTGAGGTTTAGGAGCCCCAAAGTAGATGATACATCGTATATTGTCAATAGCCCATGGGACGTTTTATTTTAAAAACGCTTCCACTTCAACTTCAAGGGGTACGGGTACAAAGTAGGTAACCTGATAATTCCAAAAAATCCAAAAAGAAAGAAAAAATTTCCCCGTCAACAGCGATCACAGAAGTTCTATTTGAAACACTTAAAAAGATTAATTTAACAATCTTAAAATAACTCATCTAATACTGGTGGTAGTGTGAAGTAGTTATCCTCATGAGTTGCTCACACTGCAATTTGTAGGAGGCATTTTAGAATGCATGTGGCAATATCTGTCCCAAACTATATTTTATTTTCCCTGGCCCAGGAATCAAAATTCTTTTTTTTTTTTTTGAGACGGAGTCTCGCTCTGTCACCCAAGCTGGAGTGCAGTGGCGGGATCTCAGCTCACTGCAAGCTCCGCCTCCTGGGTTCATGTCATTCTCCTGCCTCAGCCTCCTGAGTAGCTGGGACTACAGGCACCCGCTACCACGCTTGGCTAATTTTTTTTTTTTGTATTTTTAGTAGAGACAGAGTTTCACCGTGTTAGCCAGGATGATCTCGATCTCCTGACCTTGTGATCCGCCCTCCTCGGCCTCCCAAAGTGCTGAGATTACAGGCGTGAGGCACCGCGCCTGGCCAGGAATCAAAATTCTAAGAGTCTATCCTAAGGAAATATTTCAAAAGAGGGAACACTTTAGAAGCAGCATAATTCTCCTTGTAGTATTTTATGCTTGAGGAAGAAGACAATCACCTGTAGTAGGGGTTGGCAAACTATGTCCCACAGGCCAAACTGGCCTTCCGGCTGTTTTAGTGAATAAAGTTTTATTAAAACACAGCCACGTTTGGTGGCTCGTTTATGTTTTGTTTTCACACAATCACAGCAGAATCGAGCAGCTGGAACAGAGGCCATGTGGCTCCTAAAGCTGAAAAATATTTACTACCTGGCCTCTTTTGTGGTACTGAGCTTTGAATCCTGAATTATGATATCACTCTATTCATCAAGTTATTCTCTTTATAGCCTTCTGTAAATCTTAAATTTAATCCTAGATATTTCAGATTTTTTTTGCTGTTGTGAGTAGAATACTTATTAAAAATGATATTCTCTTGCTAATATTGAAAAAGCTTTTGATTTCTAAATATTTATATTATAACCGACCACACTCTGAATTCTCTTATTTCATCAATTAAGCTTTACTTGATTCTCTTGATTTTTTTTTTTTTTTTTGAGATGGAGTCTCGCTCTGTTGCCCAGGCTGGAGTGTAGTGACATGATCTCAGGTCATTGCAAGCTCTACCTCCCGGTTTCACGCCGTGCTCCTGCCTCAGCCTCCCGAGTAGCTGAGACTACAAGCGCCCGCCACCACGCTTGGCTAATTTTTTTGTATTTTTAGTAGAGACAGGGTTTTACTGTGTTAGCCAGGATGGTCTCAATCTCCTGACCTCGTGATCCACCTGCCTAGGCCTCCCAAAATGCGGGGATTACAGGCGTGAGCCACTGCGCCCAGCATCTCTTAAGATTTTGTGTAGATATTTTAAATTAGTTTTAAATAATTAGTTTGTAATAATTTTAATTAGTTTATCTGGAAGTAATAAACTAATAGTTTACCCCCTCACTTCCAGTATTTTTCTTTCATCTTCTTATCGTACTGAATCACTTGCTATTTCTAGGTCAGTGTTAGATACCAATAGTGAAGATGAGTACCATTCTGCTAATTTTGAAATAGCCTTGACCTAGTTACTCAGAAGTCAGGAGCCTGAAGCTAGCCCTGAAAATCCTGATTGCAAAGAGTTTTATATTCCCCTGAAGAAATTCCTCCTGATCAGCTCACTCCACACAAGGCAGCTGCACACAGAGCAACTGAGACATCCATGCTCTGAGCAGAGTTCCGGGTCAGCCCTACCTGGGCCACTGGGGAGGAAGCCATGAATTCTTTCTGCTCTCTGATCACTGGGATGTTGGTTCCAATGCTTAAGATTTCCCCCCCAGGCACATAAAGACAGGTGTGAGGAATACAAATTTCAGAAGCTAAATAAACCAAATAAAACATTTTAGTCAAAATATGAGGTAAGCACCCACAGTACGGAGGGTGAAAACATCTGTGCTTTGATAGACAGGTTCTGTTTCTGTCCTATCTCCTAAAATCTCAGTGACACTGGCACGCCTTCTCTGAGTCTCAGTTCTCTCAACTGTAAAATGAGAAATAATACCTAAACTCTAGAGTTCTTGCAAGAATTAGAAATAATTCGTAAGTATGGTTTGTAGGAGATATTGAATATATAATTAGTAAGTATCACATGTAGGAAATATTGAATAAATCCTCATAAAACAGCAGCAATAACCATCAAAACTTTCTCGGCAATTTGAGGAAGTTCCATTGGGTGCTGAAAACACAACTGTCCTTTGAACACAAGGATTGACTGTGGGGGAGATGCTGTGGTCTTGGATGGTTGTCATTTGCATAGTTTCTCTTTCAGGTTTCTTTCCTTCCAGCCATGCAGACCAACATCCAATATGATCACAGCAGATGCAATCTCAGTCTTTACTTAAAGTAAGCTTCCTTTGCTACAGAAAGGCCTAATCTTTTCCATTCATTTTTTGTGGACCACCACAGTGCGACACCCCCACCCCAACCCAAGTAGGCACATGACAATTGTGAAGTAACCAGAGGTCATTGGTTGTGACCCGCGGGTAGCCATTTTGACCCATGAAGGCCCTGCGTGGGGCAGGGCAGGTTACATGTCAACATATACTTCTGGAAAGTGCTTGATCATATGTTCAACTAAGAAACCATTGGCACCTCCTCTCATCCCATGCCTAAGTCCTTTCCTCAGCATGCTCTGTTAGGGAGACCCCACCTATTTTGTCTCTGCCTAACAATCATACATGGGGGCCTAATGTCCCTGGTGTTACAGATTAATGTACAACATTGTCACCCCTGCTAAAGAAGGACTCGCTGGGCTTCCCATCTGTAAACAAGAAGGCAGGGCTTGCATGCATGAAACACAAGGACCCTGGACTTGGTGCAAAGGGCTCTGACTTGGTGCCCGGCTCTCCAGCTGGATCTAGGCCTGTCCTTTAATTTTCATGTCTCAGATGTCTAACCCGAAAAAGGGGAGAGAATTCCAATCATTACTCTGTGTGGAAAAAGTAAAGCGTCTCTTTTTTGATGGGATCTTTATCCATTAATAATTTAGTTGGACTAAATTATTTACATTTAACTTGTTAAAGGTCTATTTATTTATATATTTTTAAATTTTTATTTATTTATTTTTTTGAGATGGAGTTTCTCTCTTGCTGGAGTGCAATGGTGCGATCTGGGCTCACTGCAACCTCTGCCTCCCGAGTTCAAACGATTCTCCTGCCTCAGCCTCATAAGTAACTGGGATTACAGGCACCTGACACGAAGTCCGGCTAATTTTTGTATTTTTAGTAGAGCCGGGGTTTCGCCATGTTGGCCAGGCTGGTCTTGAACTCCTGACCTCAGATGATCTGCCTGCCTCGGCCTCCCAAAGTGCTGGGATTACAGACGTGAGCCACCGCTCCTGGCCCTATTTATTTTTTTAACCTAATGACCTAATAGCACTTAATAAATAAATTTATTGTCTATTGATGATTCCTAATACATAAGCCATTAAAATCCATCCTGGAAGAATGCCAAATATTATTCCGAATTAAAATAGAAAGTAAGAAATATCGGGGTTTGGTGCAGTGGCTCATGCCTGTAATCCCAGCACTTTGGGAGGCTGAGGCAGGTGGATCATGATGTCAGGAGTTTGAGACCAGCCTGGTTAACATGGTGAGACCCGGTCTCTACTAAAGATACCAAAAATTAGCCAGGCATGGTGGCGTGCACCTGTAATCCCAGCTACTCGGGAGGCTGAGGCAGGAGAATCGCTTGAACCCAAGAGGCGGAGATTGCAGTGAGAGGAGATTGCTCCATTGCACTCCAGCCTGGGCGACAGGGCGAGACTCCATATTAAAAAACAAAAACAAAACAAAACAAAACAAATATCAAGCTTTGTAAAAGTGAAAAAAATCCTTGCAACTATTCACAGTTTGTCATATGTGTAGGGGATAAGTATTGAAGTGGGCAAAATATTTTCTCTCCCTTTATTTAATCATCACAATTACTCTACAAGGCAAAAGCAATTAGAACAGTGTCTGGGCCAGAAATAAATCTGTATATCTATGGGAAGTTGATTTTAAATTAGAGCACAAAGACAACTCTTTTTTTCTCAACAAATGGCTCTAGGACAACTGAAATCCACATGCAAAACAGTGAAGCTAGACTCAAACCTCACACCATATACAAAAATCTACTCAAAAATGGATCAATGACCTACACGTAAGAGCTAAAGCTATAAATCTCTTACAACAAAACATAGGACTGAATCTTCCTGACCTTGGATTTAACAGTGGTTTCTCAGATATGACACCAAAAGCACAAACAACCAAAGAATAATAGATAATTTCAGTATTCAGAATATAAAAAGAACTCATACAACTCAACAATAAAAGGACGAATAACCTAATTAAAAATATACAAACTGAATAGACATGCCTCCAAATAAGATACACAAATGGCCACTAAACACACGAAAAGATACTCAACATCCCTAGTCTTTAAGAGAATTAAATCAGTACCACAATGAAATACCATTTCACATTCACAGGATGGCTGTAATCAGAATGACAGACAACAATAAGTGTCAGTGAGGAAGAAGAGAAATTGGAGCACTCCTACAAGGCTGGTGGGAATGTAAAATTGTATAACCACTGTGGAAACAGTCTGGAAGTTAAGCATATAATTACCCTACAGCCTAACAACTCTGCCCCTAGGTTATATACCCAAGTGAATTAAAAACATGTTCACACAGACCGGGCGTGGTGGCTCATGCCTGTAATCCCAGCACTTTGGGAGGCTGAGGCGGGCGGATCACGGGGTCAGGAGATCGAGACCATCCTGGCTAACAAGGTGAAACCCCGTCTCTACTAAAAATACAAAAAAATTAGCCGGGCGTGGTGGCGAGCGCCTGTAGTCCCAGCTACTCAGGAGGCTGAGGCAGGAGAATGGTGTGAACCCGGGAGGTGGAGCTTGTGGTGAGCCGAGATCACGCCACTGCACTCCAGCCTGGGTGACAGAGCAAGACTCTGCCTCAAAAAACCAAAAAACAAAAACCAAACAAACAAAATGTTTACACAATAATTTGCATATGAGAGTTTTTAGTAGCATTATTCATAATAGCCAAAAGGTGGAAACAGCTCACATGTCCATCAGCAGATGACTGGATCAACAAAATGTGGCATATAGGTGCAATAAAATATTATTCAGCCGTAAAGAGGAATGGAGTATTGACACGTGCTGCAAGGTGGGTAAACCTTGAGAACTTTATGTTAGGTGAATGAAGCCAGATCCAAAAGACCATGTTTAATATGATTCAATTTATATTAAGTGTCCAGAATAAGAAAATTCATAATGACAGAAAGTAGGTTAATTTGTCATTGCCAGGAGGTGGGGGTAGGTGATGAATTGGGTGCAGGATTACTGCTAATGGGTACAGGGTTTCTTCTAGGGTGATGAAAATGTTCTGGAATTAAATCATGATGATGGTTTATAAACACGCTTTAAAAAGCCACTGAATTGTACACTTTACAATGGTAAATTTTATTACACGTGAATTTTCTCAATTTTAAAAATAAGTGCCTGAAACCCAGGGAGCACCTGGTAAGTGACGACTATTGTGACTATTAAATCCTGTCACCAGCCGCAATTTACACATGACGAACCATCTCTGAGGGAAAAGGTGCCTCACCTAGGGGCACAGGGCTGGATTGCACTGCTTCCAAAACCCACCAGTTAACCAAGATACCTTACATCTCTTCAGGATTCGTCTCTTCAAATCCTGCCAGTGACTTCCAACCCAGAGGGAGAAGGAGAAGGTAATATGCTGAGCAAAGAAATGTGTCTGATGAGAGTATGGTTTCTGTTTATTATATAGACAAGTATGACAGCATTTACATTTGCACATCTTCCTCTGTGATTAAGCATTACATGTTGTCTTCATGTAGCATTGTTGACCAACCTCCATTCAGAATGAAGTTTAGAGAACACATGCGGCTTCTTGAATCTGAGAAAGTGTTACTATGATTGTATTCCAAAGCTCCTACGAGCTTAGCATCGCCCTCAACCTTTGGAGTTGGAGAGAATGTGGAAGTTCTGGGTACACTGTTAAGTACTCCATAATGGCGAATTCCAGCAGTCATAGTGATCACCGAAAGGTCCTAATAGTAAGGCGTAGAAGTGGTGAGAGATTGGAGCCCTTGTGTTGGGGGGCAGGGAACATGAAATAGTGTGTCCACTGTGGAAAACAGTATGGAAGCTTCTCAAAATATGAAAACTAGAATTACCATATGATCTTGTGAGTCCATGCTGGATATACATGCAAAAGAATTGAAATCAGGGACTCAAGCAGATACTTGCATACCTGTGTTCATGGCAGCATTATCCACAGTAGCCAAAGGAGAAACAGCCCAAATGTCCTCCAGCAGATGAATAGATAAGCAAAATGTAGTATATGCATACAATGGAGTGTTATTCACCTTTGAAAAGAAAGGGAATTCTGTCACATGCTATGACACGGATGAACTTTGAGGACATTCTGCTACAGGAAATAGGAAATAGCCAGGCACAAAAGGACAGATACTGCATGATATTTAAGGAACCCAGAATAGGGACCTAGAATAGCTAAATTCATGTGACAGATGTAGAGTGGTCAAATTCATAGAGACAGAAAGTAGCGTGGTGGCTGCCAGGGGCTAGAGGGACGCAGAATGGAGAGTTTGTGTCGAATGGGGACAGACTTTCAATTTTGCACAACGAAAACATTCTGGAGATGAAGCGTGGTGATGATTGCACAATAACGTGAATGTGTTTAGATATCACTGAACTGTATTGTACGCTTACAATGGTTAAAATGGTAAATTTTATGTTAAGTGTATTTTACCACATTTTTTTTTTAAGAAAGAGAAGGTGCAGAAGTTGTACCAGCTCACCTTTCTGTCAGTGAGCCTCTTAGATCAGACAGGCCAAAACTTCTGGAGACGTTCAGGCCACTGGGGTCCCCTTTCCCCAGCTGCCAAGCTGTTTTCTGATTTTCATAGCTGCCCTCAAGGCCTCCTGGCCGATCCTTGAACTTGCTGCGAACTTTATGGAGATTGGTGATTGCCCTGCTTCCTGGTGGCTGGGCTGCTATAAATAATAATAATGCTGATAATGAAAAGAATTGCTCAGGGTGCAGCAGGAGGCTCGCCAGGCTCCCAGACTCACGGGGGGAATGGGGAATGTCATGTCCAGGGGCTGCTTTATGTACTTGGTGTTAATAAATCATAATAATTAGATACTGGTCCAAGTCATTTGAAATTCATTTCTTTCATTCATGCAGCATTGCAGGAAGATGAAGATGCTGGCTGATTGACCTCATTCTTCACGTGCACTCAGGGCTCAGGGCCAGCGCAGGGCTGGGGAAGCTGCTTTCTTCCCACGCCTCCAGGGCCCAGCCTGGCCGTCTCACAACCTGGCCTCCTTCTTGTCTGTGAGCTCACACTCTCTTTCTTCCCCCGCATGCAGATGGTGATGATGGCCAGGACACTGGCCACCTGCCTGCAGCATGCCCAGGGCCTGGGCTTTGAGGCTTGTCTTCCCATCCTGAGTGCTCCACATGCTTTATCTCACTGGACCCTCACAACATGCCTTTGGCAGGTGAGGAGGCTGAGGCTGAAGCTTGGCCTTGAATGTTGGCATGAGTCCTCACCAGCGTGTGTATTTGTCAGGTTAGACTGGGCTCTGCCGTGGTAACGAAACATCTACTAAATCTCAGTGGTTTCACATTGTCCTTGTTTATTTCTCACATATGCAAAATCTTCTGTGGGCCCGTGACTTCACAGGGCAGCTGTCCCTTGTACAGAAATCGAGCCCTGCAGGCTGCTCCTGTCTCCAAGCTTGGCCAGCTCCAGAGAAAGCGACCTTCACCTTCATGGTGGGGGAACGTCCATGGAGGTCTGTCACCCGCATGTTTACACTTCTGCCCAGAAGTGACACACGCACTTCCTCTCATGCCTTTTATCCAGAGCAGCCACAAGCCAATCCCCCTGCGAGGGTCTTGGGGTGTGGAGATCCTGGGCCTCCGTGAGCAGAACTGGAGGTGAGTGAGCTCCAGTGAGGTCTGCAGCTGTGTCTCCTCATCTCAGTGCTGTTGACCTTTGGAGCTGGAGAAATCTTTGCTACGGAGCCTGTCCTGGGAATCGTAGGATGTTTAGCAGCATCCTTGGCCTCTACCCACCAGATGCCAGTGGCACCATCCACTTATGACACCAAAAATGTCTTCCACATTGCCAAATGTCCCTTTGTGGGCAAAACGGCCTTTAGTTGAGAACCCTCGGGGCCTGCACCATGCTGTGTCTATGGATAAGGTGCCCAACGCTCTGAATCTCTTTACTAATTTCGAGTTAATGCTGCCCACTCTACAGAGATGATGTGAGGATGAAATGTCTCTGACTCGTGTGAAAGTGTGCAGCACTGAATCCCAACTCAGTAGGGCCAGGGCCCTGTTTTTGCTTCCCACTGTATTCCCAGTGACTGGCATGGAGGAGGCTCTCAGTGTTGATTGAGATGATGAATGAATGAATGCTCAGTCCTGGCATAGGACAGTGCTGAGTAAGTGGCAGTTCCACCCCCACCCCATGACCTATTTACACACAGATATGGGTTTTTGGGCCTTCATGGAGGCAGGAAGCAAGGGGCAGAACAGGATGGCCCTGTTGCGCTTCTCTACCTGGCCGACAGGTGTCCCCCCGAGCCCCTTCTCACGGGGTACTGCTTCCAGAAAGGCTGTGATGGGGCTGCTTGCTCCCCAACTCTCCTTTTCCCTGGCCACTGGTCAGAGTCTCCTGGGAAGGTCTCGGCCGCAAGTTGGCCAGCCCGAGGGGGTCTTCGTCTGTAGGGAGTCTGTGCTTCTGCGGGGGAAGAACCTCCTGGGGAGCACATCTGGTGCTTTGACTCTGATGTCAGATCAGACAAGTCCAGTGCTCAGCAACCCCAGACTTCGCTGACAGAGGCTGTCACATTCCTTACACACCTGGGACACTTTCTCTCCCTGTTGAGACTAGCGCTTTTTCTCTTTCTCTGGACTTGGTTCCCCAAACCTGTGCTTCCCCAGCCCCTCCAGTTACCTCCAGCTCTTGGTGAATCACTCTGTGCCCCTGATACCCTTCACCCAGGCTGTGGGCCAGTCTCCATGAGCAGCGTCTGTCCTCACGTTGGCCTGTCCCCCTCTGGAGGCCTGTGTGCTGGGCTCCTCCGGCCATGCTGTCCTCACTCTCCTTTGGCTCCACACAGTTCTGCCGAGGGGCTTCAGCTCGGCTCTGAGTACCTCCTCTTGGCCTAAGACCTGCTCACTATCTTCTGGACTTTCTACCTGGGACAGGGAAAAAGGGTGCTGTGCCCTCTTCCCGTGGTTGTGGTGTGGTGGGAAGAGGAGACGCTGAGGAGCCAGACACATCTGGGAACCATCCCAGTTCAGTCTTTTCACAGCCTCGGTTTCCTCAGTTTCAAAGCGTTAATAAGGTTGACCCTCATGTCTCGGTTACCTCAGGCTGCTGTAATAAAATAGCACAGACTGGGTGGCTTAAACAACAGACATTTCTCTCTCACAGCCCTAAAGGCTGGAAATCAAAGATCAAGATGTTGTCAGGCTGGAATCCCCTGAAGCCTCTCTCCTGGGCTTCCAGATGACGGTCCTCCCCCTGCGTCCCCACATGGTCCTCCCTCTGTGTGTCTCTGTCCTAATCTCCTCTTCTTATAAGGACACAGGTCATATTGGATGAGGGCCTACTCTAATCATCCCATTTTACTTTAATTACTTCTTTGAAACCCTATCTCCAAATACAGCCACATCTGAGGGCCCAGGAGGTTGGACTTCAGTGTATGAGTTTTGGAGGGACACAGTTCAGCCCATAGCACCTGGCAGTTGGACCTGAAGATGACCCCAAAGGATTGAATGAGTTGATGTGGTTACCTCCTGTTATGCTTCAAACCCATCCTGTGGCCGCCATCCAGCCCATGGGGTTCTGCCTCCAAACCATCATCTTCTACTCCGTTACTGCTCTCCTATTCAATGGCTGGAGACACAGAAGCCAAGACCTCCTAACTCCACATTTAATTTTTAATTTCCCCCACTTTTTACTTATTCTGTGCTGGGAACACAGAAGTTGCGCATAGATGGAAATGAGTACTGGGTGACATTTCAGGGGGATTACACATGGCCGTCTACCTTCTTAGCCCAATGGCTGGTTTGCATTTGCCCCAAGGGGTGGACTTGACTTCTGCTACTTCTGTGGTCACCTCTGTGCCCTCCCAGGTACAAGATGGAAGTCCTGATTTCAAGTCACTCCATTATTCTCCATGACATGGGTCTCATGCACCATGGGTTCTGGTTGGAGCCATAAGCGAGTATGAATGGCACTGTCTGTGTGACCCTGGAGATGGCCTCATGCAGGGGTCCCCAGCCCCTGGGCTGCGGGCTGGTACCGGTCCATGGCCTGTTAAGAACTGGGCCGCACAGCAGGGGGTGAACTGCAGGCGAACAAGCATGACCGCCAGAGCTCCGCCTCCCATCAGATCAGCGGCACCATTAGATTCTCATAGGAGTTCCAACCCTATTGTGAACTGCACATATGAGGGATCTAGGTTGCATGCTCCTTCTTTTTTTTTTTTTTTTTTTTTTGAGACGGAGTCTTGCTCTGTCACCCAGGCTGGAGTGTGCAGTGGCGCTATCTTGGCTCACTGCAAACTCTGCCTCCCGGGTTCATGCCATTCTCCTGCCTCAGCCTCCCAAGTAGCTGGGACTACAGGAACCCGCCACCACTCCTGGCTAATTTTTTGTATTTTTAGTAGAGACGGGGTTTCACCGTGTAAGCCAGGATGGTCTCGATCTCCCGACCTCGTGATCCGCCCGCCTCGGCCTCCCAAAGTGCTGGGATTACAGGCGTGAGCCACCACGCCTGGCCTACATGCTCCTTCTAAGAATCTAACTAATGCCTGATAATCTGAGGTGAAACTGTTTCATCCTGAAATCATCTCCCCTGCCGCCACTGCCAGTCTATGGAAGAATTATCTTCCAGGAAACTGGTTCCAGGTGCCAAAATGGTTGGGAACCGCTGGCATACTGGGTGTGAAAGCTGTGTGGAAATTGCCATACCCCTAGAGGAGTGAGACTTTGTCATCCTTCGGCCATTCGTTCATGCTTTCCTGAGTCCACCCCTCCGGTGTCTACTGGAGTCTCCCACTGGCCATGCATGAGGAGGATACAGGGCAAGTCTGACGCTGACACTGTTCTCAAGGGCTCTGTCATCCTGGGGCGATTGTCTGAGGCCTCCTGCAATTCCTACAAGGCAAGGCCTAAAGGGCCACTGGCAGGATGTGGGGACGCCCCTGTGCCAGCTCAGAGCAGCAGCGTTGGGGAAGGTGTGTGCCCGGTGTGCGGCCTTCGAGTTGGCCCCTGAGGTGTGGCGTGACGTTGCTCTGGGAGTCAGGAGCAGGGAAAGGGCCTGAAGCAGGTGGAACAGCCTGGGAGGGTGCAGGGCCAGGTATGGTTAGAAATGGTCTGCCTCCCTCGACAAAGAGCTACATACATCCAAGCTGCAAACAGTCCCCTAAACCCTGTGCAGCTGGCAAAGCCCATGTGTTTAAAAAGCCTGCAAGTCCCCGACCCCAGGGTGGCCCCAGCAGGATGTTGAGGAAGGCTATTCAAGGCATTTGGAGATGAAGTCATCAGGATTCTTTCAATACTGCTTAGATTTCATGTAACCTGAAACTTTTACACAAGCCAGTCTCTGCCTATGAATGAAAGAATACTGTTCCCCCACCTCCAACCAAACCCTTCCCTTTCCCCCTTTCTTTGATCTGGTGACAGACAAAAGAGACACGTTTGCCTATGGAAGCCATGGGATTTAGGTTCCAGGCCTACCCAGTGCTCACTCTGAAATTCCCAGAAATAAGGTTAAATGGCTGAGCCTGGCTGCAAAGCTGAAATGTGCAAGGACCAATGAGGGAAATGTAAGAAGGGCGGGGTAGGTTGCCAAGTTGGGATGATGAGGGCAGACAATGGGTGGTCCTGGTGCTATACAAGCTCTGGGGAAATATCTGAGCAACTCTGAATCTGACATGTTCCACACTGATGGACTCTGAGATTTAGACAGCAGTAAAGGAGTGGCCAGGAGCTGGCCAGGCCAGGTGGGGGTGGCTATTCCATCAGGGAGTGGGGACCTTGTGGTCTTGAGTGATGCTGAAGGGCATGGGGCCTGGGCTCCTCAGAAAGAAACAAGCCTGCCCCATGCTGCTGGCAGGCCCTCCTGCCCATTTCTGGGGTTATCTGCAAACTACCTTCAGGGAGTTTAGCAGGAACCAAAACAATGAACTCTTGAGAACAAGGTTGCCCTTAAAGGAATCCACACCCTGAAAAGCCACTGAGGCCTGATACCTCAATTTCCTGGTGAAGGATGTTTTTATCTGGTTGGCTGGGCACTCAGCTCATGGTGTGTTTGTTCAGTAAGTCATTCTGCCTAGCCCCCACGTGTCAGGGGTTTCCCCCTGGCCTGCGGAGCTGGGAAGGGCAGGCTCTCCATCCTGCGATCTGTCCATTTCTGTCAACTCAACCTCTCCTAGATGATTAATCTGCTCCCAACCAGCAAAACAGAATACTGTATGTAGAATACTGTACTCAGGATACAGCCAGAAACACCTTTGATCTGATTCTCATCAAATGTTCTGCTATGAACACAAAGTTTACACTCATGGAGGATTGCATGAAAGTCTCTTTCTTCTAAGAAGACTACATTTCAAACTTGGATTAAACAAAATTGGGAAGCGTATATTTTAAACACAGTGTTTGGCTCCTTGTAGAACATTTACCTTTACTGAATTATACATGGGGATTAGGCCAACGGTCAGCATGGAGAGATGTGAGAGTCAATTAAAAAAAAGAAGAGTTGAAACATAGATAGTGTTGCCCAGCAGTTGAGAGAATAGGCTTTGGTGCCAGTAAAACACTGGTGTCCTATGGCACATTACTTAAGGTGTCTGTGCCTCAGTTTCTTCACCTGCAAAGTGAAGCTGTCGCTCTACCTACTTTATAGGCTGGCTGGGATGATTGAGTGAGAGGAAGAAGGTCAATGCCATGCCCCATAGAGCAGGTGCCCTTCCGTGCATGTTGCTGGAGAGGTCAGAGACCAAAGGAAGGTAGGCATGGCAGCAGGCATGATCAAGTGGAGGCTGGTTCTTCTCAGCCAGACTGGCTGGCACCAAAACTGTTTCCCAGTTCTGTTTTTGGTTTTTATGTATTTATTAATTTTTTCACTCTGCTGCTCCACTATAAAGCCAACACAGAGTTTCCAACCAATGGCTTCTTCCTTCAACAATTTAACATCCAGCCAGGTGCATCTGTAGCGAGCCAGTTGGAGGCATTCTGGCTGGAGGGTGCAGGGCTAAACTGATTACTCTGCATGTTGCTGTTCTGGTTTGTAAAGAAGCAATGTTCCTCATTAGTGTGTGTTAGCCTGTAGAGAGCAGAAGTTGAATTAGGAATTGCTGATTGAAAACCTGATTTTTGAACTCTCCATAACCTGGTAAATGTTTAAATGTCCTATTAGGAGGAAATTAAAGCTCTGCTGGACTAGTTATAGATTAACAATAGGAAATCTTATTATAAAAGTATAAAGAGATTTCACATTTCCTCAATATTCAGAACAATATCAACCTAGCAATAGCAACTTGTTATTTGACATTAAGCACAGAAACCAGATTATTACCATAGTAATGAACTTGTTTTTCTGTTCTTCTTGCAATGAATGACACTGATTTCTGCATATGGTTGACTACACTTTGTCACAAGGGTCATAAGAGAGTTGGCTCTTCTTGCTTTTTTTTTTTTTTTTGTCTGTGCCCACTGGCATCTCCAGGTCATTGGCTTCTCCATCTCCCTGTCTGAGATATATATGAGGCAAGGGGAAGATGCCCCAAAGAACTCACCATTGAGCCATTCAGTGGGGGCCCAAAGTCTCTATACAGTCTGCCTTCTTTCTACCTTCAGAGTCTTCTTACTGTGCTTAATACCCAGTGCCCAGGCTTTTTAGTTATGCTTAGGGAAAAGTGAGTTTATTCCATCTTTCCACAAGATGGAGTGCCCTGTTGTTTCTTTTCTTTCTTTCTTTTTATTTTTGAGATGGAGTCTTGCTCTGTTGCTCAGGCTGGAGTGCAATGGTGCAATCTCAGCTCACTGCAACTTCCATCTCCTGGATTCAAGCAATTCTCCTGCCTCAGCCTCCCAGGTAGCTGGGTTTACAAGTGCCCGCTACCATGTCCGGCTAATTTTTGTATTTTTAGTAGAGACAGGGTTTCACCATTTTGGCCAGTCTGGTCTCGAACTCCTGACCTAGTGATCTGCCTGCCTTGGCCTCCCAAAGTGCTGGGATTACAGGTGTGAACCACCATGCCCTGCCAGCTTTTTTTTTAAAAAAAACAGGTTAAAAAATCGTGCTGAACAGCCCTGAAGTAATCATGTATGTTGATGCAGTACTTTGCATCAATTATACTACATATATTCTCTCTCTCATTCCAATTATTTTTCTCATTCTTTCACTCTCTCCTTTGTTTTTAAACCTTCTCTCACTGTCTTTCTCACAAAAATATGAACACACTTATATAAGCTTACACACACAAATCTTAACCTATAATTAACACAAGTGAACAAATTAAAATTAAATGCTAGAGGAGTGAAGAATCAGTAAAGAGAATTATGAAGTTATAAAACAAAATTAAATATCTAGATACATTAAGAATTTTTAGGTCAACATCTTCTCTGCAAATGTTAAAGTCAACAAAGAGATCCAATTCCTTTGCTGAGGAATAAAAGCTTTTTAAACACATTTTAAAAAGGAGTTGTTTATGATTAGAAGATCCAGATGTGCTCATATTTAAAAAGATATTTTTAAACTAAAACTGACCGCCCAATTGAAAGACTCATACTTTTTTGTTTAATGTGGTTATAGTTTAGACGAGAATCAGACTAGTTATAATCCAGAAATACTTTAGTTCTGAAAGTTAGGGATCGATATAAAGTTTTATGGATGAAATTTTTGAATTTTGAGAGAGTAGGCTGCATACAACTTCATGCTGTTTTCAAATTTTAACTCCAGATTGAAAAATTTTTATTGTATTTTTAGCAATTTCATCAAAGGGCTGATGGCTTTCAAGTTTAAACTCTAGCTTAAGGATTGAATTTTAATAAACAGAAAAGGTCTCTGGTCACAAGCGCACTCTTTGAAGGTTATCACACATTGTATATAAATGTACCTGTATGAGCGTCATCACTCAGATTAAAATGCCAAGGTCAGCAGCACCCCGGAAGCCATTCTCTCCTTCTCAAAGGTGGCCACTATCTGACTTCCAGTGACACAAATGGATTTGCTTGTCTCTGAACTTTTATAATGGGGATTATCCACTGAGTATGCCTTTGATAAGGCCTCTCGTTTGAGAGATTGAGGGTCGGCTTCGCGTTTGAGAGATTTCTCCTTGCTGTTGTGTGTAGTATTAGTTCACTCACTTTTATTCTGCATAGTGTTTTGTTGTGTGAGTATCCTGCTTCAGCTATCCTGTTATCCATGGACAGTTGTGGGCTGTTTCCTCCTCGTTCCCTGGTTTTGGTTTACAGCAAATGATGCCTCTGTAAGCATTCCTATATGTCTATTTATGTCTATGTGCTCGCATTGACGTTGGGCTTTTCCTAGGAAGGAAGTTTCTAGGGAGCAGGTTTGTGTAATGTTCATATTTAGTAGTTGCTTTCCAAGGGTTTTCTGAAGTGGTTGTGCCCATTTTCATCAGCAGCGTACGTGAGTGCCCATGGCTCCCTTCCTTTCCAACGGTTGGTGTTGCCCCAGCCTCCACTGCCACTGCATCTCACAAGAGCTCCAGGGTAAGGAGTTTCTCTTTTTGTCAGTTAGAATGTTAACGATCCCCCTTCAGTAAACTAGAGGACTTCTGCACCCTCACTTTCCCCTTGACTTTTGTCATTTATTCTATTAAGATATAATTCACACACCATACACGCCACCATTATCAATGTCTACAATCTTCATAAGGTTGTGGAACCATAACCATAATCCAGTTCTGGAATACACATCTACTGAGAGCCATGTTTTCAAGGTTCAGGCGTGTGTTGTTGCATGCATCAGTTGCATGTATCATTCATTATTATAGCTGAATAATACTCCATTGTCTGGCTGGAATGCATTTTGTTTTCCATTCATCAGTTGATGGGCATTTGGGTTGATTCTGCTTTTTGCCAATTTGGAATCATGCTGCTATAAATATTAGTGTACAGGTTTTTGGGTAGACATGTGTTTTCAGTTCTCTTGGGTATGTCCCTTGGAGTAGAATTGCTGGGTCATGTGGGAATTCTATGTTTAACTTTTTGAGGGACCACCAGATTGTTTTCCACAGCAGCTACTCCATTTTGCATTCCCACCAGCAGTGTATGAGGCTTTTAAATTCTCCACGTCCTTACCAACACTTGTTATTGTCCTTTTTAAAATTGTATTTTAGCCATCCTAGTGGGTGCACACTCATTTTTGCAACCAAATTTCTCTTGGCAGATTCTCATAAACTCAGAGTCAAGGTTGATTTCTTTCTCTTTATTTTCCTATAGGAAGGAGATTTAGCACACCTCTTTTAAAAACAGAAATACTCACAGTTAAAAGCCTTGATTTGTTACTAGCAAGACTATCATAATTACACCAACTTTAACGCTTATTCTTTAATAGTTGTAGAGATCATAAAAAAGAACTTCTTCTGTTCCCCTGAAATTGATAGCTGGTCCCCAAATCTTCAGACAAAGAAGATATCAAGTACAGCTTATTCTAAAGAGAATTGCAAGATGAGAGGCAGATACTTGCTCCAGGTTTTATGAAGAGGCCGGCAGACCCTGATCACCAAAAAGTAGGGTACCCCTCCTCCCACCCCACCCCACACACCCCCAATACCACATGGACATGTCCACCCAAGTTCTCCCACTTCAGTGGGCCAGGTGTCCCAGCTCCCACTTTGTGGTTTCATCACGATCAGTGAAATCAGACAATTCCTCGACGTTTTGCTCATATTTTCATTTTGATACCTTGGGTATCTATTCCGTTTCCCTTGTTTTGTAGTCTCCCATGATCTCCCATGACTCATAACTCACAGACATTTCTCCCAATTTCCTCCGAGAAGGTTTCCCATCATATTAATGCACATTTCGACCGCTTGGTGTTTTTTTTTGCCGAGGAGCTCTGGTGCCTCCTGGCTCAGAGCTAGACTGAGGTCCCAGCTGAAGGCATTTTCAGGAATTTCCATAAATCAGGCGTGGCTTCCTGCCCAAAGGCAAGGCAGCTTGGAGGGGGTTTCACAAAGAGAAGTTTCCACATGGGGAGGAGTGGTCTTCCCAGCTGTCTCTGGTTCTAGGGGAGCACCCTCCAGGAGCAGGAATTCCTCCTGCTCTCAGTCCCCGGGTCTCCAAGTCTCCACTGCAGGTGGGAGTCAGAACCCAGGAAACACATGACAACCAGGCTGTGCGCATTGGTTGCTGAAGCGCTCATCACACTTCTTGAGGTGCTCCATCCTTCCTTGAGGAGGCACACTGCCATGGGTTGAATGGTGTTCCCCAAAAGATATGCTGACATTTGAAAACAAACTTATGGGTAATAAAGGTTAGAGCCTTATATGTATACAAGGTGTACTAACCACACAGTTTAATATGTAGCAAAAATGTACACTCGATATTTTTGAACTGGTTATTTTTTTTTTTTTTTTTTGCTGTATTCCAACTGACCAGGACAATGTTAAGAATACATCTTAAATGGGTGCTCACTGATAAAGGAATGGTTAATAATGAAGCCATACATTTATGTCTGGATTTAAACATTTTAAGGACTCATTTACCAAGTCCTTGTCTGTTGCCTTGAAGAACATAAACTGCTGTTTCCAGTATTCACATCAGCAGGATCTTATTCATAATACAAAACGTCTTATTGCATTGAAATGTACTGTAACATGGGAAAATTTAAGCCTTTTGTATGTTTTCTTTCATTGTGAAATAAAATTTAATTCTGAAAGAAAAAAATACGTTGAAATCCCAACTCCCCCCTAACTGTGAATGTAACCTTGTTTGGAAATAGGACCTTCACAGGTGTGATCAAGTTAAGATGAGGTCACTTGGGTGCACCCTGATTCAATAAGACTGGTGTCCTTATAAGAAGAGGGAAAGCTGGACACAGACGCAGAGGGCAGAGGCCACGGGAAGACGGAGGCAGCGCTTGGAGTGATGCGCATGAGCCAAGGAGAACCGGGAGCCTCAGAAACTCGAAGAGTCAGGAGGAACCCTCCCCTGGAGCCTTCAAAGACAACACAGCCCTGCTGACCCTTGATTCAGATCTCTGGCTTCCAGAACTGGAACTGTGAGGGAGTAGAGTTAGGCGGTTTAAGCTACCTGGTTTGTGGAACTGTGCAATGGCAGCTCTGGGAGAGTAGGACAGATGTTGAGCGCACCGACTCCCAGACCTCCCTGGCCAGATGACTGGGCTTGCCTGGTCTGCACCTCAGCCTCCTGGCTCTTCCCCTGCCTGGAACCCTGTATATGGTCTCATCATGGCTGGCCTAGCTCATCATGCTTCTGCTGTGAGACCCCTCATTAGATTAGTTGGATAATGGCTGGGTGTGATGGCTCATGCCTGCAATCCCAGCACTTTGCGTGGCTGAGGCAGGAAGATCACTTGAAGTCAGGAGTTCAAGACCAGCCTGGCCAACATGGTGAAACCCTATCTCTACTAAAAATGCAAAAATTAACCAGATGTGGTGGTGGATGCCTGTAATCCCAGCTACTCGGGAGGCTGATGAGGCAAGAGAATCACTTGAACCCCGGAGGCAGAGGTTGCAGTGAGCTAAGACTGTGCTACTGTACTCCAGTGTGGGCGACAAGAGCGAGGCTGTTGAAGTCTGCCTGGCTTCATCTCCTCTCAGGAACTTGCATGGGGTGTTCATTTTGTTCTGGTTTTGCTTTTCAAGCTGGATCTTCCAGGTGGAAGAAACTTCAGAGGTCATCTCCAGCCTTGACATTTCCTAGTTTTTATTTGAGAAATCAGGAAAGAGAGGCTCAAAGAGAGAAACAAGGCAGATCTGTCTTCTCAAAGCCCTCTTCATCACCTGGATCTAAATTCCTCACCTTCTCTATGAGTTAAATAGAGAGGCGCCATAACCATGCAATATGCAAAATGCATGTGCCTATTGGATGGTCATTGCATTGAACTCTTTGGCATCCTTGAGAGAGGCACAGTTGTTAGCCCAGGTTGCAGATGAGGAAACAATCTCAGTGGGGTTACGTGCCTCCTCCATGTCTCACAGCGAATCCTGGATGGGGCAGGATTTGCACACAGGACTGTCACTGTTGACTGCACAGCAAACATGTGCAAACCTCTCCCTGCAGCGTGCTTCTGTCTAATGCCTCTCAAGTCGTCTCTCCTAAAGCAATTTTGGTTGGCCAGTGGGGTGCTCTGAGGCCACAGCCCTTGGTGCCATTCTTGGGGGATCCATCCCTTACTTCTAGCCTGGATCCTGGAGTCTCACCCTGAAATTTTGTTCTGATCCTTGTATGTGGTGTCAAAACTCTGTAGAGGTCACTTCCACAAACACCCTGACACCTAATATCCATGCAGACTGATTAATTAACTGAAGTTTTTGTAGAGGGGCTAGTTGGGCAAGGTGACCTTAAGTTTTCACCCCATTTTGAGATGCAGATTCTGTGAATTAGAAGTCTGTGAGAAAACAAACAAAATCAGTCAGGGTGCAGTGGTTCATGCCTGTAATCCCAGCACGCTGGGAGGTGGAGGTGGGTGGGTCACCTGAGGTCAGGAGTTTGAGACCAGCCTGGTCAATATGATGAAACCCTGTCTCTACTGAAAGTACAAAAACTAGTGGGGCATGGTGGCGGGCGCCTGTAATAGCAGCTACTCAGGAGGCTGAGGCAGAAGAATCGCTTGAACCTCGGAGGCAGAGGTTGCAGTGAGCCGAGATGGTGCCACTGCACCCCAGCCTGGGCAACAGAGTGAGACTCCATCTCAAAAACAACAATAATAACAAACCAAAAAACAAAATCAGAAGGAAGCACAGAAATCTAGAGTGGGTAAGGAAGGCTGGGCAGCTTTTTACGCCTCCTCAGGTGTTCGTCAACTGAAAAGAATCTAGCAAGCCACAGAACAGACTTCCTGCCCTCCTCTGCAGCCTGGAAGGTAGGTGGGAAGGTATTTCTCATAGGGAAAGCAGACACCAGGCATTTGAGCCTTAGAGCTAGGTTGGAAGGTTGTGCAGACGAGCCCTGTCATTCCCAAAGTGCCAGTCAACTCCATGAGGGGCTGCTCCTCTGAGTTCTTCCTGCAATGCGGTTCTTTCATTGCTCTTTCCTTCACCCTACCTCCAATTTTTATTCTTTTTGTTTTGTTTTCTTTTTGAGGTGGAATTTCGCTCTTTTTGCCCAAGCTAGAGTGCAATGGTGTGATCTTGGCCCGCTGCAACCTCTGCCTCCTGGGTTCAAGTGATTCTCCTGCCTCAGCCTCCCAAGTAGCTGAGATTACAGGCGCATGCCACCACGCCCAGCTAATTTTTTGTATTTTTAGTAGAAACAGGGTTTCACCATGTTAGCCAGGCTGGTCTCAAACTCCTGATCTCAGGTTATCCACCCGCCTCAGCCTCCGAAAGTGCTGGGATTACAGGCTTGAGCCACTGCACCCGGCCAAATTTTTATTCTTAAAAAGCTAACTGCATAACATCACCCATGCTGGAGAATGTGAATATGTAATGAGTCCAGTGCAGAGAACGCTGGGTTCCTGTTTCCATCTACTCCAAGGCAGCCACATCCCTCCTCGTGCTACCACGGTATTCAGTGGGCAACAGGTATTGCTGCACGTGCACGGTTTACTGCCAACACCAAATCTCACTGTAAATTCAGACTAAAAAAATACGAGGAACTCTCCACTGGTTTTTTGTTCTGAATCAATATAACGGTGTAAAATAGTTACCAGGGTACCCGGCATATACAAAGAGTCCTTAATCGTTCATTACAATAATCATTACTGTTCAGTGGAGACTTTGCCATGCAGAATAAAATTTACTTTGACAGTATCATGTGAAGCCACCTTCAGCTGCTGGAGTCCTATAAAATGCATGTTCAGTCTGTTGGTCCACCACAGACTGAGTTTTCTCTCACTGGAAAGAAGTAGTATCCAGCCCATGGTCCGTGACCCCTGAATATTTGTTGAGCGATGGATGATTTAGTGCTTGAATAGCTCCAGCAAAGCCCATGGCCAAACTGGTGAATGTGTAACTGGGAGAAACTCTTTCTAGATGTGGCCAGTCTTGTCTAACTGTGGTCACGTGATGAGAGGAGATGACAATGACAGAGATGAGGAACGGATGTCTGGGCTGGAGACAGAAAGCTTTGTCACCTGTCATCTCAGTTCTGGGCTTCTGAATGGTGACGGGGGTCTGTGTACACAGGATATTTAGAGGCAAAAGAAACATCCGGCTCTGGGCTTCCACCCGACCTTGCTCCCTGCCCCATCCTCCTGCCGGCCCAGGACATAGGCTGACTCGTAGCTGGAGGGCAGAGAAGGTCACCAGCTACAGATCCCCCACCAGTCTGGCCAGGACAGGGAGCTTTCCTGCTGGCCACCATCATCACAACGCTGTGTGTGTGCAGGTGAGACCAGCCCATCCACAGGCAAGGCACTGATGTTCCGTCAGAGTCTAGGTCATTTCTAGTTCACCCTATTAATGATTTGCTGTTCTCAATATAGGATATCTCTATCTTTTTCAACACAGCCCAGCATTTACTTAGTCATCCTACTTCCGACCTAAACAGCTGATTATTTCCAATGCATCTTAAACACAGTGCTTTATGATGGCCTCCCTACTCAGCCTCATGAACAGCCCAATCTATAGATGAGGCAACCAAAGCCCAAAGAAGTTGCTTCATGTGCTAAGGTCCCAAATCTCAGGGAGGACTGCAGAGATGGGGTTTGATCCACAGTGACTATTTACCTATTACGTTACTTTTGTGCAATGCTATTTCCAGTATATGCTACATCAGTTAGAATTGCAATTGGCTGCTATTAACAGAGACCAGGGGCGGTGGAGCGGGGGGAACAAGATAAAAGCTTCTTTTCTTCTTTTTCATAAAATCAGTCTGGAGGCAGGGCATCCAGAGAAGCTATGGAGACTTGAGGGCCACTTGGGACCTGGGTTTCTTCTCTCCCACTGCTTTGCTTGTCCCCTCCGGATGGCTCCCACCCTTACAAGCTTCTCATGAATCAAGGTGGCTGCTGGAGATCCAGCTCTCAAATTGAGATTCCAGGAAGAGGGGGAACAGGTTTAAGGGGGCCTGGGTTGGAGCTCTGTCCATCTCTTAAGGAGCTATTGCAGAAATCTTGCCTAACAAACTCCACTTATGTGTCATTTGTCAGACTGAGTGGCATGCAAGTACCTGGGTGTATGGGATGCGGGTCTGTATTTCCACTTAGAACTGCAATTCTGTTCCCAAGGGAAAAGGGAGAGTAGACAGGAAGGGCAGCCAGCAGTCTTGGTTACTTGTGTCACTTATATTTAGTGGCTTCCACAATGTGTACTCCTCTGTGCTTAATTCCAACAGAGCACTTTCATCCTTACGCTGTGGGATCCCATGCTTGCCCGCTCTAACCTACAGAGCGTGTCTTCTCTGGATGGGAGAGTGAAGAGTGGAGGGGAAACAAAGGCGTGAGCTTCTTTTTCCTGAATATCTTCTCACCATGAGCAGGCAACACATTAAGAATATGCTGGTCTCAAGGGCTCCTTTCTCCAGGATGGACACAGAGGGTTGCCCAGACTTCAAGCAGGAAGGCGTGGCCACTGCCTTCCACTGCCAAGATGTCTCTTTCTTTCTTTCTCTTTCTTTCTTCCTTTCTTTCTCTCTTTCTTTTTCTTTCTTTCTCTTTCTTTCTTCTTTCTTTTCTTTCTTTTCCTTCCTCCCTCCCTCCCTTCTTTCTTTCTTTCTTTTTCTCTCTCTTTCCTCCCTCCCTCCCTCTCTCTCTCCCCTCCCTCCCTCTCTCTCTTTCTTTCCACCCTCCCTCCCTCCCTCTCTTCCCTCCCTCCCTCCTTCTTTCTTTCTTTCCTTCCTTCCTCCCTCCCTCCCTCCCTTCCTTCCTTCTTTCCTTCTTTCTTTCTTTCCCTCCCTCCCTCCCTCCCTTTCCCTCCCTCCTTCCCTCCCTCCCTGCTTTCTTTCTTTCTTTTCCTTCCTTCCTTCCTTCCTTTCTTTCACGGAGTCTCACTCTGTCGCCCAGGCTGGAGTGCACTGGTGTGATCTCAGCTGGCTCACTGCAACCTCCACATCCTGGGTTCTCTGCCTCAGCCTCCAGAGTAGCTGGGATTACAGGTGCCCGCCACCATGCCTGGCTAATTTTTGTATTTTTAGTACAGATGGGGTTTCACCATCTCGGCCAGGCTGTTCTTGAACCCCTAACCTTGTGATCCACCCGCTTTGGCCTCCCAGAGTGCTGGGATTACAGGAATGAGCTACCGCGCCCGGCTGATGTCTCATATTTCTAATAGACTGTTTTCTGAGGGTTGATAGGGTTCAGGAGAGAGAGATGCGTTTCTCTTAAACGAGACAAATGAATGCCTGCAGGAATTAGGGCTCTCTACGAATCAGCGAGTTGGCTGCTGGGCTGCTGAGAACATGCCCTGGACTGGGGAAGCATCAAGTTTCAAAGCCCCCTACCCGCCATAGCTGAGTCCTCATGATCTTGGCCTCATCCTAGAAAATCATGACATTCTATTTGTTTCCTATTGTTGCTATAACAAAGGAACACAAATTTAGTAGCTTAAGACGGCTCAACTGCATTGTCTTAGGGTTCTGGAGATGAGAAAGGCCCCCAGGGCTGTGCTCCTTCTGAGGCTCTAAAAAAGAATCCATTGCCCAGCATTGTCCGGCTTCTAGAGGCCATCCACATTCTTTGGGTTGTGTCTCCTTCGCGCATCCTCAAAGCAAGCTGCACGGCATCTTCACATCCCTCTCCCTCTGTTCTCTGACCTCCGCTTCCATTGTGACATCTCCCACTCTGACTCTGAGCCTCCCTCTTATAAGGATCCTGTGATGACATTGGGCCCAGCCCCACAATCCAGGACAATCTACTTCAAGACCCTTAATTTAATCCCATCTACAATGTCCCCTTTGCCATGTAAGGTGCCGTACCCACATGTTCTAGGGCCCAGGACATGGACATCTTTGGGGGTCATTATTCTGCAGATTGCAGAGATGTTGTGGGGATTCCCCTCAATTTCTCCTTACTCCTCATTCACTCCTTCACTTTAGCCATTTAAAATAATTAGTCCCCAACAAGGCCCATCTGACCAAGGGCTGTCCGCCTGGGGTGCCAACTGTGAGAAGGGATGTGGGGAGCAAGTGAGGGGAGCAAACTGGGACCCACAGAGGGGCCTCCATGTCTGAACAGCTGGCAGCAGGACAGACTTCCCTGCAGCCAGTGCTCAGGTCCTGACCTGGAGGGAGGCTTCAGCTCCCACCTCCATCCTTTCCCTCTTTGTACAAGCCCAGAGGGAGGGAACCATTCCTCTGCCTCAGTCACAATCTGACAAAGCAGGACCGTTGTGCAACTTAAATGCTCCAGGCTGGGCTTTGGGGTCTGCCAAAAGCACAGCTGACATTCTTTCATTGTTGCAGGGCAGACAGTGGCAACAGGGACACAAGGGCATCTGCCTTCAGCTCATGTTGCCCTTCTCTCGTGGGAAACACAGAACCAGCGGAGCCTTTTTAATGTTCAGTCTTGAGCTGTTCACAGTGGCCCAGCTTGTTCCAATTTCCGGGTCCTGAGCCACAGGCTAAGGGTATGGATGTTGAGTATCTCCCATCCCCTGCCCTGTCTGAGACCATGTGAGGAACCTTTTAGGCCACACCTGTCCTCCGGTCCCATGATGATGTTCCTAGCGTTTCACATATGCTGCAAGTTGCCTCAATTATGTGGGGGCTGGTCCATCTTTCACTTGGGCTTCACAGCCTTCGCCCTCCCTGGTTTCAGACCCTCATCTTCAGGTGTGTAGCAAGACTGGTGTCTGCATCCTACAGCCCATAGCTTTCCTGATTCAAAATGTTAAACCACACTTCCCCAGGCTCTCACTGCAGCCTCCCATCCAGTCCAGACTGTGGCTGCTCAAAGTGTGGTCCCCGGACCAGCAGCCTTAGCATCTCTGGAGAGCTGGTTAGAAAGTCCACAACTTTAGGTCCATGCCAGACTTGCTGAATTCTAATCTTCATTTTACCAAAAGCCCCAGGTGGCATTTGTGCAAATTCAAGCACGAGAATCACGGCCTGGCTTTAGGAAACCATGCCATCTCCCAGAGTCGTACTTTCCTTGTCTGTAAAATGAGCAGTTGGATCAAAGGTGCCCTGAGTTTCCCCCTCTGTGGTGTCTTATGGCTCCTGTATGTGGCTCCACCTTTTGTAAAGTGTTTAACAAGAAACCGGCTCCATGAGCCTCACAAACCAAAGACTGAACAATAATCACATCAGTGGCTGAGTTGTTAAACTTCTAAATAGAATCTGACTTGTATGCTATACGATGTGTGACCGTAGTGAGTGACTTGGACATTTCTGGGGACTGCCCCACCCTTCTTGTGGGCCTAAGCCACAAGCCACATTCACACCTGAGTGTGAGGAGGCAACAGCCTCCTCAGGGTCTCTGCCTCTGCCTTCAACAAGCAGCGGAGAGCTCTTTGCAGAGCCCACACGGACAGAGCCTGAGTCCCTCCACCAGACCCTCCCCCACCTGCTGCCCCTTCTCACTTGCCCTTGCCTCCAGCAGCCTGGCCTTGGCTGGCCTTTGACCTCAGGTCCTCGGGCCTTTGCAGGTCATCCTGTGGGCCTGAGACATTGCCCCATAGCCCCAGCCTAGTCTGCTCTCCCAGCCCCCTCAGGTCTCTGCTCAAATGACACCATCTGCAGAGGCCTCTCTGGAGCAACTTATTTGATGCTGACACTTGCTTTCCACTAGCCCACACCACACTCCTGGTCCCTTTTGCCTTCCTCTAATTTTTCATTTTTCCATAGCAATTCCCACCTCCTAAGATGATGCAGCATTTACCTCCTGTGATGATGGCTGTTGCCCCACAAGGACAGGGATTCTCGTCAGTTTCAGTTCCCAGATGTTCCCCAGCATGGTAAATGTCTGGCACAGAGCATACACAGTATTTTTGGGAGGAACACACTTCTTATTCCTCAAAGTTTCAGGGAACAGGCCCCATCAGGTGCCTCTGTATCCCCAGGTGATGCCCAAGGGAGGCTGAGGGCTGAAGAGTGGCATTCTCCCGATGTCCTGACCTGGGCCACAGTGGGGACGGGAAGCCCTCTGGTATGGAGACTTTCACTGAACTAAACACAGCCTGGGTGGACTGGCCCAGGCCTGATGTGGTGTCCTCCTTGCCTCTCGCTCTGACCCACGCTGGCCTCCCCTTGAAGCTTGCCTGCCCTGAGCCTTGAGGATCTTTTCCTTGTTGCTGGGGCTTCTCTGCCTCCAGTTCTTTCTCTGCAGTGTTCCCTCAGCAGGAGGGCTCCTTATTTTCTCTATGGCTTTCTTATGCAACACAAAAGAACCGGCTCCTTAGCGCAATGAGAGGACGAGAGGATGGTCACTTTGGGAGACTGGCTGTGCGGCTTTGATACATGGTGGCTCCTGGGAACATCAACCAGGAGGGCTGCGTTTTTATGTTTATTAATTTTATTTACTTATTTTACTTCTAAATCTCATCTGTGGCTTGACAGGGAACTAAACAGCTGGACTCAAAAGTCCAGCCCCTGCCCCCCGCCCCCAGTTAATCATCCGCAGCTGTGGGTACAGGGTCCCTGTGCCTCTGGGACTTAATGCAGGTGGCCCAAGTCCCGGGCACACGATCATAAGAACGGAAGCCTTACTATGTGGAAGCGGCATAAGCGTTACTCAGCAGACAGTTTATTTATTTTCTACTTGTGTTTATAAGCCCCTCCTCTGCAGAGGGGGCCTGGAGGCTGCTCAGAGGCCGTTGTACAGAAATGAAAATGTACTAATGTGTACACACACACACAATGGAATATCATTCAGCTTTCAAAAGGAGATCTTGTCATTTGCAACAACATGGATGAACCTGGAAGACATTTTCATTAAAAAAAAGAAATGCCAAGTTAGACAGAACAAAACATTAAATATGCTCAAGGATCAAAATATGACCATGACGCTATTGCCATTCTGCTCTGTTTTCTTTCAGTCTCCATGTAAATGCTTTGTACAATAGTCCCCCCTCACCTGAGCAGCATAACTTCCAGGAACCACACTGGATGCCTGAAACTGTGGCTAGCACCAACCCCCATACAAACTATGTTTTTTCCTACATACACACCTATGGTAAAGCTTAATTTATCAACTAGGCACAGTAAGAGATTAACAACAATGAATAATAATAAAATAATAGAACAATTATAACAACATATGGTAATAAAAGTTATGTGCGGCCGGGTGCAATGGCTCACGCCTGTAATTCCAACACTTTGGGAGGCCAAGGCAGGTGGATCACCTGAGGTCAGGAGTTCGACACCAGCCTGGCCAACACGGTGAAACCCTGTCTCTACTAAAAATTCAAAAATTAGCCAGGCATAGTGGCACACGCCTGTAATCCCAGCTACTTGGGAGGCTGAGGCAAGAGAATTGCTTGAACCTGGGATGTGGAGGTTGCAGTGAGCCGAGATCGTGCCACTGTACTTCAGTCTGGGTGACAAGAGTGAGACTCTGTTTCAAAAAAAAAAAAAAAGTTATGTGAATGTGGTCTCTCTCAGAATGTCTTGTTATTTTATAATTGTTTCATCTATTCTTGGACTGCAGTTGACTCAGGGTAACTAAAACTTTGGAAAGCAAAACGGGGACTACAGTACATGTAAATAACATGAATAATGTGAATATATATCACAATTTCTTTGTCCATTCATCTGTCAATGGACATGGAGGTTGTTTTCATATCTTGGCTATTGCAAATAATACTGCAATAAAGCCTAATGGAGGTGAGGAAAATTCTCTTCCTCCTCAAGTCAAGTCTCCCCAAGCCAGGTCTCCTGCCCTCTACCCGCCCCAAACTGCCCCAGCAGGTGAGCTGCCACTACTGAGAAAGAGAGCCATCGCCTGCCTCCTGCCTTGACCCCAAACCAGAAACTCTCCTCCAGACTCTCAGAACTCTTCCTGTGTCCTCCCACCTCCTCCAGAATCAATCAGAAAGGTGCTCCTTTACCAACCCCTCAGCTGGGGCTCCAACCTCACTACTCTTCACTCTCAGTTCTTCACTAAGTTCCTCTCCAAAAGACTCTCCCATATAAATGTGTTAACTGCACCAACCTGACCTGGGCACCCACAGACTCAAGAGGTCGTGGTGTGGGCTCCCTGTGTGAGTTTTTCTGTGGAATATTCTTTTTTATTTTTATTTTTATTTTTTGAGATGGAGTCTCGCTCTGTTGCCCAGGCTGGAGTGCAGTGGCGCAATCTTGGCTCACTGCAAGCTCCGCCTCCCGGGTTCATGCCATTCTCCTGCCTCAGCCTCCCGAGTAGCTGGGACTACAGGTGCCCGCCACCACGCCCGGCTGATTTTTTGTATTTTTAGTAGAGATGGGGTTTCACCGTGTTAGCCAGGATGGTCTCGACTCCTGACCTCTCCACCCACCTTGGCCTCCTAAAGTGCTGGGATTACAGGCGTGAGCCACTGCGCCTGGCTCTCTGTGGAATATTCTTAGACGGGGAACTGCCAGCTGCAGGATGTGAGCATCTTCAACTTTCCTAGATGTTGCCAAACGACTGTGCCCTGGCTATACTAATTTACGCTCTACCAGGATTTGGGGTTTATAGAATTCTTACAGGACCTGTGGTCTTGGACAGTAGCTAATCAGTTGATACAGAAATACTGCCATGATCTAGGGGCATGCTTAGAATCTGAAAAGGTAGATTCCGGAGGAGAGAAGCAGTCTTTTGTACCGTAGGGATGGACATAAGGAATTCATTACCGAGGAGGTCATGTGGGTCAACAACATAAATAGACTCAAGAAAGATGAAGACACTCTCAGGAATGATCCGTGAGCAGCCGGGTCATTAGGAAGAGCTGAGCCCCTCTTTATGTCTTCTGTGTTTATTTTTCCCATTAAAAACACATTTTCATTAAAAAAATTAGAAATACCAAGTTAAATAGAATACAAAATTAAATATGTCTAAGTATCCAAATACGACCACCAGTGCCATGTTTTCCTTCCAGTCTCTCTGCAAATGTTTGCATAATTGAACCGTTGTATATAAACAACTTGATAACTTGCTTTCTAATTCAACATTAGATCATAAATATCCCACCAGAATATTTATAATTCTTTGTGACCATTTGTAAAAGGTTTAAAACAGTCCAAAGATAGTTAGATTATTTAGTAGCATACTGTGATGAATAATTTTGCACTGTTTTCGTATATTTAGAGTTGTTTCTTTTGGTCATTTAAAAATATATATTAAGCATTTTGTTTTTGAGACGGAGTCTCACTCTGTCACCCAGACTGGAATGCAGTGGTGCAATCTCGGCTCACTGCAACCTCCACCTCCCGGGTTCAAGCAATTCTCCTGCCTCAGCCTCCTGAGTAGCTGGGAGTACAGGCATGCACCACCATGCCTGGCTAATTTTTTTATTTTTAGTAGAGACAAGGTTTCACCATGTTGGCCAGGCTGGTTTCAAACTCCTGACTTCAAATGATCCGCCCGCCTCGGCCTCCCACAGTGCTGGGATGACAGGTGTGAACTACTGTGCCAGGACTCAGAATTTTCTTTAGTAAGATTTGCTGATATGGATTACTGGTTAAATGATCTAAACATCAGGTTAAAAGGCATGGTTATCTCTCATCATTCTCAGCAAACTATCGCAAGGACAAAAAACCAAACACCGCATGTTCTCATTCATACGTGGGAATTGAACAATGAGAACACATGGACACAGGAAGGGGAACATCACACACCGGGGACTGTTGTGGGGTGGGGGGAGGGGGGAGGGATAGCATTAGGAGATACACCTAATGCTAAATGACGAGTTAATGGGTGCAGCACACCAACGTGGCACATGTGTACATATGTAACAAACCTGCACGTCATGCACATGTATCTTAAAACTTAAAGTATAATAATAATAATTTTAAAAAAGTCATGGTTATCTATTATGGTTCTTAGTATATATTGCCTAATTGCCTTTGAAAATGGTTGTATGGCCAGGTGTGGTGGCTGACGCCTGTAATCTCAGCACTTTAGGAATCCAAGGCAGGCAGATCACGAGGTGAGGAGTTCAAGACCAGCCTGGCCAATATGGTGAAACACTCTCTCTACTAAAAATACAAAAATTAGCTGAGCGTGGTGGTGCACGCCTGTAGTCCCAGCTACTAAGGAGGCTGAGGCAGAAGAATCCCTTGAACCCGGGAGGTGGAGGTTACAGTGAGCCAAGACTCCAGCCTGGGTGACAAAGTGAGACTCCGTCTCAAAAAAAAAAAAAAAAAAAAAGAAAGAAAGAAAATATTTACACTGATTTATAAGTCTACCAGCATCATATGTGTTTCCCTGAGTTTACCAGCTTTAGGTATTATATTATTTTTAAAGTTTTGTTAATTTGATAGACAGTGAAATAACCTAATTACTTTGATGTTTATTTCTTTAATCACTAGTAGGGTTGAACATTTTCCCATATGCGTGTTCCCTAATTCTTTTTCTTCTGTTGGGAATTATCTGTGCCTATTGCTCACCTGTTTACAGGATCTTGTTAATTTTCATAATTTATATGAGCTCTTCGTGTAACAAAAATACCAAGCTGCTACGGGAATGCCGGCACCGTGGCTGAAAAACAGCACACGTGGTTAGCGCTGCCGGCTGGCCTTACCCAGGGGAAAACGTTCATGTACTTCTTTCTGGGTCGTCCTCTCCTTCCTAGGGCTCTCTCTGCATCAGAGTCACCCTTTCTGAGCGGGGTCATGTTTGTTTTACTTTTCACAACAATTTATTAAAATAAATGAGTCTGCTTTTACTGACAGCCCACTTCCTCCCTTTCCCCCCAAAGAAAACACAGAGAATCGGCAAATCTGGCGCTAGCAAGGAGCTTGCCTGCTGGCTGTGCCTGGAGACCCTCCGCAGCTTGTTAATCAGCCCCAAACGAGGTGCCAGCGCCCAGATCCCGTGCTGTCACACAGGCGGAGTCAGGTTACAGTGGCAGGGCAGCTTGAACTGGGAGCCCTGGACGCCCAGAGGGGTGGAGGTGGAGGTGGTGGGTGAGGCTGGGGGAGCTCTTCGGCCCTGGTTGAGGGGAATGATGGATGGAAGGGTTGAGGAAGAGATTAGTGGCTATGGGACGCGGAATGGCCTCCGTTCTACGTGGTGCCGCACTTTAGAAAATACTCCCACAGGCCGGGCTCATGCCTGTAATCCCAGCACTATCGGGAGGCCGAGGTGGGCGGATCATGAGGTCAAGAAATCGAGACCATCCTGGCCAACATGGTGAAACCCCCTCTCTACTAAAAATACAAAAATTAGCTGGGCGTGGTGGCACACGCCTGTAGTTCCAGCTACTCAGGAGGCTGAGGCAGGGGAATCGCTTGAACCCGGGAGGCGGAGGTTGCAGTGAGCCGAAATAATTCCACAGCACCCCAGCCTGGGTGACAGAGTGAGACTCCCAGTCTCAAAAAAAAAAAAAAAAAAAAAAAAAAGAGAAAAAGAAAATATTCTCACATGATCCTTACGACTACATTGTATACCTTATAAACTGGGCTATCTGATCCATTTCCTGGGTAGGGAAGCTGAGTCTCAGGGAGGAGGGGTGCCTTACCCACTGTCTCAGAACCAGGGTTCCCCCCCGAGCAGGGACCTGGTCCAGCCGAGCCTTCTCATGCCGGCAGAAGAGAGGCTGCACCAGGGCGATGTTCATAGGCCTGAGAAGACTGCAGCTCTGGACCCATGGTAGTAACATTAAAGGACGACAGCACGCTGCAGCCGGCCAAGCCCTAAAGTGTTCTGAGTGAAATTTCTCATTTCCAGCCCAAAAGTTTCACCCATTTTGTATAGAATGAAGCAAAATAACTAAGAAATGCTGGAAAACTGGTCTTATTGAGGATAAACTTAATTCATATATTCATCCATTCAGCAAATGATGATTTTTAAATGATATATTTTAAAGTACCACACAGTAATATTAGCTTTCTGTGTAGAGTTCTATGAATTTGAGCACATGTATAGATTTATATGACTGCTATGGTAATCAGGATACAGAACCGCACCTGACCCATAAACCCCCCTCACACTATCCTTTAGAGGCACCCCTACCCCAATCGCTGGCAACCACTGAGCTGTTCTGTGTTGCTATAATTTTGTCTTTTCCAGAATGTCATGTCAATGCAATAACATCTATTGAGACTGGCCTCATTCACATAGCATAATGTCTTTGAGATTCTTCTTGCTGCATATAGCAATAGTCCTTTGCTTTATAGAGCTGATAGTATTCCACTGTATGGATGTAACATGCTTTCAACCACTGGAGGACTTTTGTGTTGTTTCTAGTTTTGGGTGATTATGAATAAGGCTGCTATAAACATTTGTGTCAGACTTTAAACACCCTAAATTTCTTTAGGTTATTTCTTTAAGGTAAATGCCTAGTAGTGGGATTCTTGGGTCATATGTTAAGTGTATGCTTAACTTTATAAGAAAGTGCCACATTATTTTCCAGAATGGCTGTACCATTTTGTATTCTCACCAACAATATAGAGTTGTCAGTTGTTCCACACCCTCACCAGCACTTGATATCGTCAGTATTTATCCCAGCCACTCTAATGGGTATGTAATATCCCACTGTGGTTTAATTCACATTTCTTTAATGGCTGATGATGTTGAACATCTTTTTATGTGCTTATTTGCCACCTGTAGTAAAAAGACCTGGATATTTTGGTGGAGTAAAAAGACCTGGGTACTTTGCTGAAGTATCCAAGTCTTTTTACTACTTTTCTTTTTTCTTTTTTTTTGAGACAGAGTCTCACTCTGTCACCTAGGCTTGAGTGCGATGGCTCAATCTCGGCTCACTGCAACTTCTGTCACTCAGTTCAAGCAGTTCTGCCTCAGCCTCCCAAGTAGCTGGGATTACAGGCACCCGCCACCATGCTCAGCTAATTTTTAGTATTCTTCATAGAGATGGGGTTTTGCCATGTTGGCCAGGCTGGTTTTGAATTCCTGACTTTAGGTGATCCACCTGCCTTGGCCTCCCAAAGTGCTGGGATTACAGGTGTGAGCCACTGCATCTGGCTGTCTTTTTACTACCTTTCAATTGGGTTGTTTGCTTTCTTTCTGTTGAGTTTTGAGAATTCTTTACACATTCTGGAGTAGTTTCCCTGATTTGCAAATGCTGCTTGATGGTTCCCAGGTGCCAGAGCAGTGCTGGGTATGGAAGCTGTAGCCCAAGTGAAGATGGCCTGCAGGAGCCTCCTGACAGGGCTGAGGCCAGCCGGCCAGCAAGCTGTTGTTACCTCTGAGTGGGCTGAGGGCACACAGGACATGTCTGCTCCAGCCTTGAGTGTCCAGCATGACTTTCCAGATGAGGCGTTCCTGAGCCAGGGTTTATCGAAACTCCTTGCCCAGTTGTCTGTGGTTATTCCACTTCCACAGGTCTCATTGGTTCCTTGCCCCACTCCAGCCAGGCTGCACACTCGCCAGTCCTCCGTCGCAGTGATCCACCTCTCGCCTGGGCAGGAATCAGTGCTCAGCCCTTACCTGAGTGCATTGTCAGCAGCACCCCACTCCATTTCTGGCTACGCCTGTCCTGGCACACTTTCTTTCCCAGCCTTCTTTCCCTGCCTGCACACCCTCCTGATGCTTCTTCCATCTCCTCCGTTGCTCTTTCTGCATCTCCTTTGTAGGAGGCGGTGGTCTTCTCCAGAAGAACCCTGAATGCACAACTGTACTCAGATTTCTGTCTTTAATCCCCTACTCTATTCTCTCTCAGTCCCCTAGGTCATCTTGGTAAGAACCATGTCTTTAAATATTAGGAATGTGTTTGGTTGGACCTCTCTCCTGCTTCTTGACACAGGCACCCAATAGCCTACTCTGAACCTCTGTTTGAGTGTCAAATGCGATGGCAAAGAGAGCTCCTGATTTCTCCTGCCGAGCCTTCCCGGGCATGCTGTAATCTTAGGATCAGATCAGCTTCTGTGTTCTGTGTTCCTTCCGCCTCCGTATCCGGTTCACTCTGTGGGTTCTAATTCCACAACACAGCTTGAATAGAGCCACAGCTACTGCCCAAATCCAGCAATGGCCACCTCTTACCTGGGCTACTGCAAGGGCTGCCTGTCTTCCTCCACTCTTGATTTTTTTCTAGCCAAGAGCCAGAGGCAACACACATATGCTCTGATTACATCTCATTATTCCCGTGGCTTCCCATCATTCTATTTTTTTTTTTTTTTTTTTGAGATGGAGTTTCGCTCTTGTTGCCCAGACTGGAGTGCAGTGGCATGATCTCGGCTCACTGCAACCTCCGCCTCCCAGGTTCAAGCGATTCTCCTGCCTCAGCCTCCTGAGTAGCTGGGATTACAGGCATACACCACCATGCCTGGCTAATTTTTGTATTTTTAGTAGAGATGGGGATTCACCATGTTGGCCAGGCTGGTCTTGAACTCCTGACCTCAGGTGATTTACTTGCCTTGGCCTCCTAAAGTGCTGGGATTACAGGTGTGAGCCACTGTGTCTGGTCCCATCACCCTAGTATTCTTATCCTTCCAACGGAGCACCACAAGGCCCTCTGTGATCTGACCCTGGCTAACTGTTATCTCCTCCTCCCATTTTTCTTCTCCATTCTCCCAGATCTTCACGCTGCTGCCTCCTCTTTACAAAGTTTTTACTCAAATGTTTCTTCATGTTACTATTGTGGCTACCCTTGGGAAATCTCTATCCCATTAACCATTTTATCTTCTTCATAAAATCTGTAAGGTCCTGGAAGCATTCTGTTTGTCTGCCCGTGGGCTTGTTGACACGTCTCGTTTGTTTCTCCCTACTAGCATGTCTGTTCTATGAGGCAGGAGCTCTGCTTGGTTTGCAAGGCATCCCCAGCTGCTAGCACAGTGCTGCACGCACAATTGGTGCCCTACACATACCAGGAAGAGAGAGAGTGCTGCTGGTGGGTCGCCGTGGATTACTATGCCTGGATCCTGGGTAATAGAGAGGGAGGAAAGGAAAGCCAGGTTCTGGTGTGAAGGGCTTAAAGCAGAGTATGAAAGTCGGATTTTTATTCTTGGAAATTAACTCTGGATACTGATTGGAAAATGGACTGGAGTGGCGAGATCTGAGGAAAGGAGACAAGTTAGGAGAATGTTATAAAATTCCTGGGGAAAGGTTGTGCTGCTTTAACTGCAGTATTTGAAATAAAGACTAAGATGAGGGGGCAGAGTCCAGAAATAACAAGGAAGATACATCTATGGGATATTTTGGGTAGGAGATATGAAATCAAGGATAACACCCAAGTTTCCTTCTTGCCAAATCAGGGTCACAGTGGTGTCCATCCCTGAGAGAGAGATGGCAGGAAGAGGGAGAGGATGAGTGGGCCTAGGAGGCAGGCTGGCAGAGATTCCCAGTGGGCCTGAGGGTTCCCAGCCAAGCAAGCAACTCCGCCCAGTGACCCCTGGACAGGAAGGGTGGGTTACTCAAGGGCAATTGATAGGTTATATATTTGATCTAGCTTGGAGGATGTTAAATCTTATATTTATAGGGAGAATTTTAAGTACCTGATTCTCTTAGGGGGACAATACATTCCTTAGCAACAGCTTTTTCCCATATTCTCTTTTTTTAAATTAACAGACTCATTTTTCTTTTTTAGCCTATTGCTGTGATTGATTACACTAATTTATTTTTGAATGTTGAACCAGACATGCATACCTGAAATAACTGCCTTTTGGTCATAGCATGTAATTCTTTTTATATGTTGTTGGATTTGATTTGTTAATATTTTGATGAGGATTTTTGCATCAATGTTTACGGGAGATATTGGTGTATAGTTTTCCTTTCTTGTAATGCCTTTGTCTGGTTTTAGTATGAAGGTAATGCTGGCCTCATGGAACGTGTTAGGAAGCATTACCTCTGCTTCTATTTCCTGGAACACATTATAAAGAATTGGCATAATTTTTTTCTTAAGTGTTTAGTGAAATTTACCAATCAACCATCTGGGCTCAGCGATTTCTCTTTTGGAGGTTATTAATTATGCATTCAATTTATTTAATATAGGTCTATTTGGATTATCTATTTTTAATGAGTTTGATAGATTGTATCTTTCAAGAAATTGGTCTATCTAAGTTATCAAGTTTGTGGGCATAGAGTAGTTCGTAATATTCTTTTACTATCCTTTTAATGCTCATGGGCTATAACCTATTTCAATTATGCCACTAGTTTTTTTTCTTTGTTTGTAGGTGCTACATACTAATTTGCTTCTTTGCTTGCCTATTTCATAAATATTGATGAATACCTGTTGAGGTCAGGTGCTGTGTTGGGGACTGGGAATCCCAATACTGTCTGGGGTGACAGCTGGAAAGATCCCTGGTTTGTGGACTTAACATTAATTAGACGGTGTAACATGCAAGGTGCTTCATGGCTTTGGTAGGGTAAGTAGCCCACTGGAGAGTGGGCTCGCTGGTCAGGGAGGTATTCTGGAGCTAGAGCTGTTCTTTAGGTAAGGCAAATCTGGGTTTGCAGTTTTGTTCTTTGGTGTGGGGGTCTGCAAAACCATTGCAGCAGGTGGCTAGAGGGGCACCGGTGACATTATTAGCTATGGCTACTCTCACTTTAAGACAGTGACAGAACATTAGATTTACAGAAACATATATAGGGATAATCCGGTTTAATTGATTAGAACAACTCAGATGAATCTGCAATTGGAATGCTGGCTAATGGAGTTATTGAAAGGGATAGGAAAGTGTACCTAATACGATTGACAAATGGGCTTCTTTATTATATTTGTTGCAGGTTTCCTTGGTTGTGAACAAAAGCACCAACCTTGTCTATATTCAGTGAAATGGGGCTTATACCAACCCTGGGGGCTCACAGAACCAAGGAGTCTCTTATAATTAACATGAGGTTGATACTGGGCTGGATGGGCAGGACCCAAGGGCACAGCACTCTTTCTCGGAGTGAAACTGCAATCATTTCCATTTCTTTGTACTGCCGTTCAAGATTCAAATCCTAGCGGGGGATATCCACTTGGGGGTGCACTCACCTGTCACATAGGAGACAGTGGCGTCTCTGATTACAGTCTGCCCGATTCTACCCAATGGCAAAGAAGTCAAACTGGATCTATGATTATTATTTCTTTAGGATGTTTTTATTATTATTATTATTTTTTTAGATGGAGTCTTGCTTGTCACCAGGGTGGACGGAGTGGTGTGATCCTGGCTCACTGCAACCTCTGCCTCCTGAGTTCAAGCAATTCTCCTGTCTCAGCATCCCGAGTAGCTGGGACTCCACCACGCCCAGCTAATTTTTTGTATTTTTAGTAGAGACGGAGTTTCACCATGTTGGCCAGGATGGTCTCTATCTCTTGACATCGTGATCTGCCTGCCTCGGCCTCCCAAAGTGCTGGGATTACAGGCGTGAGCCACCACACCCAGCCTCTTTAGGATACGTTTAAGCAGGTATAATTACTGAATCAAAAGTAATGTCCGTCTTAGATTTGCACAAGATTTTGTTGAGGGGTGAGTGTCATTTCAGAGTTTCCTGGTGAAGTATGTTCACCACCTAAATGTTAAGAGATAATTATGGCAAGTAGTATTTTAAGCTTTTCAGATAAAGTAGTAGTAATCGTGATGTGAAAGAATCCCATCAAGCAGGGCTGGCTGTTCTGTTGAATTTCACTTTCCATTTTGGAACAAAGTATTTGAGCTCATTTTCTTGGAACTGATTACTGTGCCTTGGGGCAGCATGGTACATAAAGCAGTCGATGTTGTATAAATATATTGCGCAGCTTCATTGCAGAAACCTCATCTCGGAGGAGGCACAGGTTTTCCAGATTGAAAGATAAATTAGAGACACAACAGGAGGTGGCCTTCAAAGATGTGGTTCTTGTGGTGGGCTACCACAAGGAGCTAGAGCAAGGCAAAGAAGGGCTTAGAGCAAGCCAAAGATGATTAGGAAAACACAGAGTGATAACTGAAAGAGAGAACGTGTGGTCCTGGGGAGGACGGTGATGAAGACAGGGTAAACTCTTGTGTGCCTACCAAGAACCTCTAGGGATCTCTAGGTCACAGAAGGCTGCCCTCTCCCTCAAACGAGAAGTGTCCTCCCTGGAGGAGGCTCTGCTTGTGAGGTGGTGTGGCTGATGGGCCCAGGCAATGCCAGACTCTCTTGCTGTAGATACCAACCCAGATTTACTGGGGAAATGTACAAGCAGAACTGGCAAGAAAATTAGGTGCGCTTTCCTCCAAGAACTTATATGACAGGCTGGGAACAGTGGGGATAACCTGGGGTCCTGGTGGTGGGAGATGAAGCCAGCTGGACTTCCTGGGTCGAGTGGGGACTTGGAGAACTTTTCTGTCCAGCTAGAGGATTGTAAATGCACCAATCAGTGCTCTGTGTCTAGCTAGAGGATTGTAAATGCATCAATCAGCACTCTGTAAAAACGCACCAGTCAGTGCTCTGTGTCTAGCTAAAGGATTGTAAATGCACCAATCAGCACTCTGTAAAAACGTACCAATCAGTGTTCTGTGTGTAGCTAAAGGATTGTAAGCACACCAATCAGCACTCTGTAAAATGGACCAATCAGCAGGATGTGGGCGGGGACAAATAAGGGAATAAAAGCTGGCCACCCCAGCCAGCAGCAGCAGCCCACCGGGGTCCCCTTCCATGCTGTGGAAGCTTTGTTCTTTCACTCTTCACAGTAAATCTTGCTGCTGCTCACTCTAGGGGTCCACGCCACCTTTAAGAGCTGTAACACTCACCATGAAGGTGTGCAGCTTTATTCTTGAAGTCAGCAAGACCAAGAACCCACCGGAAGAAACCAACTCCTGACATAGTAGGAAATGGAAGCCATGCACACCCCTTTCCCATGGGGAAGCAGAAGGAATCCTCCACCCCTGCTGTGTCTCAGCAAACCACAGAGGTGCCAGGTGGCCACTCCTCCACCACCTCTGTGTGAGAGAAGCCACTTCAGATCCACACTCAATGGTGAGAACCAAAATAAACAAATTGATCGGAACTACAGGACTCTACTTCATTTCTTTTCCTAGAAAGGATTTGATTTAACATTTACTTTTTCTCATTTTTTTTTGTTTCAAAGCTTATAAAAACATTGAGAGGCTAATACATTGAATACCTATATAAATGTCACCTGATTCACCAAATGTTAATGTTTTTCAACATTTGTGCTCTCTCTCTCAATCTCTTTCTCTTCCTTCTCCCTGTCATATATATTTAAACATATCTTCACTGATAGATAATAATTGTACATATTTCTGAGCTACAGGTAGTATTTTGCCACATGTATATACAATGTGTAATAATCAAATCATGCTAATTAGGATATTCTTCACCTCAAACATTTATATTTTCTTTGTGTTGGAAGCATTTCAGATCCACACTCTAGCTATTTTGATACATATTATAAATTATTGCTAACTAGTCACCCTACTGTGTGACCAAACACTAGAACTTATTCCTTCTTCTATTATATTTTTGTACTCATGAATTGACCTCTCTTCATCTTCCCCCTCCCACTACCCTTTCTAGCCTCTGGTAACCCCCATTCCACTCTCTATCCCCATGAGATTCACTTTTTTTTTTTTTTTTGAGACAGAGTCTTGCATGTCCCCCAGGCTGGAGTGCAGTGGCGTGAGTTTGTCTCACTGCAACCTCTGCCTCTCATGTTCAAGCAATTCTCCTGTCTCAGCCTCCTGAGTAGCTGGGATTACAGGTGCCCGTCACCATGCGTGGCTAATTTTATTATTTTTAGTAGTGACGGGGTTTCACCATGTTGGCCAGGCTGGTCTCGAACTCCTGACCTCAAGTGATCTGCCCACTTTGGCCTCCCAAAGTGCTGGGATTACAGGCGTGAGCCACCACACCTGGTCGAGATCCATCTTTTTAGCTCCCACATATGAGTGAGAACGTGTGATATTTGTCTTTTTGTGCCTGATTTATTTCATTTAACATAATGACCTCCAGTTCCATCTGTGCTGCCACAAATGACAGAATTTAATTCTTTATAATGACTGAATAATATTCCCTTCTGTATACGTACCACATTTTCTTTATCCATTCATCTGTGGATGGACATTTAGGTTGATTCTCTATCTTGGCTGTTGTGAACAGTGTGACAGTAAACATGGGAGTGCAGATACACCTTTGATATTCTAATTTCCTTTCTTTTGAATACATACCTAGCAGTGGGATTGCTGGATCATATGGTAGTTCTATTTTTAGTTTTAGGAGCAACCTTCATACTGTTTTCCATAGCGGTCGTAAGAATGTACATTCCCACCGACAGTGTACTAGCGTCCTTCCTTCTCTGCATCCTTGCCAGTATCTATTATCTTTTGTCTTTTTGATAACAGAGACTTTTTTTTTTTTGGATACAGAGTCTCACTCTTTCACCCAGACTGGAGTGCAATGGCATGGTCTTGGCTCACTCCAACCTCCGCCTCCCAGGTTCAAGCGATCCTCCTGCCTCAGACTTCCAAGTAGCTGGGATTACAGGCACCCACCACTACGCCCGGCTAATTTTTGTATTTTTAGTAGAGATGGGGTTTCACCATGTTTGCCAGGCTTGTCTCGAACTCCTGACTTCAGGTGATTCGCCCACCTCAGCCTCCCAAAGTGCTGGGATTACAGGCGTAAGCCACTGTGCCAGGCGAATAACAGCCATTTTAACAGGGCTGGGCAGATATCTCACCATGGTTTTGATTTGTGTTTCCCTGATGATTAGTGATATGAAGCGTTTTTTCATATGTGTGTTTGCCACTTGTATGTCTTCTTTTGAGAAATGTCTATTCAGATCATTTGCTCATTTTTCAACCAGATTTTTTTTAAATTTTACTTATTTTTTTTCTGCTATTTGAGTTGTTTGTGCTCCTTACATATTCTGGTTATTAATCCCTTGTCAGATGAGAAGTCTGCAAATATTTTTTCCAATTCCATAAGTTGTCTTTTCACTTTGTTGATGTTTCCTTTGCTGTGCAGAAGCTTTTGGCTTGATATAATTTCATTCGTCTACTTTCACTTTTGTTGCCTGTGCTTCTGAGGTCTTACCCAAAAAATCTTTACCCCGACCAATGTCCTGAAGCACTTGCCCATATATACATGCATATTTTTGAACCATTTAAAAACAGTGACAGACATCATAACACTTCACCAGTAAATGCCTCACCAAGAACATTCTGCTATATGATACAAAGCCATTATTATGCTTAATAAGAAACTTACTATTGATTCAAATGTTTTCCTTTGTCCCCAAAATATCTCTTACAGATTTTTTTTTTTTTTTTTTGAACAGAGTCTGCCTCTGTCACCTAGGCTGGAGTGCAGTGGCAGTCTTAGCTCACTGCAACCTCTGCCTCCCAGATTCAAGCAATTCTTGTGCCTCAGCCTTCTGAGTAGCTGGGATTATAGGCATGTGCCACCACACTCGGCTAATTTTTGTATTTTTAGTAGAGAAGGAGTTTCACCATGTTGGCCATGCTGGTCTCAAACTCCTGACCTTAGGTAATCCTCCCACCTCAGCCTCCCAAAGTGCTGGGATTACAGGCGTGAGCCACTGTGCCCGGCCTTCTTATAGATTTTTAAAATACAAAATCCAGTCAAGGATCTTACATTGCCTTTTAAAGTCATGTCTCTTTAATCTAGAACAATCTTCTCTATATTTCTGTTTTTCACGATTTTGTTTTTGTTTTTGAGACAGAGTCTCACTCTGTCACCCAGGCTGGAGTGCAGCAGCATGATCTCAGCTCACCAAAACCTCCACCTCCTGGGTTCATGCGATTCTCCTGCCTCAGCCTCCCCAGTAGCTGGGATTACAGGTACTCGCCACTACGCCCAGCTACTTTTTGTATTTTTTAGTAGAGACGGGGTTTTGCCACATTGACCAGATTGGTCTTGAACTCCTGGCCTCAAGTGATCCTCCCACCTCGGCCTCCCAAAGTGCTGGGATTATAGGCATTAGCCACCTCACCTGGCCCATGATTCTGTTTTTAAACAGTCAAATTGTAAGCCAGTAAGGAGATCATTTATGGAGAAATCAACTATGTGCCAGGAGTTTTGCATATCTCAGCACAATTTTAATGGTATATTTTTGACATTTGTTTTCCAAGTACCTACCTCACAAGACATAGGACCCATCAGGGCAAGAGTTATGTCGAAGAACAGACCCTAAACTCAGTCCCTACCTCAGTGCTTACTTACCAGGAAATAGACAGTAAAGACTGCTTGTTGTAAGAATGATTTCGGTTGATTCCTATGAATGATATACTAGTATCTGATTTCCAGGGTATGGTGGGGAGTACCAGATTTATCCAAAGTGCGAAAAACTGGCAAAATAGGGATTAAAATCAGGCCTCTGATTGCAAGCCTGAATTTGTTCAACTTGAAGGCAGCCCATCTTCTCAGAACTTTCATTTTCCCATAGGGAGATTAAGGTATTAAATATCTCATAGTGAAGATGTATCCCAGTTCTTGATGTGCTGAAAGTCTGAGCGTTCAGGAGCTCCAGCGGGATCAGGTCCTTAAAGCAGCATGGCTTAGAAAAGGACGTGTACAGACCCTGGCTTCCCATCCCAGCTCTAGCGCTTGCTGTCCATGGCCATGGGCAAGATGGTGAACCTCATGTGGGAAGAGTGAACAGTATCTACCTAGTGGAGCTGAAGAAGGAGAAAATGATGCCAAACAACCAGCATGATGCCCTGCTCAGGACGCCCGAAGTGCCTGATGAATGAGGTGGAGATGGGGGAGCCGTAGCTTACGAGGGCAAAGGGCAGAGCAGGTGAGGATGGAGCAGAAGTGACATCAGAAGAGTCAGGAAACAGCCAACACTTTCTGCTCAATGAGAGCTCCTTAGTTCTTATTTTATTTATTTATTTATTTATTTATTTATTTATTATTATTATTATTTTTTGAGACGGAGTCTTGCTGTTTCCCAGGCTGGAGTGCAGTGGCGCGATCTCAGCTCACTGCAAGCTCTGCCTCCCGGGTTCACACCATGCTCTTGCCTCAGCCTCCCCAGTAGCTGGGACTACAAGTGCCCGCCACCATGCCTGGCTAATTTTTTGTATTTTTAGTAGAGCCGGGGATTCACCGTGTTAGCTAGGATGGTCGCGATCTCCTGACCTCATGATCCGCCCGCCTCAGCCTCCCAAAGTGCTGGGATTACAGGCATGAGCCACCGCGCCTGGCCCTTATTTCTTATTTTAAAAAATATTTCCAAAAACGAAGGCAAATGTCCTGCCTCCTGTTATATACTTTAACCTTTGTTCCTCCTGGGAGCTTGCTGCCTCTGGGGTTCAGGGTGTCTCAAGAGTTCAGACAGCACCGTTCAGAGCCAGTGGAGGACCCCAGATGTGACCCTGGAGCTCCACGCTGTAATTCGCCCACACCATGCCCTGCCCGCCAGCTTCAGTCTCTGTCCCAGATTGTGGCTCAGAAAATACATAACAAAAAGATACTTGCCATAGTTTTGGAATGACCATGTGGAAAGTTGAAACAGACTGATGGACTGACATTTTAATTCTCATTAAAGAATTAAATGGATCAGACTGTGTGTGTCTTCCAAGTTTCAGGTAAAATAAAATAGATTACTTTTAAAAGAAAAAATATTTTTGGTTGCTAAGGGCATATATCTAGATCAAAACCTCCTGGCTTCATAAACTTTAAATTATTTTAGATTTCTGAAAAACATGCTTCAGTCTGATGGTAAGAAAATGGGAATTTCAGACGTGTGCCTAATGCTATAACAAACTGTCTAGAGAGAAAATCATCACGATTCTTCCTGAGAATGGAGGTGAATGGGACTTCTTTGAAAGTAAAACCTACAGTGGGTGTCCCCATTAGACAAAAGAGAAGCCCAAATATATATATATATAAAATGTATTTTTTTTTTGAGACAGAGTCTCGCTGTGTCACCCAGGCTGGAGTGCAATGGTGAAATCTTGGCTCCGCATTCAAGCAATTTTCCTGCCTCAGTCCCCCAGGTAGCTGAGATTACAGGCCTGAGTCACCATGCCCGGCTAATTTTTTTGTATTTTTAGTAGAGACTGGCTTTGCCATGTTGGCCAGGCTGGTCTCGAACTCCTGACCTCAAATGATCCACTCTCCTCGGCCTCCCAAAGTGCTGAGATTACTGGTGTGAGCCACCGCACCTGGCCACAATATTTTTAGAGCCTGGTTGGAGAGTTGACTGGGCAGGAAACCACCTGGATATGCCACTGTAAAAACCCAGGCAGAAAACAAGGTGGTTGAAGCAGGTGAAGCAAATGGTGGGTGGCCGGCAACAGGGGTTGCTTCACTGATTGGATGTCAGGGGAGAAAGTGGCCAAGGACGGGAAGTCCAGGATGAACTGGGCCTCTGGCTTGAGATGTTGGATGGATGCTTGGGCCAGTCACTGTCATAGGAAACTCAAGAGTTAGGGGCACACTTTGGGGGAAGTTACTTAGTCTTTTGATACCTTAGTTTCCTCTGCTGTAAAATGAAGAAAACATCATATACTTGGCAGTTGAAATAAACATTGGAAAATTTTATAAAACATCTGAAAGTGCCCAGGAATGGAGACTGTCATCAGAAATGCTTTTTCCACTAAGTGTCTCATGGCACTCCTGTTTGCAGGCGCGGCGGCTCCTCCCCACAGTCAGGCACGCTCGCCCACACTGCATCAGAACATCTTGTTCCTGCAGGATGGCCCAGCCCTTCGCTGGCTGCCCTGCCGGCCACGGGACCGAATCACCATCACTCTCACCCACAAAGCTGCTTTTGGAATGCAGGCATTTCATGGTGTGGGAAGACAGTATTTTTACACTTTTCTCAGAAATTGGTCAAATTCTTTTTGCTCCCTGCTATTTTTCCCCTTCTCCCTCTCCCCTTTCCCTTTTCTTCATTCCAGCAATAGCTAGATCTCTACTGCACCCGAGAAAGGACATGACAGTGGCAAAGCAAAACAGTAAACAATCAACAACAAAACTCCTGAGCCCAGCTGGCTTTGATTTCCCAAAGCAAATCAGTCAAGTAATTAAGAAGGCATGAGAAAAACAGAAACACACACACACAATCTTTACTACCTGTGGGGAGGATTGTGAGGGAAAAAGAAAAATATATTCCTCTGTACCCCATGGGTTATGGAAGGAAGTGACAGATGTGAGGAGTGTGTGAGAGACAGAGACAGAGAGACAGAGACAGAGATAGAGAGACAGAGAGACAAAGACAGGAGGGACAGAGACAGACAGAGGAAGACAGACACAGAAATAGAAAGAGAGACAGAACAGAGAGAGACAGGCATAGACAGAAGTGTCTCCTGAGGTTGGGCCTCTGAGTCCTGCTCTCTGGGGAGTACTCTAGAAAAATGGCAAGATCTCAGGGACCTTGGTGTGTAGATGACTGATCGCCAAAGCAGGAGCTCTGGTCTTAGGCCAGATACACTGAAGCAGCCAAAGAGTCAAGTTTCCCTCTGGGCCGTGCCCTGGGGGTGCAGGGGTATATGAAAAGCTGCAGCTGGGTGCAGTGTTCCTCTAGGGCTCAGGAGAAGTGACAGACAGAGAGCCCAGGAAGCACCCACAGCCTGGGCCTGGCGCGTCCATTGGTGTGACCAAGACCTACATACAGAAAGGTGAAGGTGCACAATGAACTCAGACTTTATCTGAATAGGGGTAAGATCCATTTCAAAATTGGAAGTGGGGCTGATTTGAAAGAATCTATTTTATGAGGATAAACTGATGATGAGATAAATTCTATAGATAGGGTTTTCCTTGACTTCTAAGAGAATAGATACACAGAAGGTAATTATTGAGTTAGAGTTGTCTTTTGTTTCTAAGAAAATGATAAGACAATTTATATTTTTCACAGCCTTGCTTTCTTGCTCCACCAGGGGTCACAGCTGATCTTACACATTTCGGGGTGTGGGCACAACTTCACCACTCTTCCAGGGACCAATGTAAAGCCACCCTGGCACCACCCTTTGCTTACTGAAGATTCCCCCACCAAATCCACGTGCTACCTGTGCCTCATCCATCACTGGTTAATTACTCTGATTAAAATAAAGCAGTGATTTGATGTTTCCAAGGAGCTTCATTAGAATGAGAAAAAATTATATTTACCAAGGAAAGGAGGAAATGGTTGAATAAAAAATATGACAAGTAATTTAATTTTAGGTCAATGAATGCTCCACTGTGATTCAATTCTGACACATGAAACAAATAATGAGATGATCAAGCCCTCTTCTTCCTTGCAGAAACTCGCTAATCCATATGAATGGTCTGTTGTTCACGAGCATCTGGTTCCCTTAACAACCTGTGGCCTGTTTACTCCATGGGGAGAATCTGGTCCTCAGAGCAGCTTTAGGGTCCATGCACCTTACTGGACATCCATAATGCACCACAGAGTGTGGTGCAGCAATATGCCATGTGAGGATTTTTTAATCCTTGAAAAGTTGGGTGAAGAGGATAAGATTTTTCGTATAAGATAATACAGGCTTCAAAAAGTTGGAAAAAGAGCACATTTAGAAAGTCCCAGAGCTGGGATTTGAACCCCTGTGCTTCTGATTCTAAATTGCTTCCCACCACGCTCATGGTGACCTCTAGAAGGTGTTAGTGAGGTGGAGATGTACCCGGTAATCCTGCCAGTGCATCTGTGCACTGATTCTCTATTGCTGGCTGTCCTTCTTGGCATCTTATTCAACAATAGCTACTGTAAGGGGGGAAATAGTCTTATATTTTGTGAAAGAACTCAAATGGCCAATTCATATATGGCCAGTTTACTTAAGAATGAATTACCGACCGGGCACAGTGGCTCATGCCTGTAATCCCAGCACTTTGGGAGGCTGAAGCGGGTGGATCCCCTGAGGTCAGGAGTTTGAGACCAGCCTGGCCAACATGGCAAAACCTCATCTCTACTAAAAATACAAAAATTAGCCGGGTGTGGTGGCTGGCACCTAAAATCCCAGCTACTTGGGAGGCTGAGGCAGAAGAATTGCTTGAACCCAGGGGGCGGAGGTTGCAGTGAGCCCAGATTGTGCCACTGCACTCCAGGCTGGGCAACGGAGCAAAAACAAAAAACAAAAAAGAATGAATTACCAGGCTCTAAAAACCTATCAGTAAGCTTTTTTTTTTTTTTTTTAAAGACGGAACTTGATGCTAAGGAAATTGCAACAACACAATGTCCTAATACACTGTTGACAAGATTAAAAAATTTTTTATTTTTAATTTTTGTGGGTACACAGTAGGGGTATATATTTATGGGGTACGTGGGATGTTTTAATACAGGCATGCAATGTGAAATAGGCACATCATGAAGAATGGGGTATCCATACCCTCAAGCATTTATTCTTTGTGGTATAAACAATCCAATTATACTTTTAATTATTTTAAAATGTACACTTAAATTATTATTGACTATAGTCTCCCTGTCGTGCTATCAAATAGTAGGTATTATTCATTCTTCTATTTTTTTTTTTGGTACCCATGAACCATTCCCACCTTATCTCCCCAGTCCTCTACTATCCTTTTCAGCCTCTGGTAATCATCCTTCCTATTCTCTATGTCCATGATTTCAATGGTTTCGATTTTTAGATCCCACAAATAAGTGAGAACATGTGATGTTTGTCTTTCTGTGCCTGGCTTATTTCACTTAACATAATGTCCTCCAGTTTCGTTCCATCCATGTTGTTGCAAATGACAGGATCTCATTCTTTTTATGGCTGAATAGTACTCCATTGTGTATATGTACCACATTTTCTTTATCTGTTCATCTGTTGATGGACTGTAAATTTGCTTCTAAGTCTTAGCTATTGTGAACAGTGCTGCAACAAACATGGGAGTGCAGATATCTCTTCAATATACTGATTTCCTTCCTTTTGGGTATAGACCCAGCACTGGGATTGCTGGATCATATGCTAGTTCTATTTTTAGTTTTTTGAGGAACCTCCCAACTGTTCTCCATAGTGGTTGTACTAATTTACATTCCCACTAACAATATACTAGTGTTCCCTTTTCTCCACATCCTCACCAGCATTTGTTATTGCCTGTCTTTTGGATAAAAGCCATTTTAACTGGGGTGAGATATCTCATTGTAGTTTTGATTTGCATTTCTCTGATGATCAGTGACGATGACCACCTTTTCATATGCCTGTTTGCCATTTGTAAGTCTTCTTTTGAGAAATATCTATTCATTTCTGATTTTTTATTTGGATTACTAGATTTTGATTTCTGATTGGATTACTAGATGTTTTCCTGTTGAGTTGTTTGAGCTCCTTATATATTCTGGTTATTAATTCCTTGTCAGATGGGTAGTTTGCAAATATTTTCTCCCATTCTGTGGGTTGTTTCTTCACTTTAAGAAGATCATTAATTGCCTTAATCATTCTAAAAAGTGATTTGGCAAATAAGGGTTGAATTGTGTCCCCCAAAATGTCTATGTCCAAGTCCTAACCCCTAGTACCTCAGAATGCAACTGCATTTGGAAACAGGGTTTTTGAAAATGTGATCAAATTAAAATGAGGTTATACTAGAGTAGAGTGGGCATGTAATCCAATATGACTCATCCAATATGACCGGTGTCCTTATAAAGAAGAGGAGATTTGGCTGGGCATGGTGGCTCATGCCTGTAATCCCAGCACTTTGGGAGGCCGAGGTGGGTGGATCACCTGAGGTCAGGAGTTCAAGACCAGTCTGGCCAACATGGAGAAACCCTATCTCTACTAAAAATACAAGAAAAAAAAATAGCTGGGCATGGTGGCAGGCACCTGTAATCCCAGCTACTTGGGAGGCTAAGGCAGCAGAATCGCTTGAACCCGGGAGGCAGAGGTTGCAGTGAGCCGAGATTGCGCCATTGCACTCCAGGCTGGGCAACAAGAGTGAAACTCCATCTCAAAAAAAAAATTAATAAATACATAAAAAATAATAAAAAGGGGAAATTTGGACCCAGACATGCCTGGAGGGAAGATGATGGGAAGAGACACAGAGAGAAGATGGTTGTCCTCAAGCCAAGGAGAGAGGCCTGCAACAGATTCTCCTTCAGCCTTTAGAAGGAACAACACTGCCAACACCTTGATCTTAGACTTCTGTCCTCCAGAAATTGTGAGACAATGCATTTTTGTTGTTTAAGGCAACCAATTTGTGGAACTTTGTTCTGGCAGCCCTAGCAAATGAATACAACAAAATATATACTGTATTGAGAACCTTAATATTGGCAATACCATTTGCACAGGAACTCCTTGCCTTTGGTTGCCACCTAAGAAATCATGCATATGGACATGGAATTACACATAAAGTATATTTAGCTAGTTTTTCTTCAACATGCTATTGCAGGAGGACAATTCAAAAATCTTTCCAACTCCCACCTGATTTCTGAAGGTTCTCTGGGAGCCTGCGCATCAGCCATCAAAACACACTTGTCACATTTTTCTTTCCTTTTGGCCTCCTTTAGTGAAGTCAGCTGCCTGAGGCTGGGCGGAGGTGCTCAGCACTCCCTCTGGTTTGTGGGGGGCTGGGGTGGGTCACACTTATTCTACTGGATATCACTGTTCCTGGGCCCTGCCACCACTCTCAGCCCTGGTGCTGTGGATTCTGTTCATGAGAGGGGCTGAAGTCAAGCCTCCCTCTCAGGCCCAGATCTGAGTCTACAGGTCAGCCGGGGCTGGGGCCTCACGGTAGCAGGTGGTGACAGAGGACATGTCATTGTCGCAGTCACTGAGGACACTGGTTCTCATAGCCCAGCCTCTGTGCCTGGACCTCAGCTATAGGCCTGGCCCCATTGTGCTCTCCCTGATGAGAATCTCCAGGCCTTGAGCTACCTGACTCTTCCCAGTTGGCCAGACACATCCCAGTGAATGATCATCATCCTGCTCTCATCTCATAGCCAGCTGATCAGTCTGTTCACCCTCCACCTACTCAAGTACAGAGTGACACACCCCAAGCAACAATCGCATGAGAAATTCTACCACCTGGGGAGGGCAGAACTGGGACAGACTTCTTTCATTTTCTGATCTGCTTTTGCCAGATGTCCTCTGTAGCAAGAGGCAGGACAAACAGTGAGGACTGCACCAACACTCACCGGGTGACCCCTTTGCTTTGGAAACTTACTCAGGGTGAAAGGAATTCCGATTTTAAACAGCATCTCTTTGTGTGGCCTGTTTGAGGCACCACACAGAGCTTGCTGGAGCAGCTCTGTTGACCGCTGACCCTTGGCCTGCTAACTGAAACAAGGTGAGTATTTCTAAGGCTGTCGTGGCCACGGGAGGACCGGAGAATAAATGTGGACCTATTTACATTCTCTTTTCCCTGAAGGTGATAAATGGCTTCCCCCATCCAAACCAGGCCCCTCTAGGGCCTTTATTTGCTATTCTGGTTTTAAAAGGCAGACGGAGAATGTATTGAGTTATCTTTCAACTGTTTACTAGCAGAAGGGCAAAGATCAGATTACCAGCTCAGAGTGATTCATCTTTTCTCCCAAATCAAAGCCATATGTACACAGAGTCTGTGTACACATTAGTTCATTTCATTCATTCATCTAGGTCAGGAGAGGGAGACCTGGGACAAAGGTCCCGCAGAAAGAGATGGAGGCATCAGGCCACAGACAGTGAGCAGCATGGGTTTTTCTCTGCCTCCACATTAGGACTTTAATGTTTTTTTTTTTTGTTTAAAAAAAACAAAACTGCCTGATTTCCTGTCAGGCCAACTAATGATGTTTTTTCCCCAGGTTTCTGGTATAGAGGATGTTTTAATTTGAGAGAAGTTTCCACCTACAAAAACACATATTTGTCCGGGCATGGTGGCTCACGCCTGTAATCCCAGCACTTTGGGAGGCTGAGGCAGGAGGATCATGAGGTCAAGAGATCTAGACCATCCTGGCCAACATGGCGAAACCCCGTCTCTACTAAAAATAAAAAAATTAGCTGGGCATGGTGGCGCATGACTGTAGTCCCAGCTACTTGGGAGGCTGAGGCAGGAGAATCTCTTGAACCCCGAGTTCAGAGTCAGTCAGTTGAGATCGCGCCACTGCATTTTAGCCTGGTGACAGAGCGAGACTCCGTCTCAAAAAAACAAAAACAAAAAACCACATTTATACCTTTGGAAACATTAAGCCTCCAACTGTGAGAACGAAGATTCATATTTAAAGGGAAATGTGAGGTAATTCTGTGAATCTTAGACAGATTGATGGTACAAAATGGGAAGCGCCACCATCACTGATATTCTGAAATTATGGTTGACTGCAAATATCCAGAAAAGCATAAAAACAACATAATGAACGCCTATATTCTCACACACAAAACTGTAACATTTTGGCAGATTTTCATCAGCTCTTTTTCCTTAAGAAACAACACACACAAGGATCATGGAAGCCTCTCCATGCTTCCCACCCTGTCCTTAAACTGATGTTTTTCATCCCCAGAATGACGCTACATTAATGCTACAGATGAATGGCTCCATAAACTATATATAGCAAAGTATTGAACTTTTGTTGATTACATCAGTCTCTAACAAGCTTTTTTCACTGAACATTATGTTTTTGCAATTTGATAATGCCAACAGATGTAGCTACATCCATTTAACTAGTGTATTGCATTTTATTGTTACCAAACCGAACTTGGGTCCACCCATCCTGGCACAGCAAAGCCAAACACTGACAGTGGGATTTGCAGTGAAAAAAGTGAGGCATTTATAACAGGGCACCAAGCAAGGAGAACCGGATAGCTCTCGCCTAGGACCTAAACTCCCGAATGGCTTGAGTGTAAGGGTTTTTAAAGGTGGGAAGGCAGAAGTTACATGCAAAGTCATAAATCAATACATGGAGGTCTTACATTGGTTTGGCCAAAAAAGGTGGGATATCTTGAAGTGTGGGGCGAGGCACAGGTCATGGGTAGATTCAAAGATTTTCTGATTTGCGAATTGGTTAAGGGAGTGAAACTTTGTCTAAAGCCTAGGGGTCCACAGAAAGGAATGCTGAGCTCCGACCTGTAGGCATGACTTCCTCCAGGCCACTCAGGAAGAAATTCAGAACAAAAAATGGCAGTCAGAGTTCAGTCCCCAGTTCCTCTGTTATCTAAGGTCTATGTGCCAGCAGATGTCATTTTCCATTTGGTGGGAGTCCAGGTTTTTTGAAAACAACTCAGGGATATATATTAAGATGTTGTCTTTAGTTTCTATGGGGAACCAAACATTTGGTGGCTCTAACTTCCTCGGCTATTGTCTTCAGCTATTGTTACCTCCTTGCTTATCAGGTTGCTCACTTACTCCTCAGGGCTAGCTAGGTGCCCGGAATTTCCCTCAAAGGAACTCAAGATTTTTCTTTATTTCCATGCTTGGTTGGGAAGAGTGGCAGGCCCCTCAAAGGGATCCCTGCTCTGTCTCCATTTCACATGAATCATACAATTTAATCATGATGATGATAATGGATATTTGGGTGGCTTCTGTCAAGAACTGTGAAGAGGCTGACATTTCACTCACTACTTACAGATTCACAAGTGAGGCTGCTGCCCCAGTTTCATGGATGCTGGCAGAAGACTTAAGATTTCTGAATCAGAGACAGAAGACTTCATTTATTTGTCACAGCTAAAGCAATGGCCAGTGTCAGTGTATTTGCACTGGTGCCTCAAGCCCTGATGCCCACGGGGTGATGCAGAGACCCTATGACTCCCGCACATGCATTGGGTCAAGTCACAGTAGAGGACCACTGAGCTGGGCACCATGTGGACCTATAGCAGGCAGCAGGCAAGCCCTCTCCTTTGAGGTTCCTCCCTGCAACTACGACCCCGAAAAATGGATCCAGTAAAGAAGAGTCAAGGCTTTATAGTCTTGGTGCACCCAGTAAGACCTGTAGGAGAACAGGAAGCCTGTGGAGGACTGTTTCTTCCAAAAGTTTCCAAGTGTTAGCTCTTACACATGTATAAACAACACTGCAATTTGTCTCCTTGCACCGTACATCCACGAAGCAGATTTGCTTCTTGCCAAATTATTTCCCTCAGTGATTTCAGGAACTGACAATTCCCAGTCGCATATAGGAATTTTCTTGCGTCTTCTTTTCCTGACTAACTCTTGCGTTGTCAGACACTTTCATTTGTGCTAAGCTGATAAGTATCAAACGATGATGCAGGCTATTCATTATGTGTGTCCTTGATTACTGATGAGTTTGAGCAATTGTCATTTGTTGGACTGATCGTTCAATTTCCTCTTCGGTCCTTGGCCTTTTCATATATTTTGCCTTTTCTTGTAGGTGTGTCCTTTTCAAATTGATTTTTTTGGTGTTTTTGGTATATCCTGTGTACTAATTCTTTGTCATTTATATGCATTAATAATATCTCCTTTCACTGTGTGGCTTGTCTTCTCAATTTGTTTTTGGGTTTTTGTTTCAGAGAACATTTTATAAGCTTTAAATAATAAAGTTTATTTATTTTTAATTATTTTGATTTTGCTTTTGCATCTTGTTTAAGAAACCCTGTCCTACTTATAAATAAGGCCATAATTATTATTCTTTATTTATTTATTTATTTATTTATTTATTTATTTATTTATTTATTTTGAGACAGAGTCTCGCTCTGTTGCCCAGGCTGGAGTGCAGTGGCGTGATCTCGGCTCACTGCAGCCTCTGCCTCCCAGGTTGAAGTGACTCTCCTGCCTCAGCCTCCTGAGTAGCTGGGACCACAGGCACACGACACCCTACCTGGCTAATTTTGTATTTTTAGTAGAGATGGGGTTTCACCATGTTGGCCAGGGTGGTCTCAATCTCCTGACCTCATGATCTACCTGCCTCAGCCTCCCAAAGTGCCTTATTTTTCTTTTTAAAATATAAAACTTACGCCAGGTGCGGTGGCTCACTCCTGTAATCCCAGCACTGTGGGAGGCCGAAGCAGGTGGATCACCTGAGGTCAGGAGTTTGAGGCCAGCCTGACCAATATGGTGAAACCCCGTCTCTACTAAAAATACAAAATTAGTGGGCATGGTGGCGGGCATCTGTAATCCCAACTACTCCGGAGGCTGAGGCAGAATTGCTCGAACCCAGGAAGTGCTGGTTGCAGTGAGCCAAGATAGTGCCACTGCACTCCAGTCTAGGCAACAAGAGTAAAACTCCGTCTCAAAAAAAAAAAAAAAAAAAAAAAAAGAAAAGAAAGACAAAAAAGAAAAAGAAAAAAATATGAAAGTTTTGCATTTTTCATTTAGGTCATCAATACATGGGGAACTTAACCTCTTATGCAGGGTGAGGTATGAATCTAATTTATTTTTACATGTGGACAACCAGTTGTCTCATCAACTTTCGGTGGATGCTCCTTCCTTCCCTGCGGACATGTAAAATATTCATTCCGTCGTATCATATATCACCTTGCCAGTTGCTCAGGCTGAAAACCTTGGGGCTATCCAGACTCTCTTGTGCCTGACATCCAGTCCATTAGCAAATCCTGACAGCTCTACCTTAAAACAGACTTTCTGAAGCCAGCCCATTCATCATCCCCTCCAACACTGCCACTCAGGGCCAAACCACTGCCACCTTTTGCCTGGACTACTCTATGGCCTCCTAATTAGTTTACCCCTTCATCTCTTGCTCCCCTACAGTTTTTTGTCTACACAGCAACAGAGTTATGTCTTTTTTCTTTTCTCTTTTTTTTGAGAAGGAGTTTCACTTTTGTTGTCCACGCTGGTGTGCAATGGCACAATCTCATCTTACTGCAACCTCCACCTCCTGGGTTCAAGTGATTCTCCTGCCTCAGCCTCCCGAGTAGCTGGGATTACAGGCATGCACTACCACGACCGGCTAATTTTTGTAGTTTTAGTAAAGACAGGATTTCTTCATCTTGGTCAGGCTGGTTTCGAACTTCTGACCTCAGGTGATCCACCCGCCTAGGCCTCCCAAAGTACTGGGATTACAAGCGTGAGCCACCTCGCCAGGCCAAGTTATGTCTTTAAAAATACATTTGATCGTGCTCTTCCCTGCTCACATTCAGAATAACATTTGCAGTCTTACTGTGTCTATAAGACCTCCTATATCCTGGTTGCTGGTTGCAGTTTGCACCTCATTTTCTACTGCGCTTTCTCTCTCTCTTGCTGTGTTCCAGAAACACTTGTGATTCCTCGCACAATGACTGTGTTCCCAGTTCAGGCCTTTGCATTTGCTGTTTCTTCTTCCTGCTATTTCTCTTCCCCCAGAGAGCTGTACAGCTTGCTTGAACCTCATTCAAGGTTTCTGTTCAAACATCACATTATCAAGAGGGGCCTTCCCTTTAAAGAAGAACAGAGCCCTATTTAAAATAGAGCCCTCCCTAATTCACTTAATTTTTCTTCATAACATTCACCACTGTCCACGATTGTAGCGTGTTCTTTTTATTACTTGACCCATGTGCTAGAATGTAAGCACCCTGAGGGTAGGCATTTTGTTGGTTTTGTTGTTTGATCTATTCTCAAAGCCAAGAATAGAGCCTGGGACACAGTAGAGTTTTAAAACATGACAAATAAATGGATGAATGAATGAATGAATGAATGAAAAAGCAAAATTTTCCATTGGGAAGGATAAAATCTTTTTTGGTAATAGTTGCACTGAGTTGAGATCTAAGTCTTTCCATTTTGCTATCATTATAAAAATTATCTTAGCTATTCTTGGCCCTTTCTTTTCCCATTTGAATTTTATGATCAATGTACCAAGTTTCACATAGACCTGCATTGGAATTTTGATTGGAAATGCATTGAATTTATACATTCATTTGACATGAACACCATCCATAAATATGGGACGTCTTTCTATTCAGGTTTAAAGTTTTTCAGTAAACATTGGGTTTTTTTTTTAAATGAAAGATATGTACATGTTTTCCTAGATTTACTAGGTACACTCATAATTTTCTTTTTGTTGTTGTTCCCCCACAGTGAATAAGATCTTTTCCTTTTGCATTTTCTAATTGTTGGTGTATAGGAATAGTACTCATTTTTTATGTCGATCTTCTAAGATGCTTTCTTAGTTGACTGTCTTGATTTGGGGAGGAAGGTAGGCAAGTATGTCGTCTGCAACTGAGGACTGTTTGTTTGGTTTCTTCGTCTTCTCTTCTTATCCTTTCTGCACCTTATTCCATTGGCTTTATCTTACTGGTTGATTGCATTTTTTTTTATTACATTGGTTTTCAACCTACAGGATACATGCGGAAATAGCAGACATCCATGTCCTGTCCTCTGTTTTCCTAGGAATGCTTCCAAGATTGTACCATTCAGTATGATGTCTGCTAATGATTTTGGAGGATAGCCACCTTGGTTTCCTTGCACAGGTTTTATTATGAAATAATGTTGAATTTTATGAAGTACTTATTTATTTATTTATTGAGATGGAGTCTCGCTCTGTCTCCCAGGCTGGAGTGCAGTGGTGCAATCTTGGCTCACTGCAACCTCCACCTCCTGGGTTCAAGCAATCCTCCTGCCTCAGCCTCCCAAGTAGCTGAGACTACAGTTGTGGGCCACCAAGCCCAGCTAATATTTGTATTTTTAGTAGAGATGGAGTTTCACCATGTTGGCCAAACTGGTCTCAAACTCCAGACCTCAGGTGATCCACCCGCCTCAGCCTCCCAAAGTGCTGGAACTACAGGCGTAACCCATTGCGCCCGGCCAAGTACTTTTCTTCCTTTAATCTTTAATGTGGTGGATTACATTAACATATTTTCTGACGTTAAGCCATATTTCCATCTTCAGGATAAAACCCCACTTGTCATCACATGTTAGTTTTATACACTGCTGAATTTGATTTGTATTTTAAGATATTTGAGATTATGTTTATTAGTAAGAGGGGTCTATCATTTTCATTTTTGTATGATGTTCTTAAGTTTTTAAAAAAACCAGATTATACTAGTTTCATAGAACAAGTTGCTAAAGTTTACCTCTTTTTTTAATTCTCTGGGAGAATTTGTACGAGATAAAGAGATCTGTTTTTTGAATGTCTGGTAAAATTTGCTTGTAAAAATGCTCTAGGAATTTTGAGTACCATTAGATTTCTAATTCTATATATTTAATGTCTATGGTTTACATTTCCTATTTTCCTTCTCAAATTGTTTATATTTTCTAGAAAATGTCATTTAGGTTTTCAAATGTATTGAAATAAAGTTGTTCATAGGATTATCTTACTAATTTTTTAATCTTTATGATGTCTGAATTTGCTGTTTTATGCTTTTTTTGTTATTTTTCTCATTATTTCTAAATCAACTCTGCTAGAAATCTATCTGCTTTAGCATTCTTTCAAAAAATCATCTTTTGACTTTGTTGAGTTTCTCTACTGTTTCATTGTTTTTCATTTTTGTGCTTATATGTTTAAGTTTTATATTTCTATGGCGTTTTGTTGTTTGAGATCGAGTCTCGCTCTGTTGCCCAGGCTAGAGTGCAGTGGCGTGATCTCGGCTCATTGCAGCCTTCACTGCCCAGGTTCAAGTGATTCTCCTGCCTCAGCCTCCTGAGTAGCTGGGACTACAGGCATGCACCACTACACCAGTTAATTTTTGTATTTTTAGTAGAGACAGGGTTTCACCATGTTGGCCAGGCTGGTCTCGAACCCCTGACCTCAGGTGATCCACCCACCTCAGCCTCCCAAAGTGCTGGGATTACAAGCCTGAGCGCCATGCTGGCCATATTTCTATGTTCTTTATGTTTGTTTGATTTATCTTCCTCTAAGTTCTTGAGTTGCATTTTAAGTTATTTATTTTTAAACTTTCCTGGTTTTAAATAAACATATTTAAAATATAATTTTCCTTCTAAATACTGATTGAGATGCATCATATACTTTAGTTTGCATTGTGATTTTTCTCTGTAATTCATGAGTTTTTTCAGAGTTATTTTAAATTTTCAGTGACATGACTGTTTTCAAATTATCTTTTTACCTTTTGTATATCTAATTGGTCACATTGTGGTAAGAGAATGACTTCCAGATAACATCAGTTTCCTGAAATTTTGTTCAGAGTTCTTTCTACAAGGTGTCATGTGAGAAACTCCTTTTCAAAATTAATGCTGGACTGTGAGCTCCGAAATCCACATTTGTTCATTCACTGCAGTGTTCCAAGCAGCCTGGGCGGCGCCTAGGGGTGCATGCCCAATGGTGTGATGGCAGCCAGTGTGTGTTTTCCACTAGAGAGCTCTCTAACAGCAAGGGCTGTGTCTGCCGCAGTCTTTTCTTCATCTTGGCCATCAGCAGCTTAACTTCAGTGATTAATTTTCCTCCTGGGGTCATTTGTTTTTCTTTCCATGACTTTTTATTAACTACTGTGTAGTCTGGACATCCTTCTTTATACACTGTCTTGATTTAGGTTTTCAATGGAGAGAGGCCAGGTAGAAAGGGAAATAGAAAAACAGAACTCACTCCTATTCACAATGAAAGTATTTTTATAAAAACAAAAATAAAGCCTTAAGCAATTTTTCCACTTGTCTCATATGTGACTATACAACCAGATTCCTAGAAAATGTCCCTGCTTTTCTCATTCTTCTCCCTGTGGTGTGGAAACAGGATCCCAGGTCTAAAGGATGAAAACTCTCAGGGCGCAGGTTAAAACTGGATGAAGGGAGCCCAGTGGCATCAGCTGGCTGTGCCCTGGTGGGTCACACAGCTAAGGTCAGCAAGAATAGAATTTAATTACATATTTTACACAATGGGATGGAATGAAAGACTGTTTTGAGGAAATAATAGTTTATCAAAGAAGTGGAGAAATGCCCATGGGAGAAGCACGTTCAGAGCAGGCACGGAATGGATAGATTTCAGAAGGAATTTAGCTGTCACTGGTTCGAGGCCAGGCCACTCCCCTCTAAGCAGGCTCTTATAGCAAGGAGCTGCTAGGACCTGGATGTGTGGTGAAAAAACAAAGTGGTTGTCGGTGCAGAATTTCACAGTTAACAAATCACTTTAATACAAACAATCTCATGAACTCCTCTCACGCCTATGGGAAAATGTTAATTGTGTTTATTTTGTGAAGTTGCATATTAGCTTAGTTTCTCTGAGCCCAATGTGAGCCCCAAACTGTATAAAAACATGCATTCAGCCCCTCTACCACCTCTATGCAACTTTACTTGCTAAAAATGTGTGACATTCCGAAGTTCTAAAATGGCCAGGGTGACCAGTCATTCCCAAACATTGCTAGAAATCAACGTGACCAATGGGGGCAAATGCAGCAATTGATACAATAACATCCTCATTTCTCCAGATTTGGTGTGACAGTTCCTTTCACGCCTTCCCCCTTGGGTTGGTTCCCTAATAATGTTCCCCTACAGAACCTTCTCCCAGGTCCACTTGCCTCAGTAAGGACACACATGGACTGTGCGTTGGAGAGTTAGCCAGTGACTTACTCCCTGTGTGACCTTGGGCAAGGTGCTTAACCACCCTTGGACCTCAGTTTACTCATCTGTGAAATGGATGATAATAACAGAGTGGTGAAGAGTGAATGAGCTGAAGCAGTAGCCCTTAGAAGATGCACTGGCACATAACGGCATTTCCCTTTCCACAGCAGCCACTTGCCCTCTCTAGCCTCTGTTTCCTGTGAAGTGGGGTTAGTAAAAGCTGTGCCCCGAAGAGCTCTTGTAAAAGAGGGAGGCTTCTGTGGGAGGCAGGTCAATCGCTCCTCCCAGACCTCCACAGCCTGACCCTTGGTACTTACGTTTCCTACATAACAAAGGGGATAAGGCTGCAGATGGAATTAAGGCTGTTCGTCAGCCACCTTAAGATGAGAGATTATCCTAGATTATCCAGCAGGCCCAATGTAAACACAAGGGTCCTTATTAGTGGAGGCAGGAGGCAAGAGTTGGTGTCAGAGTGATGGGATGTGAGAAGGACTCAACCTACCACTGCTGGCCTTGAAGATGGAGGAAGGGGCCATGAGCCAAGAATTGCAGGTGGCCTCTGGAGGCCAGAAAATGCAAAGAAATGGACTCTGCCCTAGAGCTTTCAGAAGGAACATTGCCCTCATGGCAGCTTGATTTTTGTTCAGTGAGACTCCTTCAGACTTCTGGCCTCCAGAACTGTAAGATGACACATTAGTGTTTTAAACACTAAGTTTGTGGTAACTTGATACTGCAGTCTAGCAGGGTGCCTTGCTCAGGTAACCTCCTATATGTGATGCTGTCACCATGTTCATTACCATCACCATTGTGGGCCTAAGGTATGCAGAAGTGAAAGTTATCCCAAAGGTTTTCACAGTGGCTCATTCTGTAACGCAGCCTCATTTTAAGACTGTCTGATCTCCATGATACATCACCTCCTCATCCAGACCACCCAGAGCATGTGAGAAGAGCCACTCTTGAAGCTCCTCGGGCATGCTTAACCCTGCTAACCTGCGTTCTGTGTGCTATGGGAAAGGCAGCAGCCCGCCAGTGTCACCTCTGTTGGGATTCGTTCTACCTCCCTATACAGAACTCACTGCTGGACTTACTGCTTCCCCTCCTAAAACAGCTGCCTGTAAAAGGGGCATGGGTCTTGCTTTCTTTGTATTTTTCAAAGCTCTTGAACATGGTGAGTGCTCCATGAAAGTATTTGGAATGAAAAAATCCATGAAAAGAGTCTGTCAAAGCATAGCTGATGGAATGAAACAAGATACAACTGGATGAAGATGTATGTTGTGATGCCTTATTACTTCACTGGGGAAGGGAAGAGTCTTCTCCAAACCACCCAACCACCTGGCAGCCCTGGCTCATGCAGAGGTCTCCAGTCTGGATGCGCTCTCACTGTCCATCAATGTGGAAATGAGGCAAAGCCTGCCAATCATACAATCTACTCCCTGAGGAGACCTGTACATTCTCAAATACATAAACGCACACAGAGAATTCGTATTAGCTTCGGTCAAATCAATGACACAGAGATGCCATATGTCATCAGGCACTGTGCTACATGCTTTACACAAACTCTTTGAGGCAGGTTCCATTATACTCCCATTTTGCCCATGAGTTAATTGTGGATTAAGATGGCCATGCCCCTTGCTCAGTTTCTACATAACGAATGATTACACTAAAAATCTTTCCCAGGTCTGCTTGCCAGACCCCCTACCCCTGTCCTTTCCCAGTGTGCAGCCCCAGGCCTTCGGGGAGGCCACAGCACGGTGTGTTTCCATGACACTGGAGGCACCTCCATCCCATCCATCCACTTCTACCCACTGTCACTGATATGCATGCCAAACCAGGCATATTGAAACTATTTAGAATCCAAAAATATAGCATGCACTCCAAACTTAATAATCTCCTTAGCAAATTCTGATCTGAGCACGTAGGTTTTTAAATGGATTCCAAAACAGCCGCCCAGATAACTTCGAAGTTCAGTTTGAATAACCATTTTATATTGAATTAGTAAATCAGGAAAGATGCGTTATTAATCTAGCAAGATTCAATTGTTAAATTTACAAAATAAGGATTTTACTTCAAAAATCTTATTTAAATATTAGAATGTTATCCTGGTCTCTTTCATCGCTTTTATGAGACCTGAAAGAAATTTCACAAGATACAAGGCTTTTAATACTCAGACAGATTCAGTAAAACAAACAAATAAGACAATATGTAACTCTAGGGCAACTGGCAAATTAACCATTTGGGAGAAGGCTGGAGTTAGAATCTTGTCCCACATCTGAACTCTCCGAATGGTGATTATGAGTAACAGTCTGATGACAGATAAACCTTGATTTTCATCCTGGTTTCCCATTTACTTGTTACGTGAACTGGAAAAATTAACAAAACTTCTTCGTACCTCAGCTCTTCTCACCTGCAAAACTAGGATGTCTGCTAAAATTGGCTGTTGGGTGGGTTAAGCAAAACAGGGTCCATAGTGCCTATGCAAGGTACCAGGCTCCTCAGAAGTCCTTGATGTCTGCTGGCTAAAAAGAAAAAATGAAAAACATACTGAAACAACACCCCTCTCTCAGTGATTGACAGAACAAATAGGCAGAAAGGCAGCAAGTGCTGATCAGACCTGAACACCACCATCAGCTAACTTGACCAAGGTGACATTTACAGAACACTTTGCTCAACAACAGCAGAATACAAATATTTTAAAGTTCAAATGAAACATCTGCCAAGTTAGATCATATTTTGGGCCATTAAAACAAGCTTCAATAACATTCAAACGATTCAAGACACAGGATGTTCTCTGACCACAGCAGAATAAAATTAGAAATCAGCTACATAAGGACATCAGGAAAATCTCAAAATACATACAAACTAAATAATATACTTCCAAATCACCCATGAATCAAAGAATAAATCAAAAGGGAAATTAGAAAGTATTTTTATCTCAATAAAAATGAAAACATATCATTTTCATTCAGGGATGAATGCTAACGCAATACTCCGAGAGAAATCTGTAGCACTAAATGCCTATATTAAAAGAAGAAAGGTCTTAAATGACCTTAGCTCTTATGTGAAAGACTATAAAAAGAAAAACAACTTAAACTCAAAGTAAACAGAAAAAAGTAAATAATAAATAAATACTAAAGATCAAAGCAGAAACCAGTGCTGTAGATAACAGAAAAAAAAAAAAAATAGAGAAAACGAATGAAACCAAAAGCTAGTTCCTTGAGAAGATCAATTAAATTGACAAGCCTCTAGCCAGGATGATAACAACATATCAAAGACACAAATATGTTGTCTTTGAATAACAACAACAACAAAGACACAAATTGCCAATATCAGGAATGAGAGAGGTGACAACACTACACTTTTTACAGATAAAGGATAAAATGGAAATATTATGAACAACTTATTCCTATACATTTCACAGCTGAGATGAAATAGAAAAATTCCTTAATGATACACATTACCAAAGTTATCTCAAAAAGAAATAGATAAGCTGTATAGTCCTATACTTCTTTAAAAATTGAATTCATAGTTAAAAAGTTTCTAATAAAAAACTTCAATTCTAGATGGCATCTCTGGTGAATTCTATCAAACATTTAAGAAAGAAATAGTTCCAATTCTAGTCAAACCCATCCGGAAAACTGAAGCAGAGAGAATATTTCCAAATTTATTCTAGGAGGACAGCGTTATCCTGATACTAATATGAGATAAAGACATTACAAGAACAGTAACAAAAAAACAAAACCCAGGGTCCCCCATTGTCACTGGCTGCTTCTCCCTTGAGGAATTCTCCTCCAGGTCTCTCAGCTCCAGCTCTGATGCACCCTGATTTGCTCCAGCAGCTGACTCAGCATGGCCCCAAGCCTAGCGCATCTCCACACCTGTTTGCTCATTTGCTTTTACTGGATTGTGAGATGGCTGAGGAATTTTTTTCTTCATACCCCAGTGCTGAGAATGTAGTAGGTATTTGGTAAATATTATAGGATTCAGTTTTGAAGCTGGGAGGTAGGTTGAACATAAGTGTTACCAGAATCCAATTCAACCTGGAATGCTGTGATAAACATAGGAAGTCTAACAGGAATAATAATGAACTGTATTTATGACCACGCAATAAATAGCACCATTATGGAGAGAAAGGTACAGGAGCAAAGACATTGCTCCGCAATAAAATTTAAGGATGGGTAGGGAGGTGTTGAGACCTCCAAAGATCCTACTGGTTGACACTTAAATTCTTTTTTATTTTTATTTATTTATTTATTTTTTTTGAGAAGGAGTCTTGCTCTGTCACACAGGCTGGAGTGTAGTGGTGCAATCTTGGGTCACTGCAACATCCGCCTCCCAGGTTCAATCAATTCTCCCGCCTCAGCTTCCTGAGTAGCTGGGATTACAAGCATGCGCCACCACATTCAACTAATTTTTGTATTTTTAGTAGAGATGGGGTTTTGCCATGTTGGCCAGGCCGGCCTGGAAATCCCAGCCTCAAGTGATCCGTCCACTTCAGACTCCCAAAGTGCTGGGATTACAGGCGCGAGCCACCACACCCGGCTGACACTTAAATTCTGACTATCCCAAATGATTAGTCTAAATTAATCATGATAATTCCATTTCACCATGATCAATTTAGGAATGAGTTTGAGGGAAAATATTCTTGGGGACTTCCTGAAAAAGTTTCCTCATATCTAATGATAAGACCGAAGGAGATGGTCTCCTCCTTCCATGGACATTTCATCTTTGGATGTGATCCCTGGACCTGTAGCAGATATCCTGCAACCAAGCAGGGTGTCCTCCATCCTGAGGCAAAGCCAGCACACAGCAGAATGCAGAGATGGCATCTGCCCTACCTCTCAACTTCTGGTTTTGTAGATAACACATTTCCTTGCAGTTTCAGTCAATTAGGGTCATGTTTTACATCATTTACAGTCAAAACTATTGTCAAAGGTTATAAATAATAATATAATTGGGGGCTGCATTAGTGTAAGTATAGTTTCTAAGGCAAGTGTGAAGTGTGAGAAATTAGTTAGGTAAAAGCCATGCTGCTGCTATAACAAAGAGCCCCCAGATTCCTCAGAGCAAAACAGGATCCAGGTTTATTTTTCACATAAGCAGGGGGAAGTTGGCACAGTTCTCATCCTAGAAAGGCAGCTCTGTCATCTTCAGCACAAGGCTTCTAATCTTGCTCCAGGTATCACTCACACTTGGGAAAGAAAAAAGAGCATGAAAAGGCACATGCCTGATGCCTTCAGGAGCAAGTTCAGAAGCAGGACACATTGCTCTCTATAGGGGCTGTGAGGAGCTGCAGGGGAGGTGGCGTCAGTGCCTGGGCAGTAGCTGGGGCCTGGACAAAGCTTGGGCAGTGAGGGACAGACAGAGATGGATGCTGGTAGCCATCAACATTTAGCATAGCACAAATTTTTCCTAATCATGGTACTCCTGGACTATTGTTTATCATTAAGAGGAGACACAAGAAGTACAAACAAGGCCAGAGGAGAATCACAAGGAGCCAACCAGCAGATGAGGTGACTCAAAGCCACATCATGGGAGGACGGTGGTGGTGGGGGCTGATGGGGCTTAGGCTGGGGAAGGAAGACCACCAGGGCTGCCAAGGCAGGAGGAAGAACACAACACTTCCTCACATGTGTGAGAGATTATCGTGTGGAGAAGTGGTTAAATGATTAATTTTGACTCCGGGGCAAAGACCTTCCATTTGGTGGAGTTTACAGAGCAGGTTATGGCTCAACATCAGAAGGGAACAAAAGAACAAAAGAATAATAGCAGTTGAAGTCACTCATGATTAGAATAAAGAAACGCCAGTGAGTCACATGGAGGAGATAATACAGACCTGGTGGCTCATCAAGGAGGTATTATAGCCCTCAAACAGGTGAAGATGAAGAAAACATTTTCCCTTACAAACAATAATGCACCTGTATTTGATCTGCTGTAAAGGTCTTTGACCTATGATTTACCAACTTCCAGTGTGCTTAAGTCTAGTATAGAGATAAGGGCAATTGAAATGAGACTATGTATTACTGATATATAGGAGACTTATGATTTTAAAAGTCATCCTCATCTTTGTATGAGTTTCTTAGTCTCATAAGAATTTGAATTTCAGGACTGGCCTTTAGCACATGAATGTCTTCTCTGACCCAGCATGCTGAGGAACAGGCTTGGACACTGACTTCCCACTGACCTCAAAGGCAGTGCTGTTCTTGAACAGGACTTACTTCAAATGCAAGGCAGAACTTTTTATTCTGGAAAGAATTGTGCCCATAGAACAGACACTGGCGATCATATCGTTTTTAAAAAATGATATTCAGCTAACAGGTTGTTATATTAGTAACTAAACTAGAAGTTCTTGTCCTATGGAGAGAATCTCAAGTCTTTGAAAACATATTCTTTCCTACCCTTCACTCAAGTAATTTATCTGCTCTGAAAAATGCCAAAAACATACCACTGTGCCCTGCCCAGTGCCACAGACATTTCCACTTATTTTTTAGGCTAAGCAGCAAATGTGGATCCAAAAGTGGAAGAAATCAGACACTGCTGATGGCAGATGTCTTGCCAATAGGTCAGATGGCTGCATGTTTTTAATCAAGCAGGCCCCATCACCTGAGAGCAGAGATCAAATTATCAAGGTGGTGTGTGTGGACAGCTTTTTGCAGCCACTGGCAGACTCAGTTTCCTTTGTCAATTTCTGTCTGGGATACGATGCTGTTCAAAATGCTCGTGAGACTTTTGTGGTTAAATTATGCTGAAACATGGTGTGTTTTGAGGAGCAAGTTGTCAGCCAACTCAATGATACCACCAGTGGGAGTAGGCCATAACTCAGGCTCAGCTCCTGTATCTCTGTGTCTTGGTCAGATTCTCTAATTACTCTTCCACCCACACTTCTTGCTGATATTCTCTACGGAGATATTTGGTTACTGATACAAACATATTACTCTTGTCCCAAATAACTCAGATTTTTTTAGCGTCTGAGAATGGCTCCACCTTTACAGAGTCTAAAAGATGACACAGGCTCTTCCCTCCACCCCTATTTGGGTTTTGGTCCAGCAGAAAGTGCGAACATATGGTGCGGGGCCCACAGATGAGGCCAAAATCTCATTAGGTAGAAATCTGAGCAATTCGGGATGTCCAAATACTGCAGAAGCTCAGATGCCTTCATGCTTTGGAGCTTTCATCTATAAAAGACACTTGGGGAAAGGATAAACCATGGGCTGGGTGGGAGAAAGGAGGTGCCCAGAAAGAGCACTTGTTATGCACATTTGTGACTAGACTATTCTCTTGTTTGCTAGGAAAAATAATTAATATTTGCACTGGTTTTTAAGTTAATACCATTTTCAACTTATTGTAATTTTGTATGCTATAACAACCTCGTTATTTTTTAATTATTTTTTTTTTACTTTGAGATAACTGTAGATTCACACACAGTTGTAAGACATAATACAGAACACTCCTATGTACCTTTTACCAGGTTTTCCTCAATGGTCACATCTTGCAAAATTACAAAACAATATCCCAGCCAGGATATTGACATTGATACAATTAACGTAAAGAACATTCCATCACCAAGATCCCTTCTGCTGTCCTTTTATAGATGCACCTAAGCCTTCTTCCTTCCTTCCTCACCGTCTTTTCATCCCTGACTCCTGGCAACCACGAACTGCTTCCCTTGTCTATAATCTTGTCATTTTAAGAATGTTATATTGGCCTGGCGCTGTGGCTCATGCCTGTAATCCCAGCATTTTAGGAGGCTGAGGTGGGTGGATGACTTGAGGTCAGGAGTTTGAGACCAGCCTGGCCAACATGGTGAAAACCCGTCTCTACTAAAAATACAAAAATTAGCCAGGCGTGGTGGTGTGCACCTGTAGGCCCAGCTACTTGGGAGGCTGAAGCATGAGAATCACGTGAACCCGGGAGGTGGAGGTTGTAGTGAGCCGAGATTGTACCACTGCACTCCAGTCTCGGCGACAGAAGACTCCACCTCAAAAAAAAAAAGTTATATAAATAGAATCATATAGTATGTAACCTTTTGAGTTTGGCTTTTTGCACTCACTCAGCATAATTCTCTGGAGATTCACCCAGGTGGCTGTGTGGATCAATAGTCTTTTTGTCTTTATTGCTTAGTAGCATTCCATGATATGAAGGGACCACAGTTTGTTTAACCATTCACTCAGTGAAAGCTATTTCCAGTTCAGAGGTGTCACAAATAAAGCTGCTGTGAACATTCATGTGCAGGTTTTTATGTAAACCTAAGTCTTCACTTCTTTGGGATCTATGATCCAGATAATTTCTGGGCGATAAGTTTTCATGTTTCATTTTATAAGAAACTGCCAAACTATTTCCCATAGTTGCTGTACCATTTTACATTCCCATCAGTAATGTATGAGTGATGTGGTCTTTGCATTCTTCCCAGCATTTGGTGTTGTCACTATTTTTTATTTTAGTCTTTCTAAGGTATGTAGTGATATATCATTATGGTCTTAATTTCCAGTTCCCTAACGGCTAGTGATAGTCACATCTTTTCATGTGTTTGCCATCTGTACATCTTCTTCAGTGAAATGTCTGTTCATTATTTTGGTCCATTTTCTAATTAGATTATTTACATTTTTACTGTTGAATTCTGAGGCTTCTTTATATATTGTAGATACTAGTTCTTTGTTGAACATGCGGTCTGCAAATATTTCCCTCCAGTCTGTGGATTGTCCTTCCATCCTCTCAATAAAGTCATTTGCAGAACAAAAGGTTTTTTTTTTTGTTTTGTTTTGTTTTTTTTTTTTTTTTTGAGACAGAGTCTCACTCTGTTGCCCAGGCTGGAGTGCAGTGGCGTGATCTTGGCTCACTGCAAGCTCCGCCTCCTGGGTTCATGCCATTCTCCTGCCTCAGCCTCCCAAGTAGCTGGGACTACAGGAGCCTGCCACCATGCCCAGCTAATTTTTTTGTATTTTTAGTAGAGACGGGGTTTCACTGTGTTAGCCAGGATGGTCTCGATTTCCTGACGTAGTGATCCGCCCGCCTCAGCCTCCCAAAGTGCTGGGATTACAGGTGTGAGCCACCACACCAAGCCAGAACAAAAATTTTCAATTTTTAAAGTTCCAATTTCTGATTTTCTCCTGTTTTTTTCTCCTGCAAATTTGACAGTTTCATGTTTTGCATAAAACATTGTTCATGATCCATTTTGAATTATTTTTGTATATGGTATGAGGTATAGGTACAAGTTCTTTTTGTTTTCTTTTGCTTTTGGATGTTCAATTGCATCGGTAACATTGTCAAAAATGCTATTCTTCCTTCAATGAATTGCTTCAGCACCTTTGTCAAGATGAGTTTGGCATATTTGTGTGAGTCCATTCTGGGATCTCTATTCCTGGGATCTATTCTGTTCCAAGGATCTTTGTCTCTTCCCCTCTGTCAGGACCACATGGTGTTGATTGCTGTGGCTGCATAGTATAGTATAACCACCTTCTGTGCAAGGCATCCAGTTCCTCCCCTCTCCACTCTGACCCACCATCCAATAAACCAGCTGTCTATGAGAGTTATAAATAATGTCACCTGCAGATTTTGAAAAAAGATGCTCAACTTCTGCAGGGTGCAGGGTGTTGTAGGTCCTTCAAAGGTCAGTGCATATTTCTAAACTTTAATAATTACATTTCCTTACTCCTGCCTGGCAACAGGACAAGGATGTTGGTCAAAAAAAAACCACAGTAACTTATGAAAGTAGAGACTGCAAGGAGGCCCTGGCAAGCACAAATCTCTGGAAAATTATTCAACTCAGGACAACTGCAGCAGAAAACTTTCCTAAGGTCTCTACTTTTTCAAGGACAAGGGCTAGTATTTCAGTAATACTTAAATTGATTATAAACTAGCAAGAGAAGCCAGGAAGAAGGTCACCATGAGAAAAGAGTTCCTCCCTACAGTCCCAGAGATTTGTATAACCTCATTCTATATTTACTTGAATTCTGAAGATCAGATAGAATAAATCTCCACACTGGTGTAGTGAATGATGACATTGGTACACCCATGTGTGCTAGCTGTAACTTGGACCCTCTGTCTTCCCCTCAAGAAAAGTCTACTGGGATAGTGGTTGAGTGAACATGGCTTTGAATAGGGAAACCCTTGAATCTGCTCTAATTTTTCTTCTCCTTGGTCCTACTTAAAATCAATTAATTGTCAAGCCTTTCAACTATATGTTGAGTAATAAATTATTCAAGACATAGTTAAGAGTGCAAAACCAGTGGGAACTGCTGTACTAGATTTTACCAAAGATAGACACTCACTCCCAAACCGCTGGGGAAATGGATTCGATCTTTACTAAAGGTGTTGTGCTGGTGACATGGATGAGGTATGTCTTTGGGGATTCTTACGTGATTTTATCCCTTGAGAATGAGTCACTTACCTGAGGAGGAGGCAACAGGAGCTCCTGACCTCAGAGGCTCTCCTACATTCCTGCGTTCTGTAACTTAGAAAGCCATTGGGAGTATACATTGATAGCTATATGGTATTTTAGGGAAGACTCAATGGCATTTCTATTTAAAAGTATTATTTAAAATAGCAAAAAAAATCATCTTTTGTTATTACTTGATCTTTTCCACAGTCAAATACTCAGATAATCTACTTGTTTTATAATTTTAATGATAATCAACATGTACTAACATACAAACATCATTCTTATAAAAGCATTTATAAATTAAGATCTACACAGAGTAAAAAAGAAGAGTTTGCTAATTTTTTGAGTATTTTGTTTTAGTTTTGTCAGATTAGTGAAACTAAATTTTTCAAAAAGCTAGAATTAATGGAAAACTATAATACTTTCTTCAAATATTTACATTTGCTTAAATGTATTTGTTTTGGGTTGAATTGTTCTTCCTCCAGAACAAAAAAGGCACTGGTGGATGTGACCTTATTTTGCTGATGATCAAGCTAAGATAAGGTAATTAGGGTCGGTCCTAATCCAATATGATTGTGTTATAAAAAGAGAAAATTTGGACACCCAGGGAGAATGCCCTGTAAAAAAGAGAACTACACTGCCACAAGCCAAGGAGCTAAGGGAAGCTGGAGAGATGCCTGGAACAGATCCTTCACCAGGGCCTTCAGAGGGAGCGTGGCCCTGCTGACACCCTGACCTTGGACTTCTGGCCTCCAGACTACAAGAGAATAAATTTCTGTTTGTGGCACTTTGTCATGGCAGCCCTAGCAAACTAATGCAGTATTTTACATATTCTTTTGGGAAATAATTGTAGTTTGCAAGACTCCAATTGAAATAGAAACCTCAAAAAGAAGCCAGCCGACAGTGTATTTTAGTCCTTGAGAATTCAACTTTCTTGAACCCTGCTAGGAGACAATTTGGCCCAAGTAAATAAATTATGTGTTCACAGTCATACAGAAGCCCTGGTTTATATCCTTAGTGCCTCGAGTGCCATTCTAGCACACATCTAAATAAAAGGGATTAACAATAATATTTCAACTTCATTGGAGCTATGTCTGCCAGGAAGGAATGAATCAGCAGCCACAAAAACATTCCTGCTTGTGAAGTCATCCCGGGAAGACTTAGTATAATCCATGAAAGCAGAGAGAATTCATTTCAGAAGGCTGTCTGCTTCAACATTTCTCTTTAGGTTTTAAGTTATTCCCACTTCCAATATATTAAGTATTTGTAAGCCATATCTAGTTCTTTTAAATTTAATTAGCTTTTCTTGTGATGTCCATCATGGGAAAAATTCCAAGACATACTTAGAAACATAGAAAAGCTTAGAAAAAATAAGAACCATTAAAACAAATCATATCTCACAACTATGACCCTATCATTTTGTCATCTCTTTACTTGAGTAATACAATAGCTTCTTTTTTTTTTGAGACGGAGTTTCACTCTTGTTGCCCAAGCTAGAGTGCAATGGTGCTATCTCGGCTCACTGCAACCTCCATCTCCCAGGCTCAAGCAATTCTCCTGCCTCAGCCTCCCAAGTAGCTGGGATTACAGGCGCCCACCATTATGCCCGCTAATTTTTTGTATTTTTAGTAGAAACGGGGTTTCACCATGTTGGCCAGGCTGGTCTCGAACTCCTTACCTCAGGTGATCCGCCCATCTCAGCCTCCCAAAGTGCTGGGATTACAGACATGAGCCACTGCGCCCAACCCACAATAGCTTCTTTTTAAAAGCGTTTCACTTGGAAATAATTTTAAACTTAATAAGAAAGTTACAAGAGTAATTCAGAAGTACTCAGCTACCCTTTCCAGAGCCACCTATTAGCATTTTCCCATGCTTGCTTTATTAGTTGCCCTTTTCTATCCATATACATCACCCACCACTTCTTTTTGCTCAATAACCAGTTCACTAAATATTTACTGAGTGCTGGTCTCTGTGGAAGCCACAGTGGTGGAGAGAAAGTCATGAGAACTCAGCTAGCAAGGGCAGAACCAGGATGTGAGAGCAGGTGAGAATGATCATTTTTAGTTAAGTCTAGGAATATACTGGTCCTTAACATGCTGAATGAAGTCTGGGAACTATGGGGTGCATTCTTCCTGAGCATACCTCATTTGAACTTGATGTTTGCATCCTTACCGACCCCTCTCGGCTTCACATGAAGAAACACATCATAACATAGGTCCAAGTGGATACAAAAGTTGCTCAGGTTTTTGTCCATAATTTTGAGATTTGTACTTTCCAAGTTCCAGGAATATAATGTTTTCTGAGTGGACATAGTTCACTTTCAAGTCAATGTTGTTCATCTTTGGATCCCCAGCCTCTAGAATTGTGCCTGGCACAAAAATACTTGAGGAATGCATGAAACGTGAAAGTGTTAATAGTCTCTATTAAAGCTATAGACAGCACTTACAGCATGCAGACACGAACTCCTTTAACTCCTTTACCTCTCTCAGTGGTCTCATGGGAGAGGCTCTACTACTGTCCTCCTTTTACAGAGTAGGATGTAAAGACACCAAGAAGTTAAGTCGCTTTCCTACAGTCACCCAGCCAGTAGTTAAAACTGAATCACTCCACAGTTGCTCAACCCTCAGACCTGCCTGACCTCCATGTTTATCAGCAGGAGTTGGGGCATCTCTAGGGCATCATACTTTCTGCATGTTCAGGCCGAGTTGATATTTCTTTCTTTTTTTTTTTTTTTGAGACAGAGTCTCACTCTGTCGCCCAGGCTGGAGTGCAGTGGTGCAATCTCGGCTCACTGCAACCTCTGCCTCCCGGGTTCAAGCAATTCTCCTGCCTCAGCCTCCTGAGTAGCTGGGATTATAGGCGCCCATCACCACAGCCGGCTAATTTTTGTATTTTTAGGAGGCACGGGGTTTCACTACGTTGACCAAGCTGGTCTCGAACTCCTTACCTCAAGTGATCCACCTGCCTCGGCCTCCCAAAGTTCTGGAATTACAGGTGTGAGGCACCATGCCTGGCCAATATTTCATTTTAAAAAGCCCCTTCTAGCCTGTTTCTTCCTCAAGGATTCAAACTTAGTGTTCAGATACATTGCATCATCTGTTAGAAAATACCAAAGTCAATGAAGATTCAGTAAGTTTACAGAACCTAACTATAACTACAAAAACTTCTAGATTTGAGGGAACTCAGTAAATTTCTTTGACAGTCACCTGTGACGGGGGCTACGTAAACGCATTGGGAAAAGCTAAGTATTCTAAATCTTCTCATTATTTTACAAACTGGCAAGTTAAAGGAAGAAGCTGAGAGAAAATTCACCCTCTTGATGGCTTCCTGCTCCTAAGTAACACTGACCAGCAGAGTTCAGAGCACAAACCTTGCTGAAAAGAGTGGCTGTGGACTGTGGCACGCCAGTCTTCACAGATTGTGTTGGGGACCCCAAATGTGAAAGGGAATGCAGATTTTCCACAGTTATAAAAACCATCTCACCTTCCTCCTGGCAGGTAGGTGCTAAGGAATTACACTGAAAAAAATAAAGGCAAAAATCCTCTAGGAGAGACTCTGTGCCCTGAGGTCAGGCGCTCCCCTCTGGATGTTCCTGCCTTACGCAATGGTATTCACAAAAGCAAATCAAGAGGAAAATATGTGGAGGAAAAACCCTTCTGACATCTCTAAATTGCATCCACTGACTAGTGGCCTAGCCAGCTCCTGCAAAGTGGTGAGTCATCGCAGTAGAGAAGAGGCCCGAGCAAGGAGCAGGGCAAGAGCTCGGAGGTCCTTCTGCCCAATCAGCAGCAGCCCCCGGCTGGGAGGTCTCTTCGGGGTCCAAGGCTACATAGCTGAGAGGCCACAGAGTGCCAAGAACCGTTAAGGGGGCCGAGCTGGCAAGGGGGAGAAGGTGGGGGCTGGCAACTCACCGCATTTTGTTGCCATGAGTCACTTTAAAAATACAAAGAACAATATGATTTGTAGGTGGTTATTGATAGCTCCAGGCATCCAATCCTTCTAGTTTATAAAGATACAAATCTTAATTATTAATGGTTAAGATGAAGAAACAAATAAATGCCTTGAAGTTAGGAAATTCAAACGAATTGTTTCCTCAGATCCCCTCACACAAAAAAGGGTCTGTTCTGTAAAGTCCAGCTTGCTTGGCCTATTCCAAGACCAATGACATTCCTGGTTCTTTCCCAGGGAGGCCAGCTAAACTCATGTTGCAGAAACTTGAGTTCTGCAGGCAGAAACCCACCTGGGAGCCAGGTGAGAGAGACCCACCCTTGGCAGCATTAACTTTTTGCCAAACATACTTTTGATAAATACCTCATAAAGTGATAGTCCAGAAAGCGTTGTGTTTTCCTGTGGAATGAAACCAAAGTTATGATTGCATTGTTGCTGAAAACGTCCCACTCATACACAAGAAAAGTAAGTCATAAGGGCAAAGACAGCACCTACAAGCCTCCACCATCATTTGAGGGAAATTCTTTTCTCAGCCATAGGAAATTAGTATAGATTACTATGTGTTGTAACTGTATAAGGACTCACAATAGTGTGTGTTGTGTATATAAAGGACTGCTCAACCATATTATAAATTTAAAGTTCTTGCTAGTTATATGAGCTATAAAATATATAAACAAATTAAGCGGGTTTAAAGGAAAGAGATGAGCCATACGCCTTTAAAATGCTGTGGTGGGACTTTGTTTTCATTTGCTTTTTGAGACAGGTTTTCACTCTGTTTCCCAGGCTGGAGTGCAGTGGCATAATCATGGCTCACTGCAGCCTTGACCTCCTGAGCTCAAGTGATCCTCCCACCTCAGCCTTCCAAGTAGCTGGGACTAGAGGTGTGTGCCACCACACCTGGCTAATTTTGTATTTTTTGTACAGACAAGATCTCATCATGTTGCCCAGACTGGTCGCGAACTCCTGGGCTCAAGTGATCCTCTAGCCTCGGACTCCTAAAGTGCTTGTATTGTAGGCGGGAGCCACTGTGTCCGGCCTGTTGTAGGACTTTTGAACTGACAATCTTTTTGTCCTTAACCTTAGTAGTAAAGGCTCTGATGTTGTATTATTAAATATAATACTGACATTTAACTTGAGCTATATTCCTATTTTTTTTAAAAATATCGATTTCATTTTTATTAAGAATATGTTTTAATACTTAGGAATGAATGTTGAATTTTATCAAATGCAGCCATGGAAAAAATAAAATGATAGCTTCCTCCCTGTTTGGTGAAGGTTATTAATATATTCTTTTTTTATTTATTATTTCATTTATTTTTATTTTATTCATATATTTTTATTTTATTTATTCTATTGCCCAGGCTGGAAATGCAGTGGTGCGATCTCTGCTCACTGCAACCTCCACCTTCCAGGTTCAAGAGATTCTCGTGCCTCAGCCTCCTGAGTAGTGGGGATTACAGGTGTGCACCATGCCGGGTTAATTTTTGTTGGCCAGGCTGGTCTCAAACTCCTGGCCTCAAGTGATCCACCTGCCTTGGCCTCCCAAAGTGCTGGGATTACAGGTGTGAGCCACCACACCCAGCCCAGTTATATATATATATATATTTTTTTTTTTTAATTTTAATTTTAATTTTTTTTTTGAGATGGAGTTTCTTTCTGTTGCCTAGGCTGGAGTGCAGTGGTGCAATCTCGGCTCACAGCAATCTCCGCCTCCCAGGTTCAAGCCATTCTCCTGCCTCAGCCTTCCAAGTAGCTGGGAATACAGGTGCCCGCCACCACACCCGGCTAATTTGTTTTGTATTTTTAGTAGAGATGGGTTTTCACCGTGTGAGCCAGGATGGTCTCGATCTCCTGACCTCATGATCCGCCCACCTTGGCCTCCCGAAGTGCTGGGATTTCAGGTGTAAGCCACCGTGCTTGGCCTATTAATAAATTTTTAATATTAAAACATTTGTATCCTGATTTAATACTCATATGATCATGGGATATAATTTTCTTAATCTGCTGCTGGATTCTATTTGTTAATGTTTTATTTAGATTTTTGGTATCAAAAATCAATAAGACTGACATGTAGTTTTATTTTTAATTTGGAATATTTTTGTCCAGTTTTTAGATCAATAAATTGCTTGTTTCATAAAAACACATTCGGAAGCTTTTCTTCTGTCTCTGCTGTGGCACAGTTTGAAGGTCGTTCTGGACTTACATGCTTCTTAATAGTTTGGTGTATTTTCTCTGTGAAACCATCTGGGACTGGTGCTTTTGGAGGGATAGAACTTCAAATACTGTTTCAGATTTCTGTCTCTACTCAAGTCAGTTTGTTGCATAATAAACAATGATAACTGTTCTCTCCTTCCAAAATTTTATAATTTATTTAATTTCCTAAAGGTTATTTTCTGTTTCTCATTTTTATTTTGTATATGAATTGTACTCACTTTGTTCATCATATTTAGATACATTAGCCAATAATTTGTCAATTTAATTGTTCGTAAAAAGATTCATCTCTTGGATTACTTCATTTTGCTGTTGATTTCATTAAATTATACTTTCATTCTTTCAACTTCTTTCCTTCTGTTTTGCTTAGTGTGTGTGTCTGTGTGTATATTTGTGTGTGTTGTGAATTTTTCCTATTTGAGCTGAACACACACTTAGTTTACTTTTATTTGTTGTTGCTCCACTTTATATACCATGGGATTTCGTCTGTCAGTGCTTTCTGCTAAGCACTAATTAGCAGTATATATTGTCCTTTGTTTTAATCCCATCATTCAAAAATAACAATATATACCTTATGGTTTAAATATAAATACATACAATTATCTTTCTTCTAAAATTTTCAATTAAATTCTTTCATTTTTATGTTACAAATATAGTAAATACTATCCATTTTTTCTCCTCTGTATAAATCCTCTATTTTATTTTATTTATTATTTATTTTTGAGGCAGAGTCTCACTCTGTTGCCCAGGCTGGAGTGCAGTGGTGTGATCTCGGCTCACCGCAACCTCTGCCTCCCAGGTTCAAGCAATTCTCTTGCCTCAGCCTCCCGAGTAGCTGGGACTACAGCCGCGTGCCATGACGCCCAGCTAATTTTTTTGTATTTTTAGTAGAGACGGAGTTTCACTGTGTTAGCCAGGATGGTCTCGATCTCCTGACCTTGTGATCCGCCCACCTAGGCCTCCCGAAGTGCTATGATTACGGGCGTGAGCCACTGCGCCTGACCCAATTTTATTTTATTTTTTACAAAATTGGTCATTATATTTTCTTTTCTTAAAAATTATGTTTTTCCTATCATTTGCCCAATTTTCATATGCACATTTAAACAGTTTTTTATGATTAAAACAATAATAATAATTGCTAAATAAATAATTTTTTTTTTTTTGAGATGGAGTCTCATTCTGTCACCCAGGCTGGAGGTGCAGTGGCACAATCTCGGCTCACTGCAAGCTCTACCTCCTGGGTTCACGCTATTCTCCTGCCTCAGCCTCCCGAGTAGCTGGGACTACAGGCGCCCGCCACCATACTCGGCTAATTTTTTTGTATTTTTAGTAGAGACAGGGTTTCACTGTGTTAGCCAGGATGGTCTTGATCTCCTGACCTCGTGATCCGCCCACCTCGGCCTCCCAAAGTGCTGGGATTACAGGCGTGAGTCACCGCACCGGGCCATAACTTAAATAATTTTAACTCACTTGGAGATGACTTGATTTTCAGGGGTAGGAGGTATCTAGGTGTCAGTAGGATTATCTTTTTTTAAGTCCAGCGACTTTATTAGTGTGTGTTTTATTTTTTATTTTTATTTTTTCTGTTTTCTGTTTTTTTTTTTGAGACGTGGTCTCACTCTGTCACCTAGGCTGGATCACCCCTCACTGCAGCTTCTACCTCCTGGACCCCAGTAATCTTTCCGTCTCAGCCTCCTGAGTAACTGGGACCACAGGTTTTGTTTTTTTCTTTGGAGAGATAGGGCTTCACTATATTGCTCAGGCTGGTCTTGAACTCCTGGGCTCAAGTGATCCTCCTGCCTTGGCCTCCCAGATGCTGGGATTATAGGCATGAGCCACTACACCCACCCATGTTCTAGTTTTAATAGATGTGAATCCATTTCTTCCCTGGGACACAGTTCTTTTTTAAATATATAGGTGTATATCTCTTTTCCAGTAAAGTCTTTTAAAATTATATTTTAAAATATTTTTTTCTGTTCAAATTTTCTGGGCTTTTTTAGGGGAGACACTAATTATAGATACCCTTTCCGTGTCTTACGCACATTCTTCCTGGTCTGATTTCCATGTGTATTACTTTTCCTAAAATCAATTTTAACTTTTTTTCTCTTGCAGAATTTTCCCAAATATGTCATCCATATAGTTTATTCTCTTTTCTGTGAATCTATTTGCTTTATTTTTTTCTTTTCCATTTCTTTCCTCAACTCTGTTAATTCACTGTCTTTTTATTTCATCTTGGAGTTCTTTCATCTTGGCTTCAAACTGTCATTTCAAAGAGACATTTTTTTTTTTTTTTCATTAACTTAACCTTTGTGTGGAGAACATCTCGGTTACAATTTTTACCTGTTGATGGCAATTGTTTTCAAAGTTATACCCTTCATCTTCACTTTTGGTCATTTTTACATACTGCTTTTTCCTGAAGCAGATTTGCATAGATGCAATAATTATTTGCTTTTATTATTTCTACTCCTCTCTACATGTGGAAGTTCAACTTTTCATAAACGGTGTTCTTCCCTGGGTTGTTGTGAATTAGGGCCCGGGAAGGGCTGGGGCAGAGAGCTTATAGCAGGTACTTCATGTTCTCCTCTGCCTTCAGAGAGCTCCTTCATTGCCACTCAGTCATGTGAACATGACAGCTCTGGGCCAGCAGAGTATCTCTCTGGATCTCAGGGAAGTTACCACTGGAAGCTATTTATCTTTGGGGCATGGCACTCATCCTTCTTTTTCACTGTGTACCTGGCACATGGTGTGTCTATTGGTGTTGATTTTTCTATAGTTTGCAAGTAGTGTGACTCTAGGTCTGTGAACCACCAATAGTTCCTCCCCTAGGCAGCCACATCAACAAACAGCTTCCTACAAAGACGGCTTCCTGCACGTTTTGTCCTTCAGTCCTATGTCCCAGGAACTCTGTGGCATTAGGTCTCAGGGAGATTCCTTAAACTCTTTAGTGCTCTATAATCTATTCGTCCAAACCAGGGGCCTTTGTTGGCTCCTCCAGATACACTGTCTAACTTGGAGAATTCTGTGTGCTCTTGGAAATGGTAGCATCCTTTCTCCTTTTGGTCTAAGTTTTACTGTTCTTGGCATCCATTCTTGAGATTACTGGTCACATTCTGGGCCATAGATTTCTGGGTTTTTTTTTGTTTCTGGGAAGATCGAGTTTCCATTTCTGTTTCTCAGTCTCCTTGTTGATTTCAGTTGTAATCAGAAATAAGGGGCAGACAGATACTTATGCTACCATTTTCAACTGGAAGTCACATCATGGACTTTAAATTTTTAAGTGGTTCTTTAGTTCTGGCCAGAGCATATCTTATCAGCAGTATGATATCTAAAGAATATTTATGCAAATGGACCTTATAATTTGGAAAAACAACTATTCCAAAACTCCTTTAGAACTTAAATTGCTATGAAGAAAATTGACATAAATAATTTTGCATGGTCTTACCTCAGCAGCTTGGTAACTAGAAATGTCCACTAAGGGACTCTCTTCTGTCCTTGCCTCCCCTGTGTTGTTGGATGTTTTTTCCAGAAGGGGGAGTTGTAGGCTGTCGGACAAACCATTAATCTTCATCAGAAGTTCGTCTAACAGATTTGCAAATTCATCCAAGTAGTAATTCTGAAGGGAAGAAAATTAGATTAGTAAATGCATTCAAGAATCTCATTATCCCCCTTTCCTCATTATGTGAAGCATTTAGGGGTATCATCTGTAGACAGTATTGGGCTATGTTAGGAAACATACTGACTCTGCCTGCAGTTAGAAGACCTGGGTGCTGGGCCTACTCTTACATCTCTATATCTCAGTTGCTTCAATAATAATGTACGTATACAGATATACATGTAAATGCTACAGTTAATAATGCCTACATAAAAAAAACTATTGAATGGATTTAAAGGCAGTAATGCATCATGCTGCTATGGGAAAATAAGGTCATTCTTTCATCCCTTCGATTAATAAATCTTTATTGAGCACTATTAAAAAAATAAGGCAATAATGGATGGGGAAGCACATGACAGAGAATAAAGCCCTATCAAAATGTACAGTACCGTGATTACATATGACTGCCTTCAGAACCTTACTGGATGATGCTTAAATATCACCTGATATGGTTTGGTTGTGTCCCCATTCAAATCTCAACTTGAATTGTATCTCCCAGAATTCCTGTGTTGTGGGAGGGACCTGGGGGGAGGTAATTGAATCATGGGGGCTGGTCTTTCCCGTGCTATTCTTGTGATAGTGAATAAGATCTCATGAGATCTGATGGCTTATCAGGTGTTTCCGCTTTTGCATCTTGCTCATTTTTCTCTTGCCACTGCCACGTAAGATGTGCCTTTCACCTCTCGCCATGATTCTGAGGCCTCCCCAGCCATGTGGAACTGTAAGTCCAATTAAATATCTTTTTGTCCCCAGTTTCAGTTATATCTTTATCAGCAGCTTGAAAATGAACTAAAACAGTAAATTGGTACCAGTAGAGTGGGGTGTTGCTGAAAAGATACCCAAAAATGTGAAAGTGACTTTGGAACTTGATAACAGGCAGAGGTTGGAACAGTTTGGAGGGCTCAGAAGAAGACAGGAAAATGTGGGAAAGTTTGGAACCTCCTAGAGACTTGTGGAATGACTCTGACAAAAATGCTGATAGTGATATGAAAAATAAAGTCCAGGCTGAGGTGGTCTCAGATGGAGATAAGGAACTTGTTGGGAACTGGAGCAAAGGTGACTCCTGTTATGTTTTAGCAAGAGACTGGCAGCATTTTGCCCCACCCTAGAGATTTGTGGAACTTAGAACTTGAGAGAGATGATTTTTAGGGTATCTGGCAGAAGAAATTTCTAAGCAGCAAAGCATTCAAAAGGTGACTTGGGTGCTGTTAAAAGCATTCCGTTTTAAATGGGAAATGGAACATAAAAGTTAAAGAAATTTGCAGCCTGACAATGCAGTGGAAAAGAAAAACTCATTTTCTGGGGAGAAGTTCAAGCCAGCTGCAGAAATTTGCATAAGTAGCAAGCAGCCTAATGTTAATCCCCAAGGCCATGGGGAAAATGTCGCCAAGTCATGTCAGAGACCTTCACAGCAGCCTCTCCCATCATAGGCCTGGATGCCAAGGAGGAATAAGTGGTTTAGTGGACTGGGCCCAGGTTCCCCGTGCTGTGTGCAGCCTAGAGACTTGGTGCCCTGTGTCCCAGTTGCTCCAGCCATGGCCGAAAGGGGCCATTGTACAACTTGGGCTGGGGCTTCAGAGAGTGGAACCCCCAAGCCTTGGCAGCTTCCATGTGGTATTGAGCCTATGGGTGCACAGAAGTCAAGAATTGAGGTTTAGGAACCTCAGCCTAGATTTCAGAAGATGTATGGAAATGCCTGGATACCCAGGCAAAAGTTTTCTGCAGGGGCGGGGCCCTTATGGAGAACTGCTAGGGCAGTGTGGAAGGGACCTAGTGGAGCTGTGAGAAGAGGGCCACCATCCTCCAGACTCCAGAATGGTGGATCCTCTGACAACTTGCACTGTGCACCTGGAAAAGCCACAGACACTCAATGCCAGCCCATGAAAGCAGCCAGGAAGGAGGCTGTACCCTGCAAAGCTACAGGGGCAGAGCTGCCCAAGACCATGGGAACCCACCTCTGGCATCAGCATCACCTACATGTGAGCCCTGGAATCAAAGGAGATCATTTTGGAGCTTTAAAATTTGATTGACCTGTTGGATTTTGGACTGGTATGGGGCCTGTAACCCCTTGGTTTTGGCCAATTTCTCCCATTTGGAACAGTTGTATTTACCCAATCCCTGTACCCCCATTGTATCTAGGAAGTAACTAACTTATTTTTTATTTTACAGGCTCATAGGTGGAAGGGACTTGCCTTGTCTCAGATGACACTTTGGACTGTGGACTTTTGGGTTAATGCTAAAATGAGTTAAGACTTTGGGGGACTTTTGGGAAGGCATAATTGGTTTTGAAATGTGAGGACATGAGATTTGGAGGGGGCCAGGAGCAGAATGATATTGTTTGGCTGTGTCCCTATTCAAATCTCAACTAGAATTATATCTCCCAGAATTCCCACATGTTGTGGGAGGGACCTAGTGGGAGGTAATTGAATCATAGGGGCTGGTCTTTCTCATGCTATTCTTGTGATAGTGAAGAAGTCTCACAAGATCTGATCATTTATAATGGGTTTCCACTTTTGCATCTGGATCATTTTTCTCTTGCCACCACCATGTAAGAAGTGCCTTTCACCTCCCACCATGAACCTGAGGCCTCCCAAGTCATGTGGAAATGTAAGTCCAATTAAACTTCTTTTTGTTCCCAGTTTTGGGTATGTCTTTATCAGCAGTATGAAAACAAACTAATATATCAGCCATGAAGAAAGTGAGTATTCAGTGTGCAAACGCCTGGTTTGATTTGTTTACATGCATGTCTGGGGTGACTGAACTCAAGTAATGCACCTAAGGCTCTATGTTTTGGATAGAAGTTTGGGTTTGATAGCAGGCACCAAAAGCAAATGACTAACTCAGGGGACAGAATACAGCATGTCTGTGTCCTGGGGAAGACCATAAACTCTGTCTTTCCAACTGTACAGGTCACTATAAGGATATAGTGAGTTAAGGCAGGAGAATGTGCTTGGTAATCTGTAAAGTGTTTTAGAATTGCACGGGAAAATTCCATGAGTTCCACTATGATTGAGACTAATTTTGTGGCTTTGCAAGGAGATTTGGCATGGAAACATACTCATGCTTTGATAACTGAAAGCAAAATTCTGCAATGAAACCATCATCTTGAGTGTGTGCTATCATGCTCAGTAATCCAAGATCTCACAGCTTACGTGATTCTCAACCATCTCAGCCTCTTCCAACTTTGGTGTTTCCAGTCTCAGAAAGGTGAGGACCTTTTCCCACATATAAGCAGTGACATCTTTAAGTCTCACAAAAGATTTACTTTGAAAAGATTTTCTTTTTTGGGGTAAAGTCATGAGAAAACCTCTCAGCTAGGAAAAAGAAAAAAATAAAGACAAATTTCATGTTAGCAGCCTAAATAAAGAGCTTTGTTAACGTGATAAACTATGCAATGGAGATTATATCTGATGATGCTACTTTACGAGCTTTTGGTAAAATAGTGATTTCTTGGTGAAAAAAAGCAAAATCAGGAAAATACCTCTCCTGAATTGAACTAAATGGCAGTAAGATGATCTCAGCAATGGAAATTCATTGTATTATAAAGGTTGTTTTCAGTATCTAACTTTGGAGACTGAGATTATCAACGCGATGTGCATGCCCATATGTAAAGTCTGTGTCTCAGTTTCAGTGTCCCCTGGTGAACCATTCTGAGCTGTGGGTGAGCCTCAGGAGAGAGGCCTGTGCCTGTGCCTGGGAGACCAGAAAGGGTCTTGGGCTCAGCAAGTTGTTGTGCCCTCAACATGTGCTCTATAAGCCTCCAGGTGGTTTATTTCTTCACTGCAGGCTGTAAGCTGTTAGCTCAAAAGCCTACTGGTAACAAACTCGAATTTTTACACATCCAATTGTTTAAAAAATAACCCAAACAGGGCTGGGCGCAGTGGCTCATGCCTGTAATCCCAGCACTTTGGGAGGCCAAGGCAGGCGGATCATGAGGTCAGGAGATTGAAACCATCCTGGCTAACATGGTGAAACCCTGTCTCTCCTAAATTACAAAAAAAAAAAAAAAAAAAATTAGCTGGGTGTGGTGGTGGGCACCTGTAGTCCCAGCTACTCGGGAGGCTGAGGCAGAAGAATGGCGTGAATCCGGGAGGCGGAGCTTGCAGTGAGCAGAGATTGCGCCACTGCACTCCAGCCTGGGCGACAGAGCAAGACTCCGTCTCAAAAAAAAAAAAAAAAACACCCAAACAAACATTTTAGCCATTTAGAGCCTGTCAGCTTTACACACCCTGCAAAACCTCAGGGGACAGCTGTTACCCACTGATAATGTTATAAGGCCCCAAGCTGCTGCTGGCTTCAGGAGCTTTCTGACCCAGAGCCTCCCCTCCATGCTGCTAAGCAGCATCGTCTAAGGGGTAAGCTCTCTCTCTGCTGCCCCTCTCCCCTGAGATCGCCCTTGCTCTTCTTCCTTTTTGGATGGTTCTTGGCCCCTACGCTGTAAACCTGTGGACAGTTTCATAGCATGAAGTATGAGGGAGTTCCCCCACATGGAAACACTTCAAAACATTACCCAGATAAAGCTTGTGTGTGTTATCATCTCTTGTGGTCATATGTTTGTTCTTGATTGGTCCCCAAATCCCTCGAACCCCTCACAAAATTTCAGAACTCTGCAAAGATGCTCAGGAGCCTGAAAGGGTAGGCCATTGGTGTGTAGGTCTGAGGCCTCCTGGATTTACCAGCAACACACCCATGGCAGACAGCAAGACCTGACTCTTCCACCCAGAGACCTCAATGCAATATTGCCTGCCTGTCTCAGAAGATAGCATCCAGGTGCCTAAGCACGACATTCAAGGCCCTCCATTCCTGACTCCAACCATCCTTTTCAACATAATGCCCACTTGACCCAGAACTCCAGCATGGCCCTCCCTGCATGCCCCCTGTCTAAAATGCTGCTCTCAGCAGTCATCACCATGAGTGGAACTGCTCATCAAGGCTCACTCTCCTGTTGTATGAAGATTTCCTGGTCTCCCTAGGAAGAATAAATGAGTCTCTGATCTAAGTTTCTTGCTCTTTGAGGACACTTCTAGTTAGGCTTTAAAATTGCCTATCATTGTGTAGGATCTGTATGCTGAGAACTATAAAACAGTGATGAAAAAAATCAAAGAGTATCTAAATAAATGGAGAGAAATACAGAATTCTAGGATCAAAAAAGCTTAATATTATTAGGATGCCAATTCCCCCCAAATTTGATTTATAATTCCACAGCAAGTTCAATCAAAACACCAACATGATTTTTTAAAAAGATAGTAACAAGATGATTCTAAAACATATTGAAAGGCAAAAGAGCTAGAACACCTACAGTCAAAACAGAACAAAGCTGGAGGACTCATCCATGCTACTTTAAGATTTGCCACAGAGTGAAAAAGACCTCATGGGATTGGCTAAAGGAAAGATCAATGGAGTAGAATAGAGAACCCAGATATAGATCCACACAGATACAGTCAATTGCTTTTTGACAAAGTTGTAAAGCCAATTCAATGGAGTAAATATTCTTCAAAAAAATTGTGCTGGAAAAATTGGATATTCATTTATAAAAAACAGGAACTCTGTTCCATACCTCACATCTTACATTAAAATTAGCTTAAAACAGATGATTAACCTAAATGTAAAACATAGAACTATAAAAATTCTAGAAGAAAGGCCACGTGCAGTGGCTCACGTCTGTAATCCCAGCACTTTGGGAGGCTGAGGCGGGAGGATCACGAGGTCAGGAGTTCGAGACCAGCCTTACCAACATGACGAAACCCTGTCTCTACTAAAAATACAAAATTAGCTGGGTGTGGTGGCACACGCCTGTAATCCCAGCTACTCAGGAGACTGAGGCAGGAGAATCACTTGAACCTGGGAGACAGAGGTTGCAGTGATCTGAGATCACGCCACTGCACTCCAGCCTGGGCGACAGAGTGAGACTCTGTCTCAAAAAAAAAAAACAAAAAAACCAAAAACAAAGAAACAAAAAAAATTCTAGAAGAAAATAATAGGAGAAAATATGTGACCTTGGGTTTGGCAATTCATTTGAGCCAGGACACCAACAGCAAAATCCATAAAAGAAAACATTGAAAAACTGGCCTTTATCAAAATTTACAACTTCTGCTCTGTAGAGATGCTGTTAAGAGAATAAAAGGAGAAGCTACAGATTTACAAATCACATATCCAATTTAAAAACTGTATTCAAAATATAAAAATTGCCACAATTATTTGTATATGCCAGTCTTCCCCTATGGACTGTGAGCTCCCTGAGGCAGGAAGCAGTTATTATCTTTGTTTCGCCATTGCCTGAATATAATGGGCATTCTTTAGTTTTTTGTTGAATGAGTGAGTGCATGAATGAACAAATGAGTGGATTGATGGATGGATGGGTGGGTGGATAGGTGGACAGGTAACTAGTTTGGTGAGTAGGTGTGTGGATGGGTGATCGATGGATTTATGCATTCATGGATGAGCAAGAGTAGGGAGCTAGGATCATTGATAAAAGCAAAGGACTCGGGCCTGAGTGTTGTCAAGGTGTGAACATGAGCAATCACTTTTAGTTTCCCTCTAGCTACTAAACTAGAATACCAGTAGACTTTTAAGGACTGCAGAGAATTTTTATCCACTTACAAAGCTTGAATATTAAATTTACTGAACTTGCAGTGGGCTCTACAATGTGTCAGGAACTACTACCCTAGAAGGCAGGCACACCAATATGCCTGCTAGGAATGTGGCTAGAGTTCAAAAGCAGACAAAAACCAATAGCACAAGACAATGGGTGCAATGAGGAGGCATGCTCAGAGCCTTTGGGGGTCCAGGGGAGAATCGGTGCTGGGAGAGCTTCTAGAGGGAACACCACATTGACCCTGTCTTAGAACTTAACGCTGAACGAGTCACAGTGGAGGGATCCGAGGGAAGGCATGTTCAGTAAGTGTGGACAGCATGCCTATAGGCTTAGTCAAGCACAGAGCAGGGGTCCCAACCCTGAGCCTTCCATAGGAACACCTGTAGGGCCTTCTGGAAATAGAAGTGATGAGTCCCACCCTTGTGATGTGGGCATAGCAATCCTGGGTCTGGCTGGGCAGAGCAGGTCGGAGCCTCGGCAGGGAGGGGTAAAATATAAGACACTCAGTAACATTTTAATTTCAGGTCAACAACAAATAACTTTTAACATAAATATGTCTGAACTGCTGCAGGGGGCTTACTAATACTGAAAACTTTTCCATTGTTTACTGAAACTTAACTGTAACTGGGTTCCAGTTTTATTTGCTAAATCTGTTGACCCCAAGTCCAGGCAATAGGACAAGACCATGGGGGAGACTCTTCTTCCACTGAAGGAGTTTAAGCCATGTATGACATGACTAGATTTGCCAGTGGCAGGTCAGTAGGAGGGCGTGAAACAGGGAGCCATTCCTCCTTCAGCCGCTAGCCTGGAGAACACGTCCAGTGGAGGTGGCTGATGGGAGTGCAACTCTGATAAGATGGAAAGACTGAGAAAAGGCAACAGATACCCCTGAGGCAGTGTGAGATTGCAGATGAAGTTCACAGTAAGAAATGATGTGATTCAGTGCAGAGTGAGGGGGGCCAGGGAAGCTTCCTGGAGGAAGTGGCACCCTGGGGTGGCTGCTCTCGTGCTGGACTATTCTAGAGTAAGGGAGAGTCAAACCAACTGTGTTTGACGGACCTGACCTCCCAGGGCAGGTGAGCTGGACGGCAGGGATTCATTACCATGAGATCTGGCCTGTGTTGCCTGGCCCTGTCCACATGGACCAGAGTTTCACCCCAACAGCAAATGAAACTTTTACAAACCATAACTTGAAAGTTGGGGATGTGTTTACTTACCATTCCAAAACACAGTGTGGCAGAGACTATTAAAAGGATCCCAAAGTAACAAGCCATGGCCCGCTGGTCAGACTTGGAAAGGCCAAGGAGGCAGTCTTTTTGGCTTCTTCTGGGAAAATGAAACAGCAGCCCGGGGAAGGCGTCTGTGAAGGTGCCAGGTGGTAGAACCCACATAGAGAGCAGAAATCGGTGCAGGTGGGAGAGGGCGGCCAGCATCAGTGCCCCCACCAGCTGCAGAAAGAAAATCCAGAGAGCACTGACCTTGTCACCTCTTCTTAGGAGTGGAAGACTCAACTTCCAAATGTTGAAAATAGAGACAAACTTGGAGGGGCAGTTTTGGGAGTGTGGATCAATCATGTCATCCCTGGTTTTGAACCCAAAAGGCGTATGTCACCCTCTCACCCATCTCCCAGGCCTCCCTCCTCCCACCCCACCAGCCTCCCACACTGTGGCTGGTCTCCCTCCTCCCTTTCAAGGGCTCTTCCTGCCAGTGCCCTCTCCTCTCCTCAGCTGCCTCCTCTGCCTATGGTGACAAGCGGCCTGCTCCCCTGGCCTTTGGCCCCCTTAGGAAGCCATGGTTGCCATGAGGGGGCAGCTCCCTCATGATCTTTATGTCCCCCGCACCTGGCCAGAGCTTAGTAAAATAAATCACTTAGGAAGCATCAGGAAGGCTTTCCAATTTTGATGTAGATTTGGTTCAGGTTAAGTTTCATGGTCCTGGTTGTCGTAACAGACTGGGAACTTGGCCTGGGATCTGAGGGGTTGTATCACTGGCTCCGTTCATGCTTCTCACTCCATCTGCTCCAACCAGCCCTGGTGCTGACAAGTATTTTTTCAGCCTGGATGTCAGACCATCAGGCGGTCGTCCCATAGGTCCACATGGGGCTGTGTGTGTAGACTGTGGACGGGCCTACAGAGAGGCCCTACCTAGCTGCAGCTATAGTCATGGGCTGCATTCTGTGTGGGTGCTTGCTGGATTCATGTACAAGCCTGGACAGGTACCCAAAGACTTCCCTACAAATGCACTAGGACTCGTTTTAGTATTACTTACTCCATAAGTGAAATCAGACATCAGTGGAACTCAGAAGAAAGAAAGCACAATCTATGAGTCTACAACTGGACAAATTGAGCTGTGTGGTCTCCCGGTCTCCCCTTGATGCCTATGCATCTATACTTGCTGCACAGTTAGAATTCTGCTACTTAATTTGGACACAAATTATTTATATTCTGGGCTTTTTTTTCCTTACATAAAAGCATTTTTGGCTGGGCGTGGTGGCTCATGCCTGTAATCCCAGCACTTTGGGAGGCCGAGGCGGGCGGATCACGAGGTCAGGAGATCGAGACCATCCTGGCTAACACGGTGAAACACCGTCTCTACTAAAAATACAAAAAATTAGCCACACATGGTGGTGTGTGCCTGTAGTCCCAGCTACTCGGGAGGCTGAGGCAGAAGAATGGCATGAACCCGGGAGGCGGAGCTTTGCAGTGAGCCGAGATTGCACCACTGCCCTCCAGCCTGGGTGACAGAGCGAGACTCTATCTCAAAAAAAAAAAAAAAAAAAGCAGTTTTGCATGTTGCTAAATGGTCTTAATAATGACTAGTTTAATCACTCCATAAATTCTACATGCATATAATCTCAAAGGCCAGTAGTAACCTTCGGGGCAAATGTCGTTAATGCTTTTTCTGGAGGCAGAGGTTGGGCAAATGGCTGGTGCTCGCAACAGTGAGCTGGAGTGTGGGACAGCCAGGTTCAAATGCTGCTCTCTCTGACTCTCAGGTTCGTTCTCTCTGCCCTGGTTTGCTCAGCATGTTCCTCCAGTGTAAGGTGAATAGGGCTTGCAGAACCCCTTCCCTGGAGCAGGAGACCTGTGCTTGGTGTCCTGTGTGGCTTGGATCCTGACAGCCAGAGCCTCCTAACTCAGGGCACTTGGCCTAGACTTTCCCTCAGCCCTGATTGCAATTCTTTGCTGTACTAGGGCCTGTCAGGTTGGAGAAAGCTCTTTCTCTGCTGGGACCAGATCGGAATCAACAGCACCCCAGGAACTTCATCAGGGCTCCAAGCTGTACTCTGTACCTGTTGATTCGGAGCTTCACCCTCCAGACCAGACTTCAGGGCTAGCCCTGGATGAAGACTTGGCTGTGCCCTGTTGTTTGAGACAGGAAATCCTGAGAATCTTCTAAGAAGAACTGTGCCTGTCCATAGCTTGGTTGTGATAGTTAAACGAAGTAATCTATGAGAGGCCCAAAGTGCCATTCCTGGCACTTAGAGAAAGCTCAGTAGGTGATAATAACTACTTATATTAGTAATAATAACATGCTGTTGTAAGGTATAGTACAGAGCAAGTGTTTCCTAAATCATGGTTATTGTTGTCATGACCATAACTTACTATGTAACTATTGATATCAGTTATCTAAAACCACACTGTAAGGGATTAGAAGACTGGAATTCTAGACGGTGTTTAACCTTGAGAGCAGTTTGTTTTTCCCTTGAGAAAGGCTGACGAGTACACAGATCAATGGTTTACAAGGGAAATCACCTGATAAAGGGGAGAGTTCTTACCCCTGCTACAAAGATGCTGGGGAGTGAGTGGCGCATCATGGAGGAGCAGGATGCCATTGTGTTTTGAATGCCAGGAAGATAGACGCATTTTAATGTGAAGAGGAATAAGAGGATTCCCCGGAGCCATCGAGCCCTCTGAGACAGAAGAACATAACAGTCAGTGTGCCATGCCAGTCACTGAAAGGTGCAGACATATTCACAGCTGTCAGTCATGCATAAAGAGTTCATTGGATTTGATGATGTTATATAGACCCATGAGTCTCCGAGGGACATCAAGTGCAGATGTCTGCAGAGGAGAATGAGTTGGAACTAGGGGTAAATACAAATCGTAACGCATTTTGAGAAGACCTGCTCTGAATTCTGGCCTGGCCATTTCTTTGAACACCAGGATGGAGCAGGTCTAGCAGGCACACACAGATGGGACTCTGTCCACCCCACGTCTGTTCTCCCTGTCTGCGCCTCAGTCTACTGGGCTATAAGAAAATCATCACCACAGAGGGGACTCAAAGAAGTATTTAGTGCATGCTTATTTCCTTTCCCCCAGATACATGTACAGAATAGGGCACCAACACTTTCCAAGTAGGTTTTTAAAAACGTAATCCTTGCAAATACGGGAGGCACTCCACTTTATATCTCTAGAGTCTACGGCTCAGATAAACAGTGTGAACAGACAAACATAGTACAACTGGGGGGCATGGCAGACCCAGGGGCAAACAGCCTTATGGACTCGTCCACATTCACAAGGCCTCTAGGAAGGCTGCTCCCTTCTCCCCTCCCTACCAGGGGCTTATGGGGAAAGTACTTTTGGGTGTATGATCTCATATGCTCTCACCAAAATTATAAGCCCAAGAGAAAAGAAATGACAGCTGGATGGTTTAAAATCTATATGGGCAATGAATCAAGGTTTTCTGTTTGTTTTATTTCCTCAGTAATTGGGACAAAGTCAACAATGACTTCTGACAACCAAAACCTAGAGAAGCTGTGAGTGGCTGTCACCCCTCGGGTTCCCTTCAGAGCAGGCAGGGCCGCACATGGTTGAATGGGGGATGAATGGGGCTTTAGCCAGCACCGGCCAAGAAAAATGCAATGCAAGCTATGGGTAGAATTTTCTAGTAGCCATGTTTTAAAAAGTATAATTAAACAGAGTAAATTTGTTTTATAATATATTTTGTTTAAAATAGTACATGTAAAATCATAAAAAATAGCATCATGTCAATATGTAACCAACATAAAAATTATTGAGATATTTTACATTTTTAATTTTTTTTTTTTTTTTTTTTGAGAGAGAGTCTCAATCTGTTACCCAGGCTTGAGTGGCAGGATCTCGGCTCACTGCAACCTCCGCCTCCTGGTGAGTTCAAGCAATTCTCCTGTCTCAGCCTACCGAGTAGCTGGGGCTACAGGCACATGCCACCATAGTGGCTATTATTATTATTTTTATTTTTTTTGCATTTTAATAGAGACAGCATTTCACCATGTTGCTCAGGCTGGTCTTGAACTTCTGAACTCAGGCAATCTGTCAGCCTTGGCCTCCCAAAATGCTAGGATTATAGGCGTGAGCCACCACGCCCAGCACATTTTTAATTTTCATACTAAGTTTATGAAGTCCAGTGAGTATTTTACACTCACAGCACATCTCAGTTTGGACTAGCCACATTTGAAGTTCTCAATAGCCATGTGTGGCTAGTGGTGACTATTGGACAACACGGCTATAAACCTCCTGTGGACAGAGTGGAAGGGCCGCTTTCTTGCCTCCATCTGATTGAGGGATGCCATAAAGCCTTCTGAGTAATTGCCATTATTATGACTTTCATTTATGGAACATCTGCTAGGTGCCAAGCTGTTCCAAGGATATGTTTGAATGTGCCTGTACAAATACACACACACACACACACACACACACACACACACATTCAAATCCTAGCAAAACCCCCAAGGTATGTATCATAGTTCTACCTTATTAAGACTTGAAGAAAGTTAAGAAACTTGCCCAATGGCACATGGTCAAAGAGGAGCTGGGAGTGAGTTTTAGGTCTGCTGATTCTAAAGCCTGTGCATTTTCATTTTCACACACTCAAATCATAGTTCTTTAATCCTGGGTGTTAAATTCCATCATTAGAAAGTCATTTGTGTTTATCTTGAAGATGACTCGTTCTTCCTGCACCTGGGATGCAGCCTACATTGAAGTTAGAGCTAAATTCCTCTAACTGTCTCTACAGAGAATAATTTGACAAACAGCACAACAGGTGCCCACAGAAGTGGAATTAGGAGGGAAAGCCGTAGTGTGGGCAGAGGCCAAGGTGCCAGAACAGAGACGGGTACATGAGGGCACCTCAGAAGACAAACATGGTCTACACTGCACATTTCTGAAAAGCTGGCCCTGAACACACAGCAACACAGCAACAGAGCTGAATGGTGTGAGATACAGGTTCCTGCCTTGAGCACTCCTGGGTCAGGACAATGTGGACCATGTCCTTGGAGGGCCGTTCCATTGCATTATAGTTCTGTGCTTAGGAATGCAGTTACCCAGGACCCCAAGACCAGAGGCCAATTCCAGTGCAGCTCCTATATCAATGTGAGTGACCTTGAGCCAGTTGCTTAACCTTTCAGAGCCTCGGTCTAGATGGGTGGCATACTAGTACCTGTTTCATTAGATGGTTGGATAGCTCAACATACACGTGATTATATAGAATTTATGCAGTGCCTGGCAGGAGCTAACCTCAATACATGTCAGCTCTTCTCAGAAGCTAATTGAGGAATTGGAAATTGGCATCTGCCCTAGAAAGGATCCCCAGGGAAGAGGGGCTCTCCCCAGGTAAGTTTTTCTGGCAGGGGCAGGGAACATAATGAGAAAGATAGGACATCAGTGGGGAAAAGGGATATAAGGATGAACTCACTTCCCAAGGTCAGAAGTCAGGAGGAGGCTATTTACTGCAAGTCACCAGGTCAGTATGTAGACCAGATTCATGTTTGCCCTAGTCATGCTTCTAGAAAACCTCCCCTGTCCGCATCAGGTGAAAAGAACATCCTACATTCACTCTGCCCCCTATTCCTGAGGCCCACACCTGCTGGCCAATCAGTGACTAATCAGATGCTCTTGTAAGCTGTGCACTGAGAGACAGAAAGCTGGCCGCTATCTGTGGGCCTTTAAGCACAGGCAAGGGAGTGTCAGGCATGTCGGCATTGTAGCCCACAGGACCATGCAAGACTACAGTTACATGGGTAAGCCAGAACTCAAATAGTAGGAAGCGGGTTGACTAGCAGAGCTATACTATAAAAGGTAGACCAGGAAGCCTGCTGTCTGTCCCAGAGAGAGATGCCAATAAATTAAGCAGCCAGTCCTCATCGGGCCCTAATATTGGTACCAGGGGAGCAGTAGTGAACAAAATAGATACATTCTCTATTCTGCAGTTTCCAGCCTTGTGGGGGAAGACAGTAAACCAAATAATTGCTTAATGCAGATTTCATTAGATGCTGATAAGTGCCTGCAGAACAGGTCCCTGGTTGGCCTTGGCCAGCCCAGCTCTTCCCCTTTTATTGCTTATAGTTCTCACAATAACTGTTGAATGTGCTAGGAATGCAATATCCGGAGATAAGGAGGAACTACATGGAAGAGCGTGGGCTCTGGTCATGTTCCTCCAAGAAGAGGATGCCCTCTAACACTTTAGCACAGCATGTTATGTTCCCCCAGCTTATGAAACTTCAGGGCAGGCAGCTTTCCAGGCTCTCTGAACTGGTGCAAGCGGGACACACACAGACAGGATTCTGTCGGGACACACACAGACGGGACTCTGTCGGGACACACACAGACGGGACTCTGTCCACCCTGGTCAGCTTTCCTGAGGTGGGGGCACTGGCTCACCATGCAGCCCAGGCTTCTGCTGTCCCTGCCAATCTGTGAGTGACAGTTGCTTTGCCTTGCTTGTGCGAGTGTTCTGTCTCATCAGATTCATGTATTCTTTCACTTCAGGAGAAAAGCCAAATCTTCTGCTTGGGCTCCTTTAGAACCTGTTTCTTTCCTCTAGCCTAGGGAGTTTCTCTTGCTTGCAACAAAATGATCTCCAACAAAGAGGCAGGGACTGGGGCACTGGTGGAGGAAGCAGAAGTGTAGAGGAAACGAGCCTCATCCTGCCTGGTTCTCCTTACACAGCGGACAGGAGCCAAGGGGTGAGAGGGAGGTTGTGGGGCAGATGAATGGACCTGGGGAGAAGGGGCCTGAAGATGGAGGGGAACTGGCCCTTGTTCTCTAGGTTGCTATAGGACTCACCCAGCCCTGGGGGTGGCCCTGGGGCCCTGACCACCCTCTAGATGGGAAAAGGAGGACAAGGGGGTTAGGGAGGGGCTAGATCTGAGGGCAGCAGGGCAAGGAGGCAGAGTATGTGGGCTCATCTTCCACCACCACAGGAAGGCAGCGTCCCATGCTGTTGTGGGGGGATCCTGCCCCATCTCATCAGCCCCCTCCCCAGGGCTCGTCCAGGCCCATCTGTGCACATTTGCCTGGTCCTCCTGGTAGGAGCCCCCATCCCTGTGGGGAACCATTCCCTGCAGGAAGGGCTGCCTAGGGGAAGGAGGTACAGGGACTTTGAAACCAGACTTCTCTCTATTGAGGGACCTGATACTCTGTGAGCTTTGGTGTCTTCACTTGCAGAGTGGCTAATACTGCCTGCATTTATGACTGTCGCCAGAATGAAGAGAGAAAATGGTGTGTCTAAGCAAGTCAGCGCTAGCCTCCTTCCTCCATGCTGCATCAACACCTGCTTCCTGTGCCCCTTAGCGTCCCCTGGAGGCACTGGGGGAATTCCAGGCTCTTGAGTTCTGCTCCACGCAGAATCCACATACCCCAGTGTTCAAAGCATGTCTCAAGCTCTTCAGGCCCTTCACTGTCCTGGCCACTCCCATCTGCCAGCTCAGAGCATCATCTCTCGATATCAAACAAATCTGTTGTCTCGCACCTTCTAGAGTTTGTGTGACCTCTGCCTTTTGGATGGCATCACAGTGCATGGCCTCTATCTGCATGGCCCTGAGCACACCGTGTACCTGATTCCATGATGCCATAAGGGTGAGGTCCATAAATGCTCGGCAAAGTCCTCTGTGAAACTGGTTAGTGACATCTCCAGCAAGAGTAACAAGGTGGCCGGAAACTGCATAGTAGGTGAGGCTCACTCCAACCACGGAGAGCTGGAACATCCAAGAGAAAGGCCCTCAGATGGCTCCTGAGGAAGGGCTTACCTGGCACCCCATGTGACACGCGTTTGTAAGTTACAGTCATGAGTCACTTAACTACAGGGATGCCTTCTGAGAAATGCATCGCTGGGTGATTTTGTCCTTGGGGGAACATTATAGGGTGCACTTATGCAAACATAGACAGTCCCACACACCTAGGCTATATGAGACAGCCTATTGTTCCCAGGCTACAACCCTGTGCAGCGTGTTCCTGTACTGAATACTGAGGCAATCATACACAATGGTAAGTGCTGGTGTATCTAACTATATCTAAGCATCGAAAAGATACAGTAAAAATACAGTACAAAAGGTAAAAAATGATCCACCTGTATCAGCACTTACGATGAATGGCACTTGCAGGACCAGAAGTGGCTCTGGGTGAGGCACTGAGTGAGTGGTGAGTGAATGTGAAGCCCTAGAGCATTACTGTACGCTAATGTAGACTTTATAAATGCTGCACACTTAGGCTACACTAAATTTGTAAACACGTTTTTCTTTCTTCAGTAATAAATTAACCTTAGCTTACTGTAACCCTTTTACTTAAAAATCTTTTAATTTTTTTAAACTTTTTGACTCTATGATAACACAGCTTAAAACACAAATGCACTGTACAGCTGTACAAAAAATATTTTCCTTATATCCTAATTCCAAAAGTTTTTTCTATTTTTAAAAATTTTGTTTTAATTTTTTATTTTTAAACTTCTTTATTAAAAGCTAAGATACAAACAGACATATTTAGCCTAGGCCTACATACAAGGTCAGAATCAAGATGTCATTAGGTGACAGAAATTTCTTAGCACCATAAGATCTTATGGGACCACCACCTTGGCTGAAATTCGTGTGGTACATGACGGTAACTGTAACAACACTAAATGATACCTGATCTCAAATGCTGTTTTGAGATTAACACTACAGAGGGAGAAAACTGCAATAATGTTGGCAGTAGCTAGTGCATAATCAATTTCTTATTTAAATTATTTTTTCAAGATATAAACAGTTTATTGTTATTTTTCAAAAGAAAATGACACAAGAGAGGCTACCTCCAGCCAGTTCCTTGGCTTTCGCCAGTAGCTGAGGACGCCCTTGTCCATCATACGGTAGAGTTGAACACAGAGGTGGATCAGGCTGAGTGCCAGGAAGACCAGCTGGTGGAGAGAATGTAAACAAACAAGATCAATAGGAATGCTGATAAATTGTTTTTTGAAGGTCTAAACATGTGACCAGCTCCCCTGCCAATCACCTTTGAGTAGCTAGGATGCAAGCCCATTTCCTGTTCTGCAGAGGTTTAATCCTAAACTTGCTCTTCAGTAGGCACTTGGGGTGTTTGGTGCCTCTCCACAAGTCAAGCACTCACAGAAACTCCATGCCAGGGGTTAGAACCCAAGATGGTCTCTGCACTCAGGGAAAGCACGGAGTATGGGCATCTACGGCCACCAGGCCTCCCGACCTCCATGCTGATCCTCCAGTCCTTCCTTGGCACTGCTCAAAAGAGTGAGTTTCTGTGTACATGTGAAATAGATAACATATGAACTATATATACATATATATACTAGTTTTCTCAGCCAAGTAAAGTCTTCTAAAGCTCCCTTATAAGCACTTTCTTAAAGTTCTCTATGTGATTCTCTCTCCAGTGGTGAGTTACCTGTTGATTCATGCCTTTAATCACTAACCCAAACTCAAATTTAGTTATGGATTTGCAAGGAACTGAAGCACATCAGCAGGGCTTTATGCATCTTCTCTGTCCTCTGTTGGAGTTATGTGCATTGTGTCCCATTGGCCCGCTGTAAGGAGCTACACACATAATCAAAGCAGGGTTCACTTTTGGGTGCTGCAAGGTGTTTAACAGCAGTGCTGTGCTGAGCCTTATTGGAGCCTGAGGCAAAGAAACTATCAGGAAAACTGATCCTGCCATTGCTTACAATTTCCATATTTTGTCCAATATGATTTTTTGATATGAATTCTGATGTTTATAAATATTGCACCAGAATACTGTTCACCTTGATTACCAAGTATTTGTGGTGCCCCTTAAATTTGATGCCCAAGGTAAGTACTTTATGTGTCTCCCCCAGGCAGACCCTGACCAGTGGCCCATGCTCCCACCCTCCATTGCGCCCACACCAGCGCGAGCTGAGCTCTACACAAATCTCAGCCTTTACCGGGTCACTGAACAGTCCCTAGAGTCTAAAACCTCTTGGGACTCCCCTCTCTTCACTGCTAAAGCAAAGTAACCTTGACCTGAAGAGTCAGCAGGACTTAGTTCTTCATAGCAGAAAAGTCAACTACAGGCAGAAAATCAGGAAAGTTCCCAAGGAATAACTCAGAGTGACTTCTGGTGTTTTGGATTGTTCAGTGAAGCTATGTGGACATATTCCATCTCACCAAGACCCTGGGTACTGTGGACTGAAGATTTGTGTTCCCTTGAATTCACAGGTGGAAGCCCTAACTCCTAGTGTGGATATATGTGGGGATGGGGCTCCTAAGGAAGTAATCAAGGTTAACTGGGGCTCTGGTCCTATAGGATTAGTGTCCTTACACAAAGAGACTCTAGACAGCTCTCTCTTGCTCTCTTTCCCTGTGTATACCCACAAAGAAGAGGTTCTGTGAGCACACCGTGAGAAGGCGGCCATCTCCCAGGACTAGAGACCTCGCCAGAACCTCACCAGGCTTGATCTTGATCATGGAATTCCAGCCTCTGGGAGTGTGGGAAGTAAATGTCTCCTTCTTTTTTTTTTTTTTTTTTAGACGGAGTCTTGCTCTGTTGCCCAGGCTGGAGTGCAGTGGCGCAATCTCAGCTCACTGCAACCTCCGCCTCCCAGGTTCAAGAAATTCTCCCGCCTTCAGCCTCCCAAGTAGTTGGGATTACAGGTGCATGCCACCATGCCCGGCTAATTTTTGTATTTTTTCAGTAGAGATGGGTTTTCACCATGTTGGCCAGGCCGGTGTTGAACTCCTGACCTTGTGATCCGCCCACCTCGGCCTCCCAAAGTGCTGAGATTACAGGCATAAGCCACCGCGCCTGGCCATAAATGTCTCTTTTTAAAGCACCCAGTGTAGGCTATTCTGTTACAGCAGCCTGAGCTAAATCCCTGGGGGGATCTAAACATCAGGCCCAATTCCCCCGTGATGAATTTGGTACCTCAAGACAGCTCTATATTTGCCCTTGCCACACATGTGAAGATTGGTTTCCCCACTGGGGGTCTTCTTCGTCTCATGCCCCAACCCTTAGTGTGATGCTTGCTGCAAGAAGGGGATGTGACAAAGAGTGTGACCGGAGGGGCAGGTGAATGGGTAGGGAACTAGTCCTGTCTGGTGGAGAAGCCCAGCCCAGGTGAAGCCCCATCTTCCTGTGCACCTCCAGGAGGCCCAAGAGGCAGGTCAGCTCACCTGGGGAAGCATGAGGTGGTACTGCAGGGCTGAGTCGCTGCGGAAGATGCTGAATGACTCCACCAGGGATGAGGGGACGAGACTCCCCGTAGGGAGGATCTCCACTCTCAGGGACACGCTGGTGAAGAGTTGGGTTGGAGGGTTATAGAGAGTGAAGTGCACAGACACAGCCCTGGTGCTGCGGTCAATCCACATGCTGGCCCTGAGTCGGGACAGGGCTGTGTGGGCTTCAGTCCTGTAAAACAGCACACACTGGGGTAGGGCAGGGCAGGGAGAAAGGCACAGAAGTCTACTGAGGCTCCCAGCTGCAGGTCCCATGCTGGGAACACCCTATGCTAGACTTTGCAAGGACACACAGTGCCTGGGCTTCAAGGGGCAGGACAGATGGCCCTCTGTATCTAAGAGACCTCATCAATAGCCCTCTGTCCTCTCTCCTTGCCCCACCCTCTTCCCTGCAGCAGCCCAGGGGACCCTCAGGCAGGAGGGACCTGGAGAACGGAGGCCTCCATTTCCCACCCCAACCCATGTGAGGCAGAGATGTCCACTCTCTCTCCCCAGGGACTCTAGAATATTCATTGTTCTTTTTTTTTCTAGAGACCCCACTGTTTGGAACAAACAAGCTGGGAGAAGGCAGTTACTAAATACTAACTCGTATTTAGTAACAATTAAATCATTTCCTTTTTAAAGAGTATTACTCAAAGGCTCACATTATTGTAACTGTCTAGACCTCCCCGTTGCTCTAAGACCATCCGTGTTACCACTGGGTCAGCACAGCTCCAACCCAGTGTGAGGTGCATGCTGCTTGGGGAGCCACGGGTGGCTGTGGACAACAGTGTGACTGGCTGGATGGGGCAGGCGGCCTGACCTCAGACCTAGCTGCAACATGGGGTCGTGCTTGTTACGCACTTGAACCTCCACCCCTCACCCTCAGGACATGGGAAAAGTAGCACAGGGCCTATTCCACAGAGCTAGGTGAGGATTAAATGAGACAGTAAACACCCAGCTTGGCACAAGGTCAGCATGCAACAAATGCTCCTTATATTCCATGAGCTACAGATGTTCTAGCAACCACTTTTTGAAAGAACGTTTGCTCTGTGCTCTCCCACGTGGAGGCCTGAGCCTGTGTGATGCTTCTATCATTCACAACAATGACAAGTCTGGCTGGAGCCCCTGGCAGTGGTGCGCTGACCTCGCAGGCCTGTCAGGAGGCTGCACCTGCTGCAGATGCGCTGCGTCCAGCAGGCACCAGAGCTGGAGTGGCGGTGGCAGGCAGGATGAGCCCCGGCCCTTCGAATCTCACTGACCTTGTTCTGCCCAGGCTGAGCACACAGTCCTCCCTTGTCCCACAGCCCCCAGGACCATTCAGGGTCACGTTTTGGTTCTCTGGGTCTATCAGGTAGGGGTTCTCAGGGCCTCCAACTTCGGGACTACATGTAGGAATAGAGTCTTCGATGAGTGCTGAAAATGGCCTGGGAGGCTGCAGAACAAACCAGCAGTCAGAAGACACAGATACTATTCCCAAGGCTACCCTGCAATCCGGGGTCTCCAGGCCTGGCCACATGTGAACACCTGCTCTGTCCTGCAACATGGCACCCTTCTCTCCTCATAGGATCGTTCTGCAGCCTGTTTCGTGGTCTACAGACTCTAGCTCAAGCTACAGGATCAAGGTTCTACCCACAGAAGGTTGGCATCTGAGCTGTGTATGGTTCTAAGGCTTAGACCACTTGAAGACTTCCCCATCATGAGATGCCAGGTAAAATGCCTGTCTCAGGGCATACCCTCCCCATTAGAAAAAGATATGTGAATATTCTATTTTTAGATTGTTTGATTAAAAATCCTAGTTTTGCCTAGAATGCCAGTCTCTAAGGCCAAAGAGTGAATTGAAGAAACCTGCAGCAGAACGTCAAGGAAGAAAGAGGCTTTGGGAAAGTGTTCATAAAGGGGAAGGAAGGAAGGGCGAGGCTCGCCCTCTCCCCAGCCCCGGCACTGACAATTCCAATTACCACTGAACTCACAGAGAAGTTCAAATGATCTGCCAGGGTCCTGCCCCAATGTTGCCTAGACTTCTCTAATTCCATTTATTCTTGGAAGCAAAAGGAAAAGGAACATCTTACCTTGCATAAATGCCTAGGAAAAACTTTTAGCTGCCTAATTACGGAACTGCCTATTAGGTAGCATTTTCCTCCAAGAGCTCCAGGCTGAAAGGAGAAAAAAGATGATGAGGACTGGGTGTGCTGTGGACTTCAAACCTCCTCATCAAGCGTGCTCAAAAGGCGTGGGGCTCTGGGTAACTCCACCTGCTACCATAGAGGTCAGAGTTTTATTTTCCTTCCAATACCATTTTAGGGATACAACCAACATTCTAAGAAGGCAGCAACAACCTCCCCAGACTTGTCCTGGAAAAGGGTTAACGTTCAAATGGTGTTCGTAACTTTCGTCACATGAGAATGCTCTCTTTTATCTTTTTTGAAAGTTTCTCCAGTGTCATCAACCCAAGAGACTATATAGAATACAACAAAATAAAATTATAAATAAACTGCTCAAGGAATATGGACAAATATATTTCTCTTTTTTAAATTTAAAGACAGAGAATAGCTCTGTTGCCCAGGCTGGAGTGCAGTGGTGTGACCTGAGCTCACTGCAATCTCCACCCACCGGGTTCAAGCAATTCTCCTGCCTCAGCCTCCCAAGTAGCTAGGATTACAGGCATGTGCCACCACGCGCGGCTAATTTTTGTATTTTTAGTCTGGAGTGCAGTGGCATGATCTTGGCTCACTTCAACCTCCACCTCTCAGGTTCAAGCAATTCTGCCTCAGCCTTGCAAGTAGCTGGGATTATAGGCACGCGCCACCACACACAGCTAACTTTTGTATTTTTAGTAGAGACAGGGTTTCCCCATGTTGGCCAGGCTGGTCTCGAACTCCTGACCTCGTGATCCACCTGCCTCAGCTTCCCAAAGTGCTGGGATTACAGGTGTGAGCCACCGCGCCCAGGATATTTCATTTTTAAACATGGGAAAGGGGTTGAAAATAAAAGCTGAGCAAGGAATGGGATTATGCAAAATGCATATTAACTTTTTCTTCCGAACTTGGGATCAACCTCACCTCTTTCTGGAAGCTTCCTTGCACTTCCTCTGTTTTGGGGTGGTTCTTGTGTTTCCTTGTCAGGGTATTTTGCACACGGAACTAGAATCTTCCATTTCCTGACCTCCCACCCCATCAGCCTGAGGGCTCCTGAGGCTCTGCCATAGCCCTTGTGTCTATCTCAGGCCTGGGAAGCACAGGAATCTGGAGAATCCCGTGCAGCTCAGCAGGGTGTAATGGGATGGGGCCAATGGGTTCTGGCAGGAAAGGAACAGGATGCTCTGCTGGGACCCACTGGAGAGCCACCGGCCTTACACCTGCATGGTCATTCAAGAACCTATGCAGTGCTGCAGTTCAGCATTAGTGACTGTTTCACCCACTGCAAGATAGCTTTTCTGAGATGATCTCCTATGAAGAGGAGACGGAAAGCTCACCTGAGCCCCCGGCACACGGGCTGACGGGGTGCCTCCCGGGTACAGGCCATCCAGAAGTGTGGTCAGACTCCAGTCCCACCAGTCAGCGATGTTTCTCAGGCCACCCAAGCAGTTTCTGGCATTTCTTAATGCAAGAACAAAAATAAAAAGTTGCTTCTGCATCAACAAGAACAATGAAACGTGAGAACAAAAGCATGTTTTCTTGCCAATTTTTCTCTCATTCAGATTTCAGGTACTCTGCAGGAATTAAACTCAAGCTGCTTGCAGCGTGAAGCATGAAACCCTGGAACTCACTTTGCTCCTTAGTAGCAGGAGATAAGAGAGAATGGCGGGTGAAGCACTTGTTCATTTGCTCACTCCATCAGTCACTCAACAAACATTACTATGCAACTACTAGGTGTCAGGCACTCTTCTAGGCACTGGGAAACAGAAAATCAATTCTCTGCCCTCCTATGGGGAAACAGGCAACAAATAAGACAAATAAGCAAACATATACTATGTTGTGACAAATATGAAGGAGGAAAAAAAAAAAGCAGGAAAGACAGGCAAGTGGTGGGGTAAGCAGATGTTCAAGCAGCCATGGAAGCTTCAGTAGGTGGTGATGTCTAGCAAAGACCTGAAGGTGAGGGTGGAGCCCGTGGTCATCTGAGAGAGGGTATTAAAGGC